>NC_000023.11:104962542-105587542 GCF_000001405.40 Homo sapiens | reverse complement strand
AAACAACAGAATAAACTAAGAGAAAGCAGAAGATAGTAAACTATTAAAAATTGAAGAAAGTAAAAATAATATTAGAAAATAGTAACAATAACAGAAAAGTCAAGTAAACAGAAAAAACAAATAAAAGGCTCAAAGAAAGCAAATTTGTTTCATTGAACAGTCTAACAAACAATACAGAACTTTGGAAAGAATAGTCAAGGAAAACAAAAAGTCACATATATATTTCTTATAAATAGAAAAGTAGACCTAACTATAGAAAAGCAGAATTAAAAGATAAAGATAAAATTATTAATTAGCTTATCAATAAATTAGAAGAAATGGAAAAATTTATAGAAAAGTATATATTAATTTTGATTCAAGAAGGAATACAGGACTACTACTATTGTCCATGATAAAGTAATAGGGCCAGATTTAACTTCCTGCCTTAAATACAGGGAGGACTATAGAAAATATATGCCCTGAGAGTTTTCATATATTTTACAAGAGACAGAACAGGGTAATGATCTCTGGGAAAATAAGTGAAATTAGATGAGCCTTATAATTGTCCAGCTTCCTGCCTGAGGAGAGCATCCAGGTTGAGAAACAAGGAAAGGGAACCCCAAGAGAGATCAGTACTTTCTCTAAATTGAGGAACCAGAATTCAGAATTTGAGGAGGCCAAGGCATATATAATTTTTTATTTAAATACCAGAGAAGAGAGAGCTGCACACACAAAGACATGTGCACATGCACAGAATTCTAGAAGTTTGTAGGCGGTTCCTCTCAAGTTTTTGGCCAAGCACTGGTCTATGCATGCATGGAAGGAAACTATATGAAGCAAAAAAAGAACCAACCACCAAAATGGAGCAGGCAGAAAAGTCTTTGCAGCATACACTAGGCTGGATATAGTGTGTGTTCCTATGAGCCAGAATGGAAATTCCTGCTCACCTATGTATCATCAGATAGAGTTCTCAGGAGGGTATTGCCTTAATCACAGGTACAGATTAAACCTAGGCAAAAGCTTCTCTGGGCATAAACCAAAATTTCAAGATTAATCCTGAAAAGAAGGGTACTGACTCCAAGTTAAAACTGCATCCCTCTACTTCTAAATCTTTGAGGAATCCCCATACTGTCTTCAACAATGGTTAAGCTAATTTACATTCTCACCAACAGTGTAAAAGTGTTCCTATTTCTCTGTAACCTCCCCAGCATTTATTGCTTCTTGACTTTTTAAAAATTGCCATTCTGACTGGTGTGAGATGGTATCTCACTGTGGTTTATATTTGCATTTCTCTAATGATCAGTGATGCTGAGCTTTTTTTTCTGTTTGTTGGCCACATAAATGTCTTCTTTTGGGAAATGTCTGTTCATGTCCTTTGCCCACTTTTTAATGGGGTGGTTTGCTTTTTTCTTATAAATTTGCTTAAGTTTCTTGTATATTCTGGATATTAGACCTTTGTCATATGGGTAGAATGCAAAAATTTTCTCCCATTCTGTATGTTGTTTGTTCACTTTGATGGTAGTTTCTTTTGCTGTGCAGAAGCTCTTTAGTTTAATTAGATCCCATTTATTAATTTTTATTTTTGTTGCAATTGCTTTTGGCGATTTCATTATAAAATCTTTGCTCAATGCTTATGTCCTTAATGGTATTGCAAAGATTTTCTACCCAGCAATCCCATTACTGGGTGTATACCCAAAGGAATATAAATCATACTATTATAAAGATACACACATGCATATGTTCATTGCAGCACTATTCACAATAGCAAAGACATAAAATCAACCAAAATGCCCATAAATGATAGACTGGGTAAAGAAAATGTGGTAACATATACACCATGGAATACTATGCAGCCATAAAAAGGGAATGAGATCATGTCTTTTGCAGGGACATGGATGAAGCTGGAAGCTATTAACCTCAGCAAACTAATGCCAGAATGGAACGCCAAACACCACATTTCTCACTTATAAGTGGGAGTTGAACAATGAGAACACATGGACACAGGGAGGGGAACAACACATACTGGGGGCTGTTGTGGGACAGCAGGTGGGGGAGAGCATTAGGAAAAGAGCTAACACATGCTGGGCTTAATACTTAGGTGATGGGTTGACAGGTGCAGCAAACCACCATGGCACACGTTTACCTATGTAACAAACCTGCACATCCTGCACATGTAGTCCAGAACTTAAATTAAAAAAAAAAAGTAATAAAAAAACTGCATCCCTCAACTGAGTCTGACAACATGCAAAAGAAACAACAAACTCTAGTACCTAGGAACATAAAATTCACAATCAACAACATCAAAAGAAGTAAAAAAAATGAGCATAACCACAAGAAAAATCAATCAATAGAAACATATTAAAATCCAAATTATAGAATTAACACACAAGGACAGTAAAGCTGTTATTATAAAAATATTCAATATATTTAAAATCATAAAACATGAACATGAGGAAAGACAGGAGATATGTAAAAAGATACAAGCAGAATCTCCAGGAATTAAAAATACAATATCTGAAATGAAATTGTATTATTTAGGATGAGTTTACCAGTAGATTAAACACTCCAAAGGAAAAAAAAATAGTGATCTAAAAGGAATCATACAGAAGGACGAAAGACTGAAAAAGGTAAATGTGTTGGTGTGATGATATAAAAAATGCTATATACATTTCATTTAATTGGAGCTCCAGAAGAGGAAAGAATGAGAGAACAAAAAACATTGAAAAAAAATGATGATTGAAGATTTCCACATTTCTCAAAACCTTTAATCATATTGCTGAACACCAGTGATCAAGACTCTCAAAAGAAGATAAAAAAGACATAATATTCAGAAATTATGCAAGACACAATATGGTAGAGCATATTTTAGCTGCTGATAAAAAGGCTGTCAACCTAGAATTTTATAGTCAGCAAAATGGTAAATATTTGCATAAATTCCAGGTTTTCTTTCCTCCTATTTAATGCTTTTGAAGACAATTGACTATACAAAGCAGAAACGACAACATATCAAGTGAGACAAGAAAAAAAAAAACAGAAACAACTATGTACTGTCCTCAGGAAACATGTTACACATAAAGAAATAAAGCTTAAAAATAAAAGGATGAAACGAGACATACCATAAAACACAAATTTTGAAAAAGCTGCAATGATAATATTAGTATCACACAAAATAGATTTCAGAGCAAGGAATATTATCAGCGATAAAGGAGGGCATTTCATGATGATAATATAATCATTTCATTAAGGGAACATAACAAGTCTAACCTTCATTCACTAAATAATAGAGCTACAAAACAGAAAGTAAAAACTAACAGAATGGAAAAGAGAGATAGACAAATCCACCATTTCAGATGGAGATTTCACACTCTTCTCTCAGATAATTAATAGAACAAGTAGACAAAAAATCAGAAAAAAAATAGAAGACTTGAACAACGTATTCAACTAACTTCATCCAGCTGATATTTTAAAATTTCTCCACACAACAGCAGCACCTTCTTTTCAAGTGCAGATGGAATAGTCACCAAAAGGACCATATTTAGAACTGTAACAACATACTTCTAAATAATCTATGGGGCAAAGGAGAAATCATAAGACAAATTAGAGAGTATCTTCACCTGACCTGAATTAAAATGAAAAACATGTCAAGGTTTGTATGATACAGCAAAAGCAGTACTTAGAGTGAAATTTACATATTAAACGATTATATTATGCAGAGTTCTCAAATCAATGATTTAAGCTTCCATCTTGAGAAACTAGTAAAAGAAAAATAAAGTAAACCCCAAGTAAGAACAAAGAATGAGAGAATAAAGAGCAGAAATAAATGAAACAGAAATCAAGAAAATAAATTAGTAAAACAAATTTTTGAAAAGATAAATGTAATTCATAAAACTCTAGACATACTGAAAAGGAAAAAGAAGAAGAAACATGATTTATATGAAACAAGAAAGAGGAGATATCACTACATAGTCAACAGGCACTAAAAGGATGGGATGTTATAAACAACTTTATGCTAATAAATAACAACTTAGATAAAATAGTCAAATTCTCTGAAAGATGCAAACTAACAAGGCTTATGCAGAAAAACCAGATAACCTGAGTATCCTTGCATCAATTTAAAAAATTGAATTCTTGGCCGGGCGCCGTAGCTCACGCCTGTAATCTTAGCACTTTGGGAGGCCGAGGCAGGGGGATCACGAGGTGAGGAGATCGAGACCATCCTGGCTAACACGGTGAAACCCCGTCTCTACTAAAAATGCAAAAAATTAGCCGGGAGTGATGTCACGCGCCAGTAGTCCCAGCTACTCGGGAGGCTGAGGCAGGAGAATCGCTTGAACCTGGGAGACGGAGGTTGCAGAGAGCCGAGATCACACCACTGCACTACAGCCTGGGCGACAGAGCGACACTCCGTCTCAAAAAAAAAAAAACAAAAAAAATTGAATTCTTAGTTAAAACCTTCCCACAAAGAAACCTTCATACCTAATATGGCTCCATTGGTTAATTTCCCTAAAATTTAAGAAAAAATAATACCAATTATGTTCAAATTCTTCCAAAAATAGAAGAGAAATGAGAACTTCCCAACTTATGAAGTCCGTATCACTGAATTTCAAATCCAGAAGGAGATATTTCAAGAAATAAAAAGTACATATCAATATTGCTTATGATCATACACACAGAATTTAACAAAATGAATTAAAAGTGTATTAAAATGATATCTCATGACCACGTGGGATTTATGCCATGCAGTGTTATTACAACACTGTGAAAATCAATAAGAAATTCACTATAAGAACAGACCAAAATATATTAAAAAATCAATATATACATAAAGTCATTTAATACAATTTAATACCCTAATGATTTAAAAAAAAAAACACCTCTCAGCAAACTGGGAAACTTCCTCAACCTGATAAATGGCATATATAAAAAATCTACAGCTAACCTTATACTTGACAGTAAAAAGCTGAAGGCTTCTCCCCTAAGAAATGATATTTTCAGTAGCATAAAAATATAAAATAATTAGAAATATATTTAATAAAACATGTTATTTTATATACTGAAAACTATAAAACATGAGAGCAATTAAAGATTATTCAAATAAATGGAGAAATATATCTTGTTCTTGGAGTGGAAGAGTTACTGTTAACAGGTCAATTCTCCCCAAATGGATCTATAGATTCAATGCAATTCCAGCCAAATTTCAAGTAGGTTTTTTAATTGTAGAAATTGACAAGCTGATTCTAGAATTTGTAGGAAATACAAAAGACTTAGAAGAGCAAAACAAAATTTTGAAATAAATTGGAAGACATAAAATATTATATTTTAAGATACACTATAAAGTTACAGCATTCAAGACAGTGTGATATTTACATCAAGACAATATTGATTTTAGTGATGGTTACACAACTGACCATTATCAGAACTTATCTAAGTTTATACTTAAATACGTGAATTTTATTGTGTGTAAATTATTCCTCAAAGAAGCTGGCGTAAAATTTGCAACAAATATGGCAGATGAAGGGATTATATCCTTGACATATACAGAAATAGTATAAATTAATAATGCAAAAATTAACACCCCAAATCAAAAGCTGGCAAAGTAACTGAGTAGATAACTCAAGAAAAAACACCAGTATCATCCTATCAAACTAAATCTTAACCCAAATCAAATAAATAAAATGATAATAATTGGAATCCTATTTTCAATTTAAAATATTCACATACATGTATGTTCTAGATCTTGGATTATATGGTGAGATAAACAATTTTATATACTGCTTGGATGGTTGTAAGATTATACAGACTTTCTGGAAAGCAGTATAACAATGTCATCAAGAGGCTTAACAAATATACTCTCATTATTATCATAATATTCATATTTTAGACCCTACTTCAAGGAAATAGCAGAGATGTAGTTTGAAATTTATTTACAATAATAATCATTATGTTATTGAAAAATTAGACACAGCCTAAATGTCCAAGAAAAGTGGAAAGATTAAATAAATTATGGTATATTCAAGTGGTTAAAGAACACACATTATCCAGTTTGCTTGTGAAGGATGTTTAACTACATGGAAAATGTTCATAATAAACTATTAAATGAAATAGGAATAAAAGATTAAATATACAGTTAAATCTCGTTTATGATCTGTATTTATAATTACATATGAAAACTGTCCAAAAATATAATGAAATATTAACATCTCCTGTCTTTAAATTCTAGAAGCATAGGTAATTTTTAATTTCTTCTTCATTATTGATATACCTTCTAAATTTTCTATAAAGAACACTTGTGATTTTTATAATTAGCATATACATAACTATCAATATCATTTTTAAAGTGCAGAAATGAACCTAATTTTTAGTGTGATATTTAGGCTGTGGAAAGAGAAATTGCATGAGTGTAGCAATACAGTCAAGCCCAGAATAACTGTGTGAAGTTAATCCCCTTTATAGTTTATCTACAGCAGATGGTACATCCTAGATTCTGGGTTAAGCCCGTGCTTCTAGGTTCTCTTCACTATGCCAGTTGGTGTGTATCCAGGGACTTCCAACTACTTCAGATATTAGTCTGAACAAAAACTAAGGTGAGTCCACAGAAGAAAAAAAATATTACAGAATGTGTTTCCAAGCCAAATGTAAATTACTTAGAATTATGCCTAAGCCCCTTTAAATTATGTTACTGTTCTCCCTCCTACTCAGCATGGGAAATTAAGAGATTTTCTAAATTTATTTTTTAAAATTTCCGTACAGTGTTTTAAGTTTTATAAAATTGGCCCAGTGAGGCCAAGCAGAATTCATTCTAAAGCAATCAAATTAAAAGAGCTGCCAATGCCTCCTAGGGATTCTTTCTCTGCTGTACTCTCTGAGCATCCTTTCCTGGAGGAGCCTCAAGGTCTTGGTTTGATAATTCTTTGGTTTGACAGATTTGTTTGTTTGTCCTGTCCTGCAGAGCCATTAGGTACTAATGTGAAATCTGCTGCTGGCTCTTAGAATTCGGGCTATTCTGTTATTGTTGTAAATGATCCTGCATTAGCAAAATCCCCAGCTGTCCCTAGGGTTGATAAGTGAGTCAAGGTGACTGCCCTGGGTCCCTGGTTAAGGTAAATGGGGGATACATGTTGTTGGCAGCTGTACAGTCATTCAGCTGGTGGACACAAAGGAAGTGGCCTTCACCAAAGTATGCAAAAAAAAAAAAAAAAAACACGGGGGGTTCACTTAACATCAGTTTTCAGCCTTCCTCCTCCCACTAGCACCAAGGCATAAACACGGCCTAGGAATATATTTCTCCAAGTCTATTTCTTTATATATAACGGAGGCTGCCCATTTAAAATCTCTTTTCCATTTCTTTGAGCCTGATTTCACTGGATGCAAATGTGCGATTTGGGGCAGGAAAGCACACAAGATGATTTGTTATCAATGCTCCACTGAATAGCCTTAACAATATCACAGATTTATCTACCAACACATCTACTGAGTGTGGAGTGTAAAGATGGTTTTACCTGAACAATTTACTCGCAATAAAGAAGTTGTGAAAGCAATTTGTGCTACAGTGTTTCAGAGAGACAGCAATACGGGTCCTGTTCATTGGTGTGCATGGTAAGACAAAAGAATAAGAACTGGGCTACAAGGACTATCTTGGCCTCTTAGCTACCAATGTCTGTTGGGATACCACAGCCATCCCAAATCATGTATCTTGGGCTTAGAAAGGGAGTCTAACATTTTGTTTTGAAGCATTTTATCATCTTGTTGATGTTCTGGGGCAATATGGACTAATGGATAATAGGTGGTATTATATAGAGCCAGAATTGAGTACTGGCTTCATATCTTCATACTTACGTGATCTTGAGCAAGTTAGTGTTACTCTTTGGGCCTTAGTTCTTTATCTATTATATGGAGTAGGAATACCTATTGCACAGATTTCTTGTGAAGAATAAATGTGATAATAGAAGGCAATTAGCTTAGTATCTGTCTCATAATAAAGTCTCAGTGGTTGTTAGTAGTAGTGTAAATGGTAAAAGCAGTAGTAGAATTGTTATTGTTTATTAATAACAACAATAAATTTAGTATTATTTATTCTCAGCCTGATAAATCAGTGATCACTAAATACAGATTACTGAACCCATGGTAGAGCACAGCTTGCTAATGTTGCATATAAAGAAAATATGTTGCATATGTTTATATATTGCATATAAAGAAAAATGTTGCATATAAAAGAAAATATGCTTGGTTTTATATATTTTTCTAATTTAAGACACTTTTAAAACTTTTAACCATGATCTTTATTTAAAGTTTTGTTTTCCTCATGTAAATTTAATTTTACAGGTTGCAAAATCACCATAGGGTTGATATTTTTTTCTTGAAAGTGAAACTAAAGTCACTGGTATGACAATACAGACAGAAAAATTTAGTTGCAGGGAAAAATATCACTCTATTTAGCACTGATATTCCCAAAGGTCAAGTGTAAATGTAAGTAGGGAGTAGAACTTTTTCCAGCAAAGGAAAGCTCATGCACAAGACATGCAAGCCAAACAAAAGTCAGGAATCTAGCAATACCAAGTCTACCTCTAACATTATTCCCAGGGGAGATGGCTGAATACTTCAGTAGCTAGAGTTTCCATCCAATATGATTCAATTCCTGAAGAGAAAGAAAGCTGTCAACATAAAATGGATCTCAATTACAAGATAGCTTCACAACATGGACCTTGAGGGCAACATAGACTCATTATTTTATTCATTTATTCAACAAATATTTATTGATCGCATGGCTTTAGAAAAGCATTAAGGCAGGGGTCCAGTCTATCTACTTTGGAAATCACTAATAGATTTTCAGTGTATCTTATTAATCCTACTGATAGGAACAGTATGAGCTTGTGTGATAAGTATTGGCACTAGAGTTTAGTCTGTTCCCTTTGTAATTATTAGTGGTGCACTTTCAAGGGGCCAAGAGCTTTAAAGGCATCTTACCATACACTGAGCTCCAAAAACACTTGCGTCAGGGTTTTCTTGGTTTCTCTGTCTCCTTATCTTTGGTATTCAGAGTTTTAGGAGGTAAATTTAAAAAGTAAATAATCCTATCCCATTGAGGCATTTCTTCAGAAAAAATATTAGTCACAGTGATTTAAAGGGATTTAAAGCATAATTAAAGGTACTTGTAGAAAAATGTCAATTTAAATATTAAAATAACAAACCAAGCTGAGCAGTCATGATCCTTGTCTTATATAACCCTTATGTTTGACATATCACTTAACTTTGAACACAGTAAGTGACCCCCTCCTCCAAAATCTGCAGTTTGTTTTACAAACTATCCCCAATGTGAGACAATACTGTATATTTATTGATCTATAAGCATGTGCATGGAAGCTAGTCAAAAGAACTTACAGCCTTTTTGCTGTTACAAATGATTATAAAGTATGCATTGGACAAAAAACCAAACACCGCACGTTCTCACTCATAGATGGGAATTGAACAATGAGAACACATGGACACAGGAAGGGGAATATCACACTCTGTGGACTGTTGTGGGGTGGGGGGAGGGGAGAGGGATAGTATTAGGAGATATACCTAATGCTAAATGACGAGTTAATGGGTGTAGCACACCAGCATGGCACATGTATACATATGTAACTAACCTGCACATTGTACACATCTACCCTAAAACTTAAAGTATAATAATAAAAAGAAAGTGAAAATTTTCCTACAAATGGGAACATCTTGAACTCTTCAAGGCTCACATAACTTCAGAGCAATAGAAACCACATTTTTGACCATGTAAGTACTACCAAAGAAAGGGAAAGAGATGGGATTTGGTGAGGTGAGTGGCAAAGTGTGGTAAGTAAGGGGACAAACTATTATATTCCAGGACTTTACACTTCTTCAATATAGGGTAATGGGTGAGGGTTGTAGGAGGGTGAGGGCATGCTTTCTCATGGATCAGTATAGTCTGGAAAATATGCTGTCAATTTTGGCTGAGGGAAAATATGTCTAATATTTAAAAAAGAAACTAAGCTATCAATCAAATTAATCACAACAATATTATTGAGGGTCTATTAATTGGGAGGAAAAAGAAAGCCAAAGAGATAGATTCTCTTTGATATAACTATAACCTTGATGAGGTGGCAGAACATACACAGTCTTTGGTAAATCTTATAACATACTGTGTTAGTGCCATTATCATTTAGCACGAGGGCAAAGATGTGACTTTAGAGTTATAAGGGAAGAAATTATCTGGTTCAATCCTTTTACAAATTGCTCCAACAAGCAATATTCAATGACAATATTAAGGTAAATTTTAGGAATGCTTTTACTGGCAATTATTTCTGGAAGTAATTTTCCGGTAGTATCATATAGGCCCATTTTTAAAAGATGGTGAAATTTTTAGTTTTCAGATCCATTATCAGCTACTGAAATATTCAGCCGCTTCTCCCAGGAATAATGTTAGAGGTGGACTCTTGGTATTGTCAGCTGTCTGATTTTTACTTGGCTTGCATGTCTTGTGGATAAGCTTTTAATTGTGGGAAAAAGTCCTACTCCCTAGTTGCAATAACACTTGACATTTGGGAATATCAATGATAAAATAGAGTAATTTTTTTCCCTGCAACTAACTTTTCATGTCAGTCTTGTCATACCAATGACTTTAGTTTCACTTTTAAGAAAAAAGTGCAAACTTTATGGTGATTTTTCAACTCCTAAAATACACTTACATGAGGGAAACATGAAATGCTCTGCCTATACTAGGGACCTGATAGAATTTTGATGAATAAATGAATTTTTGATAGTTGTATTCTCTAATCATATAGTTGGCTTATATATTCTGCAATATTTTCACATGATCTGCTACTTCTGCAGCATTCCTGCAGTTTTTCCTATTAGCCCTAACACTGACCAGGTAGTAGGGTCATGTAGGTGTTGCACATAAGTGTTCTTTCACATAACTATGTCTTAGCTCCCTAGAAGAATATAAGTTCTTCAAAGAAAATGACTGGGCAAAGCGTTCTGAATACCCACAAGGTGACCAGTATGGGGATGTGCTTGTAGAGCATGAGAACACTATATACTGCTGACCTATTGACTTACTAGAAGTTCAGCACATGCACACCTACAACCCTCTGATCATTGACAAAGATAACAAAAATAAGCAATGGGTAAAGGACTCCCTATACAATAAATGATGCTGGGATAACTGGCTAGGCATATGCAGAAGATTGAAACTGGACCCCTTCTTTACACCATTCACAAAAATCAACTCAAGATGGATCAAAGACTTAAATGTAAAACCCAAAATAATAAAAACCCTAGAAGACAACCTACACAATACCATTCTAGATATAGGAATGAGCAAAGATTTCATGAGGAAGGCGCCAAAATCAATTGCAACAAAAGCAAAAACTGACAATGGGATCTAAAAGAGCTTCTGCCCAGCAAAAGAAACTATCAACAGAGTAAACTGACAACCTTCAATATAAGATAAAATATTTGCAAACTATGGATCTCACAGAGGTCTAATATCCAGTATGTATAAGGAACTTAAATTTATAAGCAAAAAACAACCCCATTAAAAAGTGGGCAAATGACATGAACAGATACTTTTCTAAAGAAGACATACATGTGGCCAACAAACATGAAAAAAAAGCTTAATATCACTAATCGTTAGGAAAAATGCAAATCAAAAACCACAACGAGGTACCATCTCACACAAATCAGAATGGCTATTATTAAAAAGTCAAAAATAGCAGATACTAGCAGGTTGTGGAGAAAAGGAAACACTTATACACTGCTGGTGGAAATGTAAATTAGTTCAGTCATTGTGGAAAACAATGTAGCAATTCCTCAAATAACTAAAAATAGAACTACCATTCCACCTAGCAATCCCATTACTGGGTATATACCCAAGGTAATATAAATTGCTGTACCATAAAGACACGTGCATGTGTATGTTCACTGCAGCACTATTCACAATAGCAAAGACATGGAATTAACCTAAATGCCCATCAATGACTGACTGGACAAAGAAAATGTGGTACATATACACCATGGAATACTATGCAGCCATAAAGGAGAATGAGATCATGTCTTTTGTGGGAGCATGGACAGAGCTGGAGGCCATTATCCTAAGTAAATTAATACAGAAACAGAAAACCAAATACTGCATGTTCTCACTTATAAGCTAAATGATGAGAACACATGGACACATAGAGGTGAACAACACACAATGGAACCCATTAGAAGGTGGAGGGTGGGAGGAGGGAGAGGATCGAAAAAATAACCAATGACTACTAGGCTTAATACCAGGGTGACAAAATAATCTGTACACCAAGCCCCCATGACACAAGTTTACCTATATAACAAACCTGTACTCCTGAAATTAAAAATAAAAATTAAAAAAGGAAATTAAAAAATTAAAAGTAAGAAGAGAGACTCACAGCTTTTACTGTTGGAACTGCAGGTTTATTTCAGGTGATGACAATATTTTGGATGAAATAATATACTGACTTATGACACAAATAAATAATTTTGCAAAAAATAAGTTTGGCATATATATTCAGAAGATTTAGTAATGCTTGATTGATTCCTCACCTACTTACATATCTTTAATTCTAACTTTTCACTAATGGGTGATTTGCTTAATATCTCTAAGAGTTAGAAAATGTTTTAATAAATTGTACCCATTAGCATGTTGTATAGAATGCTGCTTTTTCCCACCACATATCTGGCAATGTATACTGCTGCAATCTCACAAAATCATACCATCTGCTATAGAGAAAAAAAAAGGTCAGGTTTCTACCAAGTCTACGTAACACTATTATCTTACTTCTCTAAACACAGCATTAACATAGAGCTGATTGTGTATTCAAGTGCTGTCACAGACAGCAAAAGGACCATTCAACACTCCACAAAACCACTTGCTATCTAGCTTCCCACTGGACCTCCAGTGATTTCTGCCTGATGGAAAAGAAAATTAAAACATGTTCCTCTTAGTTGATCCTACTAAAGAAAGACAGCTCTGGGAAAGCTAGTGTCATTGAGCTGTGAATCATATTCTCAGACGTGATTATCATCTAAAGTCCAAATGTCAGCTCTTTTTGGATTAGCCTGGCTGACAGTGACCTGAGAGACTAAAGATGGGACTGTCCCATACAGAGCTTGCTTGGCCTGATAGCCTGGAGCTGCAGTGGGTCTCCTCCTATATCTTCTTCCTCTCCCCTGCAGATTCCCTCCCCTTAGCATAATAAACACAAGCAATTCTTTCCTATCCTCAAGAAACACTCCCTTAAGAGTTCCTCTAACTAGTACCTTCTCCAGTCTTTGACAGAAATATTACTTGAAAGATTAGCTTATATTTACTGTTTCCTTTGCCATCCTCCCCAGTCACTGCTTTCACTAAGGTCACGAGTGAACTCAGTATTTACAAACCCGATGAATAATCTGTCATGATATTTCTTTATAACTTGATCTCTCTTAGACATTTGACATTCCCTCTTAAAATTTTATTTTCTCTTAGCTTTCGTGATGATTCTAACTTGTTTTCTTTTTAACTTACTCAAGGGCAACTCCTTTTCAATATCCTTAGTGGTCTTCCCATTCTTCTTCATGGGCTTCCTCTGCTATTGTTTAAATACTGGTGTTCCTCCTGTGCTCATCCTTGCCTTCTATTGTTCTTAGTCTATAGAGTTCTTCTGAATGATTTATTCTAAAACATAGCCTAAATTGCTAGTTATATAAGATAACTTTCAAGTCTATATCCTTGCCTCATAACTCTTAATTTTGTTTCAGATATATGTATTCTACTTGCCTAAAAAATATTTCTACTTGGATGTGTCACAAGCATATCATATTCAATAGCTATGAAACTGAACCAATCTTATTTCCCTAAAATTTTTCCCCCTTTCCTATATTCCCCCTCTCTGAGAATGGTACCACTACCCATTTGGTTTTTTAAGTCAGAAATCTGAAAGTCATCTCACACTCCTCCCCTTCCCTACCAACATCCATTCACCCGTTCACAAAATCACATTGCTTCTTCTTTCTTGGTAACATTCGCATGAGTTTCCTTCAACTTCAATCTTTCTTTATTCTTACCATCTAAATTCAGACATTCATAATTTCTTTCCTGCATAACAATACTTTCCTAATTGATCTCTGTCCAATCCATCTGCCACACTGATATCAGAGGGAATCATGTAAGTCCACTGAATTAAAAAACCCTCCAGTCAGGTACAGTGGTTCACACCTGTAATCCCAGCACTTTGGGAGGCTGAAGCAGGTGAATCACTTGAGCCCAGGAATTTGAAACCAGCCTAGGAAGCATGGCAAGACCCTGCTTCTTCAAAAAATACAAAAATTAGCTGGGTTTGTTGGTGCATGCCTGTGGTCCCAGCTACTCATGAGACTGCGGTGGGAGGATTGCTTGAGCCCAGGAAGTTGAGGCTGTAGTGAGCCGTGATCACACCATTGCACTCCAGCCTGGGTGACAGGAGTGAGACCTTGTCTCGAAAACAAACAAATAAATAGACAAACAAACCAACCTTCCATGGTTTCTCACTACTCTCAGGATAAAGTTTAAACTCAGCTAAGTGTACAAATCTCTTCATGATATGACCTCTCTCCACTCCACTAGGTTCATCTCTACCACTTCTTCACATCTAAACTTTTCTTCAACAATATCAAAATATGTTCAATTACTGCAAACTAAATAAATTGATGTAATATGAATAACATTTTGATGCACTGTAGTATAGGTCAGCACACTTTTTTTGTAAAGGGCCAAATAGTAAATAATTTATACTTTGCAGGTCATACAAACAGAACTGTTACAACACTGCCATTGTAGTGCAAAAATGGCCATAAATAATCCATAAACTAGATGAATGTGCATAACTGTGTTCAAATAAAACTTTATTTACAAAAACAAAGACTGATCATACTGGTTCCTTAGGTCATCATTTGCTGACTCTTGAACTAAAAGACTATGCTATGTTAAGGAATTCTGCTTTGAATCCTTTTATAGAACTAAGCACTAATCTTGGTTCTTGTGTCAATTAGAATTTTTCAAAGTTGAGTTTACTTAAAATAAGTTATACCTGTACTTAAGATAATATATAAAAGTCATCACCATCCTCAGAAGGATCTAAAACCAAATAGTAATTAATTTTCATCCATGAACTATCTTCCTGGCCACAAAACTGATTTAGGCTTTCGTATGCATTCCATAAATCTATACTTTCACTCAGAAAATAAACAATCTTCTAGGAATTCTTTGCTTCATTGGATTTGACAGTTTCACCCACTCTTGCAGACCTTTTCTTTTCCCTGATGCTAAAGTTTCTTGTAAATAATTTTCTATCTGTTTCTGGGTGTTTGTGGTTCCAGAGCATGGAGGGGTATTCAGAATTTAATACATATTGGACATGTCGGGGAAAAATTGATGTCACTAAATCTCTATTACCTATTATATAATTAGGTACACAGACTGAGTGTCTTTACTCTGAAGAATAAGTGAAAATGGACATATTTGGAACATCTTCGTTTCTATTAATAGTTGTAAAATTTACAAAAACCTGACATTGAAATCTGATCTAGACACTGATCATTAAGGAAGGCTTTTTTTTTCTCTTTAGTAGAAGAGAGAAAATTAGAGGCAAAGCAGGGTTTTAATCCTATACATAATTTTGAGTAGGTATCTTTGGATTAGTTCTTGTGGGCCTCTTCCAGGCCTCCCCTACCATACCATCAAATTACCAATTAGTAGACATGTTTTATCATCAATGCTCTTATCTCTCAATGCTCTCATGTACAGAAACAGATCTGATAGGCTTAGTGTGTTAATTATTTTAGGTAACATTCCATTTGAACTAAGGCAATGTTCTTCAAGAATAAGTCAAGTAAAAATAAATTATTATCAAGAAGGGATCACATATGAAGCCATTATCACCCATATCTCAACCACAGTATGAGATTATCAACCATAATATGAGATTATTACCCTCATGTGGATGAGGGCAACAGAGGACAGTGGAGCCACAAGAAGAGAAGGAGCCTAGATCCTTCACAACATGGATTGACTGTATCAGCTCTGGACTACTTACATATTGACTAACATGAGGGGAAATATATGTTTCAATCTTGTTTAAGACACTAGGTATTTAGTTTTCTTTGTTATCACAGCCCAACCTCCTATGTCATAACTAATTGGAATAATTTATAATCATCATTATCATTTATCAATATAAAAAGGACCTAGCTTATGTTTCAAGCTATCAAAAAGACTTATAATTTAGAAACTTGGCTATGAAATACTTTTAGGATTTTATTAAATAGATATCCATATGTATATGTCTGGGAAATATAGATGGTTATGTATAAACTGAGCCAGTTCTCTTCTTCTTACTGGGTCTCAGTTTCTTCATCTATAAGATAGGGAATTAAACCACATGATTTCTAAAGCTCCTTCCATCTATAAAGGTTATGATTCTAAGGTTCTATAGGCTTTTCTGTATTTTTGGATTTGAATGATTTGGTAAGATCAATCAAGGAAAAAGAATGGGTTTTGCATTTACTTCTATCTTGTCAGAGTGAATTTTTGGTTCTAAAGTGGTGCTGAAGATAAGTATTCTCCCTCCCCAATTCCTACACATTCTCCTCCCTTTTCCTCTTTCATAGATGATACCTGAAGTGCACTTAAGCTCAATAGGGCAAGGCCATCTCCAAATGCATGGCATTGTGATCACTGCCATGTTCTTCTCCTCTACTTCAATTCACAATCTTCCTCTTTCATATCAAATATCTTCCTTTCTGATGCAAACATGTATAAAGGGGGAATAGAAAGTGCTAACCTGCTTAAAAGTGGGAGGTAGAATGGTTGGTCTCATGACATTGCTTCAAGCCTTGAATCTATGATTAGTCTATCACTACTACACTTAAAGAGAATAGGCCACTGATAATTTAAAAATAACAAAAAATAGATGTTGGTGTGGATGTGGTGAAAAGGGAACACTTTATACTGCTGGTGGGAATGTAAACTAGAAAAACCACTGTGGAAAACAGTATGGAGATTCCTTAAATAAATAAAAGTAGAACTACCATTCAATCCAGAAGTCCCACTAGTGGGTATCTACCCAAAGGAAAAGAAGTCATTATATGAAAAAGTCACATACACATACGTATTTATAGCAGCACAATTCACAAATGTAAAAATATGGACCAACCTAAGTGCCTATTAACCAACGAGTGGATATACATCATGGAATATTACCTAGCCATAAAATGGAACAAAATAATGGCCTTTGCAGCCATTTGGATGGAGATGGAGGCCATTATTCTGAGGAAGTAACTCAGGAATGGAAAAGCAAACATTGTATGTTCTCACTTATAAGTGAGAGCTAAGCTATGAGGATGCAAAGGCATAAGAATGTTATAATGAACTTTGGGGACTCAGGGGAAGGTGGGAGAGGAGCGAGGGATAAAAGACTACAAGTTGGGTACAGTGTACACTGCTCAGGTGAAGGGTACACCAAAATTTCAGAAATCACCACTAAAGAACTTATCCATGTAACCAAAAACTACCTGTACTCCAAAAACTACTGAAATAAAATTTAAAAAAGAAACAGAATAGGCCACTGACACTCCTTTCAGGATAGCTACCAAATTCAAACTGCTTCAGTCTGAGAGTGGTCACAAAGTATTACTAATGTGGCTGTGCAAAAATGGTACTGACTCCAGAGGAACAAGGTTTACAGATATGAAGCTATGAGGAAGACATACTTAAATGATAATATACTGGTTGTTCCCATAGAAAGAGTGTATCTATAAGTCAGAATGGGCTAGGTTATGCCATAACAACAAAAATTATGTGAATTTCATTGGCTTAAAACAACAAAGGTTTACTTCTTGTATAGTTTTCATGTTCAGTGTAGGATATTGGTTTGGAGGCTCTGTCTATGGTAATCACTCAAAGACCCAAGTTGAGGGAGGATCCATTTTGAAATATGCTTCCATATCACTACAGAAAGACAAACAAAAGTCTGGAGCTGAGCACTGGCAATTAAATGCTCCCATCAAGAAATTACAGGAGTCACTTCTGTTCACATTTCAATGGCTAAAGCAAGCCATATGACTACCTCTAACTTTAAAGGGGCAGGGAAGTATAATCCTATCATATGGCTGCAAGGGAAACTGAAATAGTTGTGAATACCTTATTGACTACAACAGGGTGTAAGACTGCAAGTCATGAGACCAGGGTTACAGTTTTAATTTTACCATTAGACATGTGACCTACAGCATTCAAACTCAGTGGGCCTCATAATATTCCACAATGGTTTGTTGTGAGAATCAAAGTAATAATTAAGGGAAAGTATAAATCATTAATTAAATAAAAGGTAATGGTTTAATTATCCATACTTTATAATGAACTTTTAAATCTAAAAATATGGGCATGGCTGTTTCTTTTGTTGGCAGGATGTAATAATTCAATTTGTGGAGATTTGGGACGGCATTCGTAAAATGGCAACCATTCAGCAATAAATTACTATTTATAAAAAAGTATATACACATTACTTTCTTGAGATGGTGTGATATTTGACCTTTCATAAAAAATAAAAATGGTGCCAGTGTATCTCTGGTGTGAGTGATGGTACTCCAGAAATCAGGGTCTATGTTCTGCAAGAGCTCTAGATGCTATGTCAATTATTTTGTGCATTCAAGAAAGGTTGCAACTACTCTTACATTCAGCTAACTTATTTTTTAAAGCCAGCATTCCACATAATCCGGTAATGGAAAGTGAGAATTCAATGAATTGCCACAATTAAAACTGGCCTCATTTGAAACTTACCCAGTTGATATTTTCCACAATGAGATGTATTGGAAAAGGGATGAAGAGTTTAACAAGGAAAGAACAAAAAATTCCCTCTCCTTGTTTCTCCGAAGGAGCCAAGTAACCACCAATCTTTACAACATGTTAAGCTTCAGGGATACATTGCATAAAGTGTTGTTACAAATACATATAAGTCATACCCCATTGCCAGGACAGCCTAATCTGGGTTTTATGACACCCTTCATTTCCCATCAGCTACACCAGGGGTGCTTTCCGTTACCTCTAAAAGTGTCACAATTTTCTAAATAAGAATGTTAAAGTAAAGGGAAGTTAACTGTCTTCTGATTTTCTTTTCTTTTTGAAATAACTCTAGATAGATAGATAGAGATATATTTCACATACCTGATTTTTAAAATAAATCCATGTTATGTGGTACATCTAGGAGAAGCAGAGAGTATCACAAAATCCAAGTTGTAGTGATAGGGGATGATACTGCTTGAAGAAAGAAGAGCAGTATCACCACTCAAGATCTTTTTGAGCAAGACTGTTCTTTCTGAGCAGTCAGCTCTAACATAAAATGATGTGGCTGCTGTGTTGATGGCTGTTATTTGTATGCCTCTGTCTTTCACGTCTTTGACTCTGTCTCCATCTCTGTCTTACACACACACACACACACCTGCATGCACACACATAGAGTTTTGACAGTTCAATTATCTCTCCTATTTAAATTATATTAGTATGCTCTGGGGCCTGGTGGCAGAAGGTACCCTTTGTAAAATCTAATAAATGAGTGAAAGCACTAAAAGAGAAGTGACTCCATGAAGGCAACTCTCTGGGCTTTTTTTCCTTTTTAGGGCTTTATATTCCTTTGAAGAAAACTCTCTGCAAATCCCTAGATAAATGCCACAGGCCAGACATATTTAGCAAAAATTCCTGCAAAAAATCATGTGAAATTTCTAAGGCACCAATAATATTATATTTAATAAAGTCCGTAAATTTTCCAGGCCAGAAAATCCAAGACAAATTGACAAATGTGATTTTATATATCAGTCTTCCAGATCCACCCACAAATAATGGTATGGTCGAAGATACCAGATAATTCAGAATGACATTGCAATGGAATTAAGAATTTAAATGTAAATGGACTCTTTAGAAGAAAGGGAAAATGGATGACTCATTAATCACAGATCTATGCCTTTGTTAAAATGCTATTTCATGTAGCTGGAAGTCCTCTGGTCCTCTTATACTCATCTGACAAAATTCTCCACTAATAGTCTGGCTCATCTCTAATCATTCATTAAAATTATTCTGATTCTCTGCTAGAACTATGGTTTAGCAATTAACATATGTGTACTGTTTGTATATAAATACCTCCCTGCTTGTATGTCAGAGTATGGAGAACATTCATGCCTTTCACAGTCCATGGGCCTCAAATCTAAGCTACTTTCCCCATAAATCTACAGCCTTAGCCTTGAGGGAGTGTACTTCTCTGGATTCATGCTTAGTAAACTGTTTGATTCATTGTTTTGCCATCTGTCTGTATCACTCCCTTTGGTAGCTTCTTTTATCTTGGATGGATAAACAAGTATGTTCTAAGTTCTAGCTCTTAGATGCATTTCTTTTTCTAACAGGAACTGGCCTTAAAGACATAAAAAATACATTCAAAATTAAAATAAGAATTTTTTTCCTTCTGATCTCTATCTCCATTTCTAGAGCCATCAGGGTTAGATAAGTTCAATGACCTGCTGTACCGTTTCCCTAAATGCATCTGCTCAGCCAGATCAATGAGACCATAGTTCCTCTGGGGATATCTGGGGCAGAACAAAAGGACATTTGCAGAACAGATGCTCAGAGGTATCATCTAATCCTGGCCCCTCCCTTCTGGTTGGTGTCTAAATTATTCAGGTCTCAGGATTGTCATATCTCTCCTTGAAGATTTCCTCAGTTTCTGTATAGTTTTGCATTCTAGTCTGTTTCCCTAGAACAGTTAAAATTGCCTTCCTATGCCCCACTGAAATGTTCTTTATTAAAATTTTATCCCATGTGCTTATTTACTCTTCTGCCTAGATATAAATGAAAAGTTTAAAAGTCTCCTACAAAATATCTTTCTTATACTTGAAGACATCAACTCGATCACTCTCCAAGCCACAGCTCCTCAGGCTGTGTGGGTTTTCAGACGTCCTTAATGTGTTGTGTGCTAAATCTCACAAACCTCTCTGCAAACTTCTTGTCGAGTAATTATTTGAGTAAGAGACGAAGGGCAGCCAATGATGAAGAAAAAGAAGGTGAAGAAATAGAGCAGATGGCTTGGGAGGGTGTATACATTTCCAGCAATACCATTCGCCCATTAGTCAAAATCAGAAACCTGGATATCAGCCTCTACTCCTTCCTCTCCTTCATGCTACACATGCCATCAGTTACCAAGTCCTGCCATTTACACTCCTAAATATCTCAGAAACCAAGTCCTTCAGTCCTCTTCCACCAACTCTTGTAAGACTCTCTCTCACACACACTGTCTCTCTCTTTCTTTTTTTCTCTCTCTCTTTTTCTCTCTCTCTCTTTTCCTGGGTTGCTGCCAATAAGAAAAGAATACACATGTTCCAGTTGTGGAGTTAGCAATGGTTTTATTTCTCTGAGGAGATTTCTGTAAATAAAGCACTTTGTTTTGTTTTCCTTATATCTGGCCTTCACCCATACTAGCTCCCCCTCCCTCCATCCCCTCGTGAATCACTATAAGCCAAGTTAGGACGGCAACTCTCTGATTCTGAAGCTGACATGACACTCTGAAGATCTTCACCAGCCAAATTACTCTCCATAGATTGCTTAACTCATGGAACATGTTCCACAATCACATTTTTCTCCTGACTACCCTACAACCTTTTCTTCTCCTTATTTCTTTGCCCCATTTCCTTTCCTTTGCTGACAGCAGGTGGTCAGTGGTGTCTTGGAAAGAGAATCTGGCACCAATTCAATACAAAACAACAGAATCTGTGCTTCAATTAACTATTATTTGCCAAGTATAGACTTTGATGGAAGAGTAGGCTTGTCCATACTGACTACATAGGTACACAGGGCTAAAGATGGAGGTGCGGTGTGGGAAAGTGATACGGAGAAAATAGCATTCAGCTATGCGACCATTGCCTGTCAGTCCACTGAAAGTTAACTCAATTATTTTGTACTTTGGTTATAAATTGTAATTAGAATTCCTAGAAGACAGTGGCTCTGAAGGCTTATTGTTAAAATGACACTACACATATTTTACAAATGGGCCACTGGTGGTAGATGTCATAGAGGTGATCTACCTTATAGTTGCTTATAGAAAAATTAGAAAATCCATGGTAGAATAGAATTTATTGGTTTCTAGGTAATCAAAGCCTAGGTACTTGCCAAAACCTCCCTTAAAATCAAATTTATTTATAATATTTTGTTGCTATTCAACTTCCAGTTGTAATTCAGTTTTCAAAAGACATTGGGTTATAAGACTATCTCCTGGCTCTATAGAGCCAAAGGAGAATTTCAATGATTTCTATGGTCTAGAGAGCATTCTAAAAAAAAGACTACATTTTCCTTTTAAAACACCAATTTTCCCAACACCTAGTGAATTTCCAAACACCTAGTTCTCAAAGATGTATACTGAATTCTTGAAAGTTGGAATGAAACAATAGCCACTGTAATAGCATTTTTAAAGCTGAAAAAAATGGAGGTTTAAACGAGTTACCTGAAGAATACAAATGACGGAGCTGGCTAGCCTCCCACCCTGGGTCTCTCTTAGCTTCCCTTTGCAGGGAGCCACCAAACACTCTGTTAAAGACAGAACAGGTAAGTGTCTTTGCTGCTTTGTTTGTTTTGTTGTCTAATATTCAGAAAAAATCAAAGCCTTTGACCATGTGTGGGAAGAAAAAGGAAGGGAATGAAAAGGAAAGGCAAGGCAAGGCAGAGCAGGCATGGGGTGAGAGGCATATTTTCTGCTCATCCAGAATAATGAATGGGTGAGTCAACCTCATCCCACAGTGATCTGACCACATCCTGGCTTTTCTACACCACACAGAGGCTACAGTGTAAGACAAGCAATGCGCCATTTGGCTTTCTTTGCTAACACTTCTCATCAGACTATTATTTTGACAATCCCACAGTGTTACTACTATACTATTAAAAAGGGAAAAATTGGCAGGCAAGGCATATCTAAAGTTATTTCATTAAGGCTGACAGCTTTAAACTATGCTTCTGAGGGGGAAAAATCCTTGTTATCAAACAACTACATGCTAGCCTTCAAATACTAAATGGTTCATAAATTTTCTTTCATGTCTTTACGAAGTTTATGTTCCTTGCTTTACTGTAGTAGCTGATTCAAAGACAGTAGCAGTTATAAGAAGATGATGCACTACTCAAGGGCTATTCACATGTAAACACCAGGTCTCACTGAAAAACTACACATGCCAATTCCTGAAATCACAAAATCACAGAAATTCTCAAGAATCCACCTAACTTGGTGCTATGGTCTAAATGTTTATGTACCCCCTCAAATTCACATGTTGAAACCTAATCTTCAATATAATAGTATTAAGAGGAGGAGCCTTTAGGATATGGAGCCCTTATGAATGGGATTAGTGTCCTTATAAAATAGGCCTGAGAGAACTTGTTTGCCTCTTCTGCCCTGTGAGGATGAAGTGAGAATGCACCATCTATGAAGCAGAGAACAACCCCTACCCAAACAATCTGTTGGTGCCTTGATCTTGGACTTCCCAGCCTCTAGAACTATAAGAAAGAAATTTCTGTTGTTTATTAGCTATTCAGTTTACATTATTTCTGTTATAGCAGCCCAAATCGACTAAGACTATTAGTGTCAGAGAATAGATTGAGGATGAAGGTGCCATTGAAAGTTCTTTATGCCATTTAAGCCACTATCAGTCCTCTGGCCCTCTGAACCTATTAAGTCTTTACTTTGAGGTCTCTCCTTTCATTTTTTTCTCCATGTATTTTGCTCTGGATTTCCTTGTCTTTCTTTTTCTTCTCCCTGGAGACAGCACAGCATATTAGAAAGAGCATAAACTTTGGTGACAGACTAACTCAAATTCATAATATTGGTCCTTTGTTCCCATGAGACTTTGGGCAATTCATGTAACCACTTTGTTACCTCAGTTTTCTCATCTGCAAAATAACTATCTGTCTGACTACCTCATATTTTTGTTGGGAGAATTAAATGAGACTCTATGTGTAACATAGCTACATATAGAAAGTACTTGAATATTAGTCATTTCATCCCCCTTTCTAAGGGCTTTCTGTTAGGTACCTCCATAACTCTGCTTCAATGATTGCTTCTTTTTGCATAGGTCTGTTAGTGCCTCACAGGACTAAAGAGAAAATGTGCATATCTCCCTGCCTGTAAGCAGAATCAAAAATGCCAAGTATTATAGTGACTACAAGGATGGGATTTGATGCTAGACTAGTTGAGTTCAAACTCTAGCTCTTTCCCTTACTAGTTATGTTTCCTTGGACAAGTTAACTTCTCTTGTGCCCAATTTCCCCATTTGTAAAACAAACATAATAATGATCCTACCTCACAGGATTTTGGTGAAGATAAAATGAATTAATTCACATGGCTGGCACATGATAGGCGCTCAATAAATGTGTATTGTTAAAAATCAAATGTTACCTTCTCAGAGAGATCTCCCACGACTACCCTATTTAAAAGCAGTAGTCATCACCCTTACTGTCTTTTACCTTACCCTGCTTCATTTTTATTCTTAACGATTACTACTGTCTGACAAAATGTGTATTTATCTGTACTTGGTTATTTTTGTCTTGCTTCCTCTACCACTAGAACAGTACTTCCATGAAAGCAAGAACTTTTATTTTCTATAATCCCCAACACCCAGAATAGAATCTGAAACAAAGTAGGCACTAAATATATATTAATTGACTGGATGAATTAACTATGTGTAAAGTATTCCAGTGGGAGGAGAACTTCAGATCTTTCAGATTGAGGGAAGTTATTACTTGAGTATGGGAGCCTCCCTACTGTCTATTGATCCTCTGTCTAGGCAGAGCATTCTGAAAGCCAAGCTAAGCCTTCTGGCAAGCCCTCTGAGTGACTGCAGTACTTGACTACTTCTCTTAAGTATGTGCCTAAACTCCTGCTTACCTAGCATTCTGGCTATGAGACCTGTAATTAAGTTCCCTAAGACATTCCATATTATGTGGTGTGTGTATGTGTGTGTGTGTGTGTGTGTGTGTGTGTGTGTGTGTTTATTTTCAATTCACAAATAATTGTATATATGGGGTACAATGTGATGTTTTGGTATGTGTATACATTTTGGAATGATCAAATCAGACTAGTTAATATATCTATCACCTCACATACTTATCATTTCCCTGTGGTGAGAACATTTGAAGTCCATTCTTTTAGCTATTTTGAAATATATAATACAATAATGTATTTCATAACAATGTATTATATTGTAATGTATTATATTAACTAAAGTCACCATGCTCTGCAACAGCATTTTCTGTGCATTTTTTATTTTTTACAATTTTACTTCCTTTAAATTTTCTTTTCAGGTCATAAAATATTTGTTAAGTGGTTTATTACCTTAATACAATAACTCTGGCTCTCAAATCTTGCCTGTTCCATTTTAGTAATCAACATCAAGGCATATATAACACGGGTCAGTGACAGTCAGAACAATTCTATGTATAATGGGAATGGGAAGCAAGAAGGGTTCAAGCCAAGTGCCTCCAGGTATCTTCATTGCCCATATCTACTTGTAAATCACAGGAACACTGAAGTGCTACTCCTCACAGTCAGCTTGTTTTCTACTCTAATCCTGAGATCCTCTGTTGACTTTGTACCTAGCTGGGTATTGTCCACTTGGTATTTGTGAAATCTATTTCCCTTTTCTATGCAAAACCCTGCACTGTCCACAAAGCTTCCCTGCTTTTTTTCTGCATAGCCATATTATTTTTAAGAAATATATTGTAGCAAAGGTCAAGAGACAAGGAGGGATTAGACATTTGCTCAGGGAATAAGCCAGGCTATTGTGCAGTGGCAAAATGAAGCATAGGCACTGTATCTACCTAATTGTGAGAGGAAACAGCTCTGAGGTTTGGCATTACTCATATATGCTTTATATGCATGACCTTCAAATGGCAGTAATGAATATCACTTTTTCTGTTGATAAATATTGATTCCTCTGTGCTGGTGGGAATCTCACGTTCATTTAGATTTGATAACTACCAGCTGTGACTTATTTAGAGCCTACATGGCCCTCAGCATGTATGGCTGCTTAGGTAATACCTGTTCTTACCCACTTACCAAGTCTAGGTCTGGGCTTTCAAAGAAAATATAGATCAAATAAGATTTCTGCCAGTTCAACAGCAGACAGGTGCTAATAATTTTTTTTTAAAGATTTCTTCAAGTGCTTCTTTACTTTAGACCTAGCTCCCAAGGTGAAGGGGAAACTTACTAGCTTCTGAAGGTGAGCTGTCAGCATTAATTTTTTGGCAACATCTTTATTAATGGTTAGCATCCACATCTCAGTGAACTTATGGTATAAGTGTGTCCCATCTCTCAGAGTACTGCAATACCCCAAAACTGTTCTAGGAGTCCAGGTTGTGGGTCATTTTATGGGTAAGACATTCTGCTACTGACATTTTTCTAAAGAATAGAATCTCTTTCTAATGTCTAAAACTGACTTGGTTTAGGAATGATGGATTCTTTGTCTCAAGCAAATTATGATGCACTAACTTTCATAACGTAATATCCTCCATGTTCACCCACATTGCTGTGAACGACAGGAATTTGTTCTTTTTATGGTTGAATAGTATTCCAGTATATACATATATGTATATAAAATATTCCAGTGTATATATAATATAAACATATTTTTAAATATACATAAAATGTACATATAAAATATATATGTATTATATATATATAAGTTTTTATCCATTCATTTGTTGATAAACAATATGTCACCGTACTCCATAAATATGTATAATTATTATGTGTCAATTACAAATTTTATAAAAGCCTACATGAGGCAGGCACAGGGACTCATGCCTGTAATTCCAGCACTTTGGGAGGAGGCTGAGGTGGGCGGATCACCTGAGGTAGGAGTTTGGGAACAGCCTGCCCAACATGGCGAAACCCCATCTCTACTAGAAATACAAAAAGTTAGCCGGGCGTGGTGGCAGGCACCTGTAATCCCAGCTACTCAGGAGTCTGAGTCAGGAGAATCACTTGAACCCGGGTGGCAGAGGTTCCAGTGAGCCAAGATTGCGCCACTGCACTACAGCCTGGGTGACAAGAGTGAAACTCCCTCTAAACAAAAATAAATAAATAAATAAAAACCCTACATGAAAAGAGATATCTTTGGGAGTAAAGTCCAGGCATCTAGCCAACAGTTAAAGAAAGAGAGGGGTGCAAGATGTCGCCCACAAGTAGGCATTAGTATTCTCTCTGTTCCCTTGAAATCTTGCCATAGAATATATCTTATTTGAGCTTCTAAGTTGGCCTAGCTCAGAACAACAGAGTCTTCACACAGACCCTTGAGGAGGTTACCTTCTTTAAAGGTGTAGTAAAGATCTCAGCTTGCACCTTGTTATGTCCACTGCTAGAGTTCAGGCAAGTTGGGATGGCTATGGTGCATTGGTAGAGTTAGTTTGCATGATGGCTGAAGGAAGAGAGAGGTTTTTGTCTAATTTTTTCAAAGGTTCCTGAGGCAATAAAGGGAGATGGAGAGGTCAAGACGGTGTCTGGTGCTCCACCCAGTCTCAAAGATTGGGATCTAAGCCCTATGGAGAGCAAAGTTGAAGGCAGAAGCCAAAGAAGCTATTTTTACAAGAGCAATAGAGAAAGACAATGACACAAGCAATGCTGCTTCAGTGCCCAGGTGACAAAATGCTATAAATAGGGGGCAGAATGGCATCCTCCCCATTTTTACCCAGAGTGGCACTGACACAGTGAAACCTAAAAAGATCGTGTTGTTTTGGCTCCTTACAAGGTATGTTACTTTGAAGAGTACAATAAAAGATTACCCCAAGCAAGAAATTATAGTCCCCCAAAATGGCATGGCAGCAGTGACAGCAGCCAAGTGATAGTTTCAAGTGTCTTCTTGTGGACTGACATCAGCAAAGGCCCAAAGTAGATGAATATAAGAATACTGTTTGTGAGCACATGTGGGGTACCTCCAGAGATTCCCCTATATAACTGGGTGACACTTTGGGGGAAGAGAGTAAAATGATCTTGAAATATGTGAGTGGAAATAACATGAGTAGAAATAAGAAGACAGTGATATTGGCATTTTTACAGCTAATGTGACCTTATTTGTAACCACAGCCTGAGGAAGTCTGAGGTATTCATACTGTATAACAAAGGTTAAGTCTCCTGATTCAGAACTTGTCAGATATGTATATGAGTGGGTTTATTTTATTGTATGTTTTTGTTTGTTTAGCAATAGAGATGGCTTTCTGATTAAAAATCCACAAACTCTCAATGAATCTCCCTTTTGGTCAAAAGTATACATTTGTGGCTATCCTAGTGGAAAAACATAAAGAATCACACCTGCAGCATTGGCCTCATTAATATGTTCCAACCATCTGAATTAACTGGCCATAATCCTGGGAAATAGTTTCCTTCTGAACTCTAGAAACCCAAAAGTCTCAGTAACATGATAAAAATAAGTTGGTTTACGAATAAAAATTAGAAGACTTTCTGAGTCAATGGCCCTAGGCTTAGAGGAGGCAATGTAAATTAAAGATAAATTTCTGCTCTGGGCAGGGATTAAAACTGTACCAAGACATAGAGTGGAATCTATGCCAAGGGAATGAAAAATGTAACAAAACTTGAGGTAAACAGATTTAATTAAAACACAAACTTCCCAAATCTATTTTGTGTGATTATTTGTTATTATTCTTAGGAGCTGATTAAGCAGTAGCAGATGTCACTAATACACAAATCTCATTACACATGTAAAATGTGTTCAGTATATAGAAGACCATGATTAGAAAATTTCTGAAAGATACTGCTAACTACTTCCTACTTGATTTGCAAGGAAAATTTTAATTTAGATTTTAGAAAGTACACAAAGTTTGAGTCAAAAGTTGGGTCACTTTCTGGAAAATCATGAAACCAAATTGAGCTTGTCCTTTTTATTCAGATAGATAAATATTTATTGAGTGTCTACATGGTCACAGAATTCAGAATAGAAAAATAATTATTTAACCAAGTTGGTCCTTGCCTTAAAGAACAAAAGGGGCTAAAAGATGAGAGTGGACTAAAGGAAGTCCTTCCCTTCTGGACAATCAAGAAGTTGCTTCACATAAACAACATTTGGGAATGAAGATAGTAGGAAAAGAAGATTGTGAGATATGTGCCTTCTGCTGTGGGGCACTTCTAGTATATTGCTTACATCTGAGTAGCGCTTATGTGCCACTCATGCTAAGGACTTTGAATGTGTTTACTTGTTACAACAACCCTGAAAGATATGTACTACTATTATCTCCATTTTACACGAAAAGATTTTGAGACACGAAAAGATTTTGAGACACAAAAAGTCACATTACTTGCCTAAGATCACAGGACCAACAAGTGATAGAAAGAACTGTGCCTTGAATCTAGCCAGTTTGACCCCAGAATCCACATTTTACCACCACACTATACTGTCTTTCAATATACCCAAGTATACTTGGGCTATGAGTTCTTAAATATTCAGAATTACCAGTTTGAATGAGCAAATGCCTTTTTTTTTAACCGGTTTGAAGGAGCAAATCCCTTTACTAAGTATATGTATTAAATAAAATATAAAGCATCCCAAAGAAGGTGTTATGCGTGCTTCATTCTTAACTTCTGAGACAAATGACAAAATAAAGGAGTGCAGATTTTTAGCAAGTCAACAGTTTTCTAGAATGCACAGCAATTTCCTATGAAAACATAACACATTTTTTTTCTACTGTCATGAACTATTCAAAATTATATGAATTGCCAATTAGAATTTTTTGTCTCTGGATTGGGGAGGGCGACTCTCCCTCTTACTCAGCATCGAGCTACAATTTAAATAAGCTTCAATGACATGGAAGTAGAGGCAATTACTGTTAATGTTTGGAGTTGTGCTCCAGGATGGAATAAGGAAGGGAGATTTTTTTGTATTGGTCCCCTTCTATTTCAAGGAAAGTGAATTGCATGAAGACTGAAAAGGAACAGTATAATTTGTTGCCCAAATTAAATGGTACTCACAAGACATAATTTTTGAATTAATGGAGACATAAGTATCAAGAACTTGCTTTCATTCCCTCTAAAACTACTATCATTTGTTTTTATTTGGAAATATGTAGATTCGAGGTATTTCTTTCAGGGTGTGGCAGAATGTAATATTTGTGTCAAAGACCATTACTTCTTTTAGATTCTCCACACACACACAAAAAGTTACTGGCTAGGATTACATTGTGTTATTCCTGTGTCTCTCTTTATTTCATTTAATAGACTTTGGGGCAATGGTCTCTAATCTTTCGAGAAATATGACATCTCACCACTAATAGAAATGCAGAGAAAGAGGGGGATTGTGAACAGAGGGATCCAAAGTTATAACATCTGCAGGATGGCTCTCTGAATCTTCTCTAACCCATAGTGCACAGTATGATATAATTCGCTTTTCTAAAATGTTATGAAAAGACTTTCGACTTCAAACAACCAGACAATAGACAAACTTATTTCCATATGAGAGATCAAAAGGAAATTTATAGCCCTATGCTTTGTAGCAATATAGCAGAAAAGCCATATGAAGCAGACCACTATGTTGTGTATTTTCCAGATTTTCTAAAGTAAGGAATGATTTACTAGTAAATAAGGATTTTTGCTGTCTCATGTTTCCTTATATTAGTTTATTTTTTGTATTTGTTTCTATAATATTCAGTTACTGACTAAATTATTTCAAACATATTTTTGATATCTATAAAAGAACAGGGTAAATCTTCCACTAAACATTAATAAAATGTGGTGAGCAAATTAAAACTAAAAACAGAACCTTTCCTAGAAAATGCTGATTACTAAGCCAGTCACATATGTGTCCTCAATTTTAAACCACAGTTGAGATTATTATTAATACTTAAAATTATTTTTGTATGCCACAGTGTTTATCAATAGAGACTACTATTTAACCAGTGTAATAAGGGAGTCTAAGGCAATGTAGTAATTTATATTCAACTTACATGGTATGATGGTATTGACAGTGGTATGATGGTGTTGGGGATGGTATGATGGTGTTGAGTATAGGCTGTGTTATTTTCATGAAGAATCTCAGGAGAAAAAAGCAGTTTGGCTTAAAGGCTCAAAAGATGGAGTTTTGTGTTCTAATTCCATTTTGTGGTTGATGGATGACTCTGAATAAATGTCTTATTTCTTGGATCTCAGTTTCCCTGTGGGAAAATAACATTAAATGGTGGTACTACCAAGTAGTTGTGGGTAAATAAGTCATTTAATAAAATTACTAAAATAAAACTTTGCAAGTATGCATCAAAAGCCTTACAAAATAATTTTAGAAAGGCCAAGGGAATAGGAGGTATACAAAGCTTCTCGTACTGTCCCCCTATGACACAGCAAAATTTGACAGTGATAGTCATTTATTTCATTAGCTCTTTCATGTAAGGCACAATCCTAAATTAGGGTGAGAGTGGACAGTAAATAATGCCTCTGGATTAAAGAAGGATAAACTAAATGACTAACATAATCTTGGCCTGTTTAATCACTTTTTCAAAGGCTTCTGAAGTCCAAATGATTTTACTGATCACTGACAACTAAAGGCACAACATGCAAATGAGAGATGAATAAAATAAGACCTGCATTTCAAGTTCACAAAGGGCTGAGGCATGCTCTTTAAAAGGGGAGAAAAAGGTCTTGTTCTCTGTCTGAAACTCCCAATAATCTTTCAGACAAAAGGACAACTCACAAATGTTTAGTTGCCCAGTGATGACAACCTAACATACCTCTCATTTGAAGCTGTAATCTCAAAAGCTTTTCTCCAAAACTAAAGCTCTGAGGTAACCTCATAGAATGATGTGGGTTGGTGTGTACAAAAAGACATTGCAAGACACTTGGAGTTTATCTGGATTTCAACTAACAAGGAACAATTATTGTCTGGAATTCTCTTTGATCAAAATGAGACTGCTAAGAAACTAGATTTTTATCCTAAGACATAGGGGGAAGCCAACTCTGAGGAATGACTGAGACCTTTCAGAAGGACTTCTTAGAACTTCCACTTACAGCCACGAAAGAGTAACTGGTACTGGACTCTCACCATAACCAACTAGGGAAGTGGATGAAAGATATGAAATAATGGTTTTCAAACTGAACAATAGACAACACAGGACTTTGATCCCTGAAAGAAGGGAAATAAGCAAGGCAACCCTGATAGTTACCTTAGCTTTCCACCTGGAGTCATTTTTGAACTTCAGAGCAGTGCAGGAGAACCCAAATAGAGCATGTTCGCCTTGCTGACTTGAAGAGACAGAGATTAAAGTTTGGGGAGGCTGAGGTACCTGAGATATGCAAAGCAGAGTGGTGGAGAAAACGAAGTTACTCAGAGAAATAGAAATAAATCTGCCTGGGAAACTCCTTAATCTTTGTCTTAATATTAAACTGCACTTGCATAGGGTAAAAATCTACAAGGCAAGAAAAAAAAAAAAAAAAACAACTACCAGAGAGCTGTAAACTGAGCAATCCCCAAAGCTTTACACAAGGCTTGAAAATGTTTGAGTTATGATCATCCAGAGTGGAGAGGCCTCCTTGAATGCCCAGGGCAATGAGTAGAGAATGTAGAAGGGTCTATGCTTAGTAATAAATGTCATGCTTACCTAGGAAAAAAAATCAGTCAATAGAAACAGATGTAGAAATCTGATAGAGATGACAGAATTATCATGTAAGAACTTCCAAACAGCTATTATAACTATGTTCAAGGATTTAAGGGAAAATATGAACATAACAGATACATAAATAGAAGATATAAAAATTAAATATATCTAGACCTTAAAAGATTAAAAATTCACTGGATGGTCAATATAAATTTCAATATGGCAGAAGAAGAGAACAATGAACTTTAAGATTGAGTAATACAGACTATCACAACTGAAAGATATTGAGGAAAAAAAAGCTGAAAAAAATTAAACAGATTATCAGCGACCCGTGGAACAATATCCAGCAGCTTAATATACATGTCATTGAAGCTCCAAAAATGTGGAGGGTGGGAACACTGAAAAATTATGTGAAGACATATTGGCTTAAAGTTTTCCAAATTTGATTAAAAGCATCAAACACAAATTTGAGAGTCAGTGAATCCCATGTAGAATAACCACAAAGAATACCACACCAAGATATATTATAATCAAAATTATAAGCAAAATTATATAAATTAAAAATTATTGTAATCAAAATTATAAGCAAAAAGCAAAAAGAAAAATTTTATAGTAGCCAGAGGGATAAATAAGTTTCCTTGCCTGCAGGGGCATTGTATTTCTAGAATCCTTGGTTAAAATGTAAATACTCTTGAGGAGAGAACACATTATATAGTACAAACTGTCCTGTGGAGGAGTTTCAGGATTCCTTAGAAATAGGCCATCTGATGTAGGGCAGGGCCCTATGGAGTGGGGCACAGATTACAGAAATATGAATAGGCCCTGGAGTGTGGGGCAGCTCCAAGTAATGTGTTACAAAGAGGAGAGGTAAGACATAACACCAGACATGTTGTATCAACTATTAAGACTGGACTCAGAATGACTGTGGTATCTTAGGCTAGGGGTCCTGGTTGGGTGGCTCAATGTTGAAGATAATGCTTTTCAAAATTGGGAAAGGACCTGTACAATTACAGAGTTAGATTTGTAAGGTCAGTCCTATTGAGGAAAAATAAGCTTATTTGCCCTTAGGCACTAAGCCTAAAATTTCCAAATCTTGCCCCCAAGTAATCAGTGGTACCTTGGGTTATGGAATATAAACCATCTGGTTGGGGCTGCTACAAGTATTCAAGACTAAGAGAGCAATAAAAAAATGAATTTCTCTATACTGTACATGAAACGTTTTGTTTTATAAAAATAAATTATTAAGATAATAGCATAAATATTAATTAACTGAACTCTTAATTTAAGTAAAGATATCATGTAAGGTAATTTTAAAATAAATATATATACCTAGAGACAAATGTTGTCTACGTTTGCTATTTAAACACACAGTGATTACTAATCACCTTGATTAATTGGACTTTCTTTTATATACCAGGAAGAAAATACATAACTTTAAAAAAGCACTGGGCATTAGCTCAGCCCACTCTAAGTCAGTCATTTGTACTTGTAGAGTTAAAATTCCTTTTAGCTACTTTCTCCTTTTCCCAGTGTTAGTTGTCCTAGTGAGTTTCCTCTTGATTGCTTACTGCAGATCCCAACATGCCCTCCTTCAGGTGGTTTCTGGGGCCTAATATAGATGGCTCTCTGCTTCAAAGCCGCTGCCAACTAATCACAAAGAAACTCCTGAAACATGCAGTCACTCATAATCCTTTGGGCCATGTTTTTCTATGATTATCTATTTTTTCTATCTTTACAACCACCCCACTATGGTTTATTCCCTCTCTAAGGAGACTCTAGATTGAGTGAGAGTTCCTTTTCACACAATAGCTAAAGATCACTTATTCACTAAGCTCTGCCACAGACAGTCTAGGAAAATCTACTAGGAAATTCTAGTTAAAACTTCTTCTTACAATTTTTTTCTTACTGTTAACTTTTCAGAAAACAATTTGGCATATATCAAAGCATTATGATAATATGATATTGGAAAATAAAACTTATTAGAGTATAAAGAATACTTAACACAATTTAAACTTAAAATGACTTTTAAATTAAATGATGTTCCAAATAAATTGTGTGAACTGTAATTGAAATTTTTTTTGTTATTGAACAAGTGCAATAATATGTTGATATTAAGTATTATAGACACGTATCTGTTAAAGTAACTGTATCTGTGGTAGCTGTTAAAACATGAAATCTCAACGGCTTAACACAATAGAAATGCATTTCGCACTTATTCAGAGACCCAGGCTGTGCCACCTTCAGCATATGGGTTCCAAGAATACTCTGGGATTCAGCATATAGCCAGCAGATGGAGGAAGACAGAGAGGACAGGATTAGGTGGGAGGTTTTTATGTGTCATGCCTGGAAGTAGCTTACATCATTTCCACTCACATTCCACTGGCCAAAAATTAGTCATATGGCCACACCTAAGTTTAAGGGAGACTCAAGAGTGCATTCTAGTTATGTGTATTCTAGATTTGCGAACGCAAAAAGGGAACAGAGTTTGATGTGTAATTAGACTCTCTCTGCCACAAGGTATAATTTTGGTGGGGAAAATGCAAGTGTGGTTAGTTACCAAGAAATGCTTGTTATACGTTTAAGAATACGACTTAACATATATTTATTAAATGCCTACTATGAGCCAGGCAGTTTGTTAAGCATTAAATTAGAGAGAAACTAGAATCTACTATCTTTCATCTTTTCATGGTACAATGAAGGAAAATACACATAAGCTGATTTTTGCCATTCAGAATGATAAATATTACAAGAGAGTTAAGTATAGGGAATCAAAATCTTGTCTCCAAAGGGAAATCTTTTTTTTTTTTTTTTGAAATGGAGTCTGGCTCTGTCGCCCAGGCTGGAGTGCAGTGGCGCGATCTCGGCTCACTACAAGCTCCGCCTCCCAGGTTCATGCCATTCTCCTGCCTCAGCCTCGCGAGTAGCTGGGACTGCAGGCGCCCGCCACCACGCCCAGCTAATTTTTTTGTATTTTTAGTAGAGACGGGGTTTCACCGTGTTAGCCAGGATGGTCTCGATCTCCTGACCTTGTGATCCGCCCGCCTCGGCCTCCCAAAGTGCTGGGATTACAGGCGTGAGCCACCGCTCCTGGCATCCAAAGGGAAATCTTCTAATTTACTATTTCCCTATGCTTTAGCCCAGGAGAGTTAACATTTTTCATTGCATATTAATGAAATGTAACCTGGATAATTAGGGGGAAGATAACTTATAATGTTTATCACTTTCTTGCTGCATTGTGGTCATTTTTATTTGCAGCCCAGCAGCTTTATATACTTTATAGGACTAAATTCTTGCTTATTTAACATTCACTGAACATTCTGCTTTATATGCCTTATCAATATTTTTAAGTACATTTAATAAAAATTTATATTAGCTCCTGAATAGATTTTTTCAGGCTGCTGCTTTGAGAGACATGGAGGCAGCTAGGGGTGGGAAGTTGTTCTACTGAAATGTCCACAGGTGAAAGAAAAATAACATCATAAGTTTAATAAAATCGTTCTTATCAAGAATGGAACATCTGAGGTTCTTAAAGTTAAAGGCCTCATTTACCTTCATTATAAAGGAATGAGGCGTATGTGAAGACTGGGTACTAATGTGTTTTTTTTGTTGTTGTTGTTTTTTTTTTTTTTGGTAAAGTGCATGGATTCTCTTCCATTCCATTAGCATCAGTGATACTTTTAATGGTAAGTATGTTCAAGACATAATGGGATCCTGAAATTTTGAGTAAAAATCTTCCTTCAGGCAATTTCTCCGCTGCCCTTTAAAACTACCTTAGAGTTGTAGAAAGAACATTAGGCTGGGTATCAGGAGAAAAATTATTATAGACCTGTTCTACCACTATTCACTGTAAAAACCTGGACAGCATGCCACTTAATTTCATCTGGCTTCACTCTGGTTTCGGAATGTGAAAAGTATACTGAATCATGTTAGTCACATATGTATGTATGTATGTATTTATGTATGTATGGAAATGTAGTATGAGGGTTTTCTAGAATGCATATGTTACTTCTTTTAGTATAAAATTTATCACAAAATTGATATGTTTAATATATAGAATATGGTGATGCCAAATAAAAATTATCTGTAATCCCATTATAGAGACAACCACTCTTTGTGGTATATCCTCCCAGACATTTTGTCCCATGGTAAATACTAACTCTTAGAATCTTTGACAATTTAGTATGCCCTGTGACCATATCTGCATTTAAAAAATCTCTTTTCTGCTCATTGAAATTACATTCCATTTTGGGAAACGACCTACAAGCAACCAGAGGAGTATTTCTTTCATTATCAGTACTAGAGGCATCAGCTATTTTCAGTTTGAAAGACTCTGTGAGTTTGCAACAAAAAGAAAGAGAACACACTGATGACTTCAGGGTAAGGGACAGGGATTGTATGGATAGGGCTGTAAATAATATTAAAGCTAGTGAAATGACCTGGATGGGACAGAAAGATTTATTTCATAGTTTATCTCAACACTCTTGGGAGATAGACAGTGGAATATAGACTTAGTGTTCAATTCCATCCCTTTTTATTGAGTCAGGGGATGTTTAAAAAAATTTATTGAGCTCTTTGAAAGTCAGCATTTTTAATAAGTGGCACTGAGAAAAGATTACACTGAAGAAGATCCAGGTGACAATACAGAACATAAGACATGAGGGAATTTATAACGGCTAAGCTAATTGTGGTGGAGGACACTCAGGAAGGCAGACCCCAGGGAATTATCTGCTCATCTTCCTGACTACTGCCTATTCACCTGCCTCTCCCTCTTTATTAATGGCAATTTCAGAGTTCTCGGGTCCTATCTCCTGGAAAGAAGGTGCAGTGAAAAAGCCTTTGCTTTGTAAAGCAGTGCCATTCCCACACCCAGTAATCACTCCTAACATATAAATATATCTCAGTATAAAGCCTGGCAAGTTTCACAAACTTTGGAAACTAAGAGAATCCCACATTTTAGGGAAGCATCTAGAAAAGCAATAAAAATAATTGAAGAAATGGAAAACTGAACCTATGAAGAAAGATTTAATAAAGAAGTTGGCCGGAATGACTGCAGCCTAAGATTTAGAATTAGAGACGGATTCTAGGTTCAGGTCTCTGAGTAATTCTGGGCTTCGGGAGTTAAGAAATGTTGCAGGTTAGGTTCTGTGGAGTAGATACTGTGAAGAAATTTGGCATCCTGGGTTTTTAGGATGTTTATACCTATGAAAGGTAGTGGGAGGGAGCAGGAGTGAACAAGTTGAGAAAAACTACCATGCAGATAAACCACATATGGAGTTCTAGAGTATATATGGCTCATCAGCACATTTCATATTGGACTCAGATGGATGGGCCTCTATACCACCATTACACTTAGTCATTGGATAGGAAGGATAAGCCCATGGGTACAACAGTTCTCTGTAGCCAAGACAAACCGTGAAGGGAGGTGACAACAGGAGGCTGTCTGCTCACAACATTCCATATACGGTCCAACAAGTTCTACCTTTAAGAGGTTTCTGGGCAGCACATCTCTCTGCCCACAGCAACAGGGAAATGAGGGGGAAAAATTAGATGAAGGTTAAGGTTTCTATAATTCCTAACAACTTGTTGATTTAAGAATAATGACATATAACAAATTTCATAACAAATTGGGTCATTTAAAGAATTAATCTTTGTTGCTGAAAGAATAACTGCCATATGACAGATAAAAATATTCCAGTCATTGCTATTAACTTGGGGACTATGATTCAATTAGTGATAAACACATATACACATACACACACCTCATCTGTGCACATCAGGAAATAAATAATATGATACTTCATACTGGGATTTGGAAGACAGCACACTAACTGCGTGTTTACCATACACAGAAAGGACCAAATCTAAGGCATTGAGTTTATTTTACATAACGGCATGAAAAACTCAAGTTGAATTTATGGATGATCTTCCTAACAACATATTTGAATCATTCTGGATCATCAAAAGAGGACGCTCAGTTAAAACCCATATGTTTAGAATATATTTGGAAAAGAATGATACAATAAGGTGAAGAGACGTAAAAAAGATTGATAATGCTAATAGCTACCATTTATTTGCCATTTACTATGTGTCTAAGACCGTGTTAATCCATTTACATATGTTATTCTATATAACTCACATAGCAACCTATGAAGTAGCAATTATTATCCCCACTTTACCTATGAAGAAGCAGGACCGAGATCAAACAGTAAGTGGTAGAGTGTGGATACTTATCCAGGTGCTCTGATTCCAGAGCCTACAGTCTTAGCTACATCCTATACTGCTATCACATCAAAGAGGGATTTGGATTTGCTCTCTATGACTTCAAGAAATAAAATGACAAAACTCCAGAAGGCCTTACACAATCTTTTTGCTGCCTATTTCTCCAACACTATTTTATAATGCCTTCCACTTTGTTCACTTTGCTCCAGCTATACTGGCTTGGAACAAATAAAGTTCTTTCCACCTCAAGGCTTTTGTCTATGCTGTTTACTCTGCCTGAAATGTTCTTTTCCTCACTCTTCACCTGTCTAATCTTTATGCCACTTCTTCAAGTAAGCATTCCCTGACCTACCTCCTCCAGACTAGTTTGGATGTTCCTGGTATAAGTGTTCATGGTTCCCTTGACTCCTTCAAGGCATATATATATAATTTCAATATATATATATTCAAAATGTATTTGTTTGTTTTCTTATTTATTGTCTGTCTCCCTACAGTAAATTATGAATTTCATGACAGCAAGGATCACATCTGTTTTATTCACTATGTTTTTCTATGCTATTTGGTGCTTAACATAGTAGGTGCTTGTTTGCTGGCTAGCCAGGTAGACAGCTGTGTGCTTGGATGAAAAACTGTCACCAATGAATGCAAGTTACCAGAAGCCAGAGTTGAACTCTGATAAAATAGGCTAATTTAGAAGGCACTAAACTTCTTTTCATCAGAGATGTTCAAACAAAAGATGGATAGCCACAATAACAGAATGTGACAGATTACTTAATAGCCACAAATTTTCCCTATCCTTGCATGCATTGTGACTTTTCCACTTCTCTCATCAAGAGATAGAATCTGTTTCTCCATCTTGAAGCTAGGCTTGGTCATGCGATTTGTTTTGCAAAGAGATATTAACAAACATGACAAGTAGAGACTTACAAAGTATGTGCACATTGAAACTTGCCCTCTCTTGAAACACAGTCCCACCATCTGAAGTTTGAAATAACCTCTTTGAGAATGAGAACCACTTGGGAAGGGATGCAGCCAACAGTCAGTACTAGCCACAGGACATATGAATGAGCCCAGATTAGACAATTACTCGATGGTAGAGCCACCAAATCACTGCAGTCACATGAGTGAGCCCAGGTGAATCCAGAAGAACTGCCTAGCTAAGCTTGGCCCAAATTGGTGACCCACAGAATCATGAGCAAAACTGTGCTGGATGTTTTAAGCCCTATATTTTTGGAAAGTTGGTTAGATAGTAACAGCTGAATTAGGGGATGCTGTAGTGGGTCTTCTAGTAACAAGTAAAGGGGTTTACTAGGTGATCTTAAATGGCTCTTTTAATCTTCAGAATCTATGATTGTAATTCACATCTTTTTCAAACACTCAAATGACATTTGAAATGGCTAACAAGTCCCTTTGTATTAAAAATGTACGATAGAGGTTATTCACCCATTTGTTTGGATTTACTATACATTTCCGAATTAAAGATGCATTTCAGCATTTGATTTGTACTTAAAGCTCACATTATTTTAAATACATTCTCTAAATCCTTCCTAGCAAGCAAAATAACATTTATGCTAAAATCTGCCTCATGGCCTGTTCTATGTCTTCATGTACAGACTGCAGGAGGTATAATTCATCTATAAAAGGCAGCTGAAATATGCACTGCTTTGAATTGTTTTATTATTGTGCACGAGGGACTGGAGGAGAAAATTAACTGCCGTATGCTGCCTCTTTCAAAGTATCAGATGGATAATAATAAAAGAGAAAATGTATAAAATCATTTAAAGCCATTTTAGGACCATACGTTCAACTTCACTGACAATAATCAACTAATATATTTCAGAAAATAGAAGTGGTGAGAGTATAATCCTGCTCATTATATTGGGTGTTAGACTTCAAATAATTTGAAAATCTTATGAATATATAGCAAACGTAGTTTGTAACTAGCGATAACTAGGCATCTGATAAAGATGAATTCCATTACTCATGGGGCATGTTTCTCCTCTTTTTGCCATAACTAAAGTCTTTCCTCCTTCAAAGGTCAGGCAACAAACCTGTAGTTTTCAGCAGATCCTCCTAGATATACTACAATTCATCCAGATTCCTCCCTCCCATTATGCCCACCCAATTCTGTACTTGTCCCATAGATATATTAATAGGTGGTGATTATTATTTTCTTTAAAAAAATCACCATCACCATAGGATTTCTTTAAACAGCAGGAACCCCTAGTGATACCTTTCTTATTTTCCTTCCTCCTTCTCTCCATTTTAATGATCTCATTGTATTGTTTGTGTTTATTTGCATGTCTGTTTTCCTAAATAAATATGGAATTCTCGAGGATGTATGAATAATGTTACTTGGGATATTAGATCGAAAGATGGTACATATTAGGTTCTGAAGAAATTACCCGAATGAAGGAATAAATGTAAACTACTATGTTAATTAGATCATTATCTTTACATTCAACAAATACCACATGAAAAGCAGTAGGAATCTGTGGTATTGCTTCTTCCATTCTTATTCTTTCCCACTGCGCCCCCAACCCCATCTCAGCCAAGGCATAAATTTTATTAGGGTGTGGAAGGCCGTGAGAACTGGAAGCTGTTCTGCCACTATCAAAGGGGGCTCACCTGATTTGGAAAAGTGAGCACTGGCAACACCCATGCCCAACCGTGTTGTCAGTGGAAGTGATCATCTTGGACACAAGGTGAGTAAGAAAATCTAACAGCTTTACTAACTAGAGGCTGCAGTCATGGTTGGGATAAACATAACTCTGGAATGGAGGCCCAAGCTAGCTACACACTTCTGGCAAACCCTGAGGCTGCACACATGGTAACATACTTCTCAGAAGCAGATTTTGATAAGATGTGAAAGGGCCCAGAAGAAAGTAAAGTCTGCACAGCCTGCACTTTGAAGAAAAAGGAATCCACATCTAGATATATCATAAGCCAATCACTGAAAACAAAATACAAAGAGAAAATCTTAAAAGCAACAAGAGAAAGAAAAAAACTCATAACATATAGGTGAGCATCAATATAATTAAGGCTGACTTCATAATAAACAATGAAGGCTAGAATTACATATTCAAAGCGATAAAAGAAAAAAATTAGCCAACAGAAGAAGACACATAGACATTGCACTCAGCCCAATTCTCGCATGGCTTCCTTAAAAAGTTTTCCTTTTAAAACCCCTGCCTCTCCCACAAAAAATCAAAGTGATTAATTTGGATAAGAATCTGGCTACTTCCCGTTTACTAGTTTTGGTTAATAGTCACTTTCTTTCTACCAGATGTTGCTCTTGTTAATTGCACTCTGCAAGTGGTAAGCATCTGGACCTGCATTTCATTACAAAACTACCAAAACAGAATTCTATATCCAGTGAAACTATCCTTCAAAAATGAAGGCTAAATAAGGATGTTCCCAGATTAATAAAGACTGAGAGAATTTGCTGTTAGCAAATCTACCTTCTAAGAAATACTAAAGGAAGACCTTCAATGCTGAAAGGAAATGACACCAGATCCAGAACTACGGGAAGAAATGTAGAGCAACGGAAAAGGTAAATACGTAGGTTAATAATAAAACACTCTATACTTTTTTTAAAGATTAAGATTACATGAAGCAATAATTACAACACAGCATTTCTAGGTTGGTCATATATAGATACAATATATATGACAGCAACAATACAAAAAAGAGGGAGAACTTACTGTTGCTAAATTGCTATATTTTTCTGAAATTATGTTAGTATTAATCTGAAGGAGGTTCTCGTTAATTAAGATTCATATTGTAATCCCTAGAGCAACCATTAAGAAAATAACTAAAAATTAGCTAAATATCTACAGGGGAATTAAATTGGTGCACACACAAAAAATATTTAACTGAAAAGAATGCAGTGAAGGGAAACAGAAACAACAATCAAAAAAGAAAGAAAGAAAGAGGAAGGAGACATATAAAAAAACAGTAAAATAAGAAATGTTAATCCAACCAAATCAGAAATTATCTTAAACATGAATTAGCTAAATTCCCAAATTAAAAGGCAGATATTATCATATTAGGTTTTTTAAAAGCAAGATAGAATGATCTGCTGTTTACAAGAGTGACACCTTAGATGCAAAGACATAAATAGATTGAATATAAAAGGATCTGAAAAGGTACACCATGCAGCCAGTAACCATACTGACTCTGAGATACAGAACAGTGCAAAGTTGTCTGCTTTCGCCACTTCTATTGAACACTGTACAAGAGATCCTAGCTAAGGCAATAAGAAGAAAGAAAAAAAAAGAGAAGAATCAAAAGAAAGAAAGAAGGAAAAAACTTAAGACATTCAGATTGAAAAGGAAGAGGTAAATTTGTCTTTCATCTGCAAATAAACAAATCTAAAAAGAGATATGGAATCTACAAAAATATCTATAACTAATAAATACATTTTAAGTTGTAAGATGCAAAAATTAATATACAGAAAAATGTATATCTAAATAATAGCAATGAATAAGCCAAAATTAAAATTAAGAAAACAATTCCATTCATAATATTATCAAAAGAATAAAATACTCAGGTATAAATCTATCAAAAGTAGTACATGACTTAGAAAACTACAAAATGTTGTTGAGAGAAATTAAAGAAAATATATACAAATGGAAACACACTCCATGCTCATGAATTAGAAGACTCAACATTTTCAAAATGGCAATTTTCCCCAAAATGATTTAAAAAGTCAACGCAACCTTTATCAAAATCCCAGTGAGCTTTTTAATAGAAATTGACATGTCTATTCTAAAATTTATACGGAAATGAAAGAGACCCAGAATAGCCAAAACAATCTTGAAAAAGAATACTTTTGGAGGACTCACACTTTCTGATTTCAAAACTTACTATAAAGCCCTAGTGTGGCATTATCACAAGAAAAAACATAGATTTAATGGAACAGAAATGAGAGTCCAGAAATAAACCTTTACATTTATGTTTAGTGAATTTTTGATTAAGGTACCACAAGAAGCACAAAAATTCACTCAAAATGAACTATAGACATGTGTAAAAGTTAATCTCCCATTCTTTGCTTAACTCACAGTAGGTGTTCTGTCACTGCTGTGGTCTTTCTTGGCTTCAGATGTCTCAGGCTGATTATGCAGAAAAGTTCACAGCCTCAGCCAGCCCTCCAGGTTATGTGAAAACCAATGCCATCTAGAAAAGAACTTGTAAAGGACCTCATTGTATCTCACATTCAGTGCATTTCACCACTCCAATGTTCTATGAATGGATGAGGAAGCCACTGTGTGAGGTATAGGGAAAAACAAGCAGCATTCATATTCAGATTTATTCTCCAACTCCATAGGAATCATTTAAATACTTTTTCAACCTATTTGATGCACTGCTTTTGAGTTGTAGATATTTTTAAATGACCATATTTATTTTCTCTGGTTTCTTACAGGGCTGGGCCATACAGTATGTACTCAAGATTTAGTAGTTAATTGACTGATTGAACTTTATAGGTGAGTTTTCACAGGTTTTACATGAGATAAGATGCCAGGCCACTTCCTTGGAAACATATATACAAAAGGAGCTACTGTGCCATGGTTCTATAAAAGGGCAGTATTTACTTACAGAGAGAGCAGTGTTACAAATTCTTCTCAGAAGTCTGAAGATGTTTCTCTCCCCAGTGAACTAATATACTTATTTCATTAAACAGTGGTAGTTATGTAGTGTAGTATAGTAGTTAAATAGAGGATACTATGGAGCCAGATTGCATGCATTTTAATCTCAACTTCTCCAATTCCTAGATTGAATTTAAATCCTGAGTTCTCTACTCACTCTATGCTTCAGTTACCTCATTTATAAAAGAGGCATATAAGAGAATCTATTTTATGGCGTGAACCCGGGAGGCGGAGCTTGCAGTGAGCCGAGATCCCGCCACTGCACTCCAGCCTGGGCGACAGAGCGAGACTCCGTCTCAAAAAAAAAAAATAATAAATTAAATAAATAAATAAATAAATAAATAAATAAATAAATAAAAAATATAAAAAATAAAAAAAAAAGAGAATCTATTTTATAGGATTGTTGTGAGGATTAAATGACAAATAGGAAATGTTAAACAAATGTTAGTGATCCCACCCTTTCTCTTCCACTACACCTCTGGGAAAGGGGAAGAAAGGACAAAAAACTGCAAAGAGATTTTCACAGTGTTATTGGTGGTATAGAGATGGTATATAGTCTAGCTTCTTAAAACTAAACATTGAAAGCAATTTGTATAGTCTGTTTTCCATAGAAGCCAAGAGGGGGGTTTATTCTACGTTCTTTGAAGAGAGATAACTAGTCTGGCTGACTACAACAGGCTGTGTCACACAGTCTACAGTTATTGATTGTGCCACACAGCCCTACATTATTGATCTTTAAATGTAGCATCATATATAAAATAGTATAAAGCTGTGTGTTATTCACCTTTCTATCCTCAGTGGCTAATACAATGCTCTCTTACAATGCTCTCCACAAGAGAAGTACAGATACAATATTACGGAAATTCAGAGGAGAGAAATTACTAACAACTTGAGCAGGTGGAAAAGCATTGAAGCTTGGTAGAGAAGATGGTGGAACTGTGCAGCATTGAGACATGTCCAGTTGGAGAGATATGAAGCTGGGTGAAAGTAGTACAAGAGGAGGCAACTGAATGTACAACGGCAAAGAGAAAGAAGAATCAGTGGATGTGCAGAGGAAAGAGTGTGCAGGGAGGTATGACTCATCAAGAGGGAGCTAAAGGATACAAAGACAGCAAACGCAGGTTAAATTTCCTGGTGTGGGGGTGGTGGGAATGATAGTGGCTTGAACTACCCTACTATAAAGTTTGGATTTCATCCTGTGGGTAACAGAATGACTGAAGGTTTTTGGAGAAGGATATGGTGTGATCAGAGCTGTGCTTTAGAAAGATTAAGCTGGTGTAGAAAAAGGTTGAGAGAAGGGAAGGGAAAGAAAAGACTAATTAGGAGGTTGTTTAATCGTCCAGGCAAGAGGTAACTTGGGCTAGAACCAGGGAAGAGGAAGTGGGGAATGCAAAGTAGGGGCAGACCCAAGAGAAATTTCAGGAGGAAGCAGAAAGGAGGATTTGATAATCTCTTACATCCCTCCTCTTCTCAGGCTAGGACACAGCTCAGTATTCAATGCTCTCTACAATCTGCCCCAACTACTTTGTCCAGATTTACCTTTCCCTAAGCATGTCATATGCCTCATTCTCCAAACTGCACTGGATCACATTCTTTTCTTCAAAGACAATCTGTACTTTTCCACTTACTCTCCTTTTCTTCAAGGATAATCTATCTGTACTTTTCCACTTACTCTCCTTATCTCCAAATATACAAATCTAACCTACCCTTAAAAGTCCACCTCAAGTGCCATCTCTTCCATCAAATGTTCCTGACTCTCCTCCAGCCATAATTAACTTCTCGCTCCTCTGTTCATCCACTTACGCTTTGTGGGACATGGTAAATACTTCAGCTTTTTCTCCAAGTTCAGTAGAAATCCACTTAAGACTTTTAAGCAGCAGAGTAATATGATTTGATTTACATTTTTAAACAACCATTTCTATTGCTCTTTGGGTAAACTAGGTATAGGAATGTTGAATCAAGACCAGGTAGGAAGCTATTGCCCTAGTTCAAGCAAGAGATGATGGTGACCTGACTAAGCAAATGGCAATATATATGAAGAAAAGAGGGCTGATTTTATATATATATATATAATCTAACATATAATCTATATTTATATATCATATATAATATATGTATATATTATATATCATATATAATATATGTATGTATTATATATCATATATAATATATGTATGTATTATATATCATATATAATATATGTATGTATTATATATCATATATAATATATGTATATATTATATAACTAATATATTTATATTATATATATATATATATATTCCAAGAAGCAGACTACTCATGTAGGAGGTAGATTTGGAAAAGCAAAGGTAAGGAGTTTAATTTTTATTTTGAGATACCTATTTATACACAAAATGAAGATGTTAGTGGGCAGTTAGATATGAGTCAGAAATTCAACGGAGCAGAATGAGGTGGAGAAAAATATTTTGGAATCAATGGAATAAAATGATAATCAAAGTCATGGGACTACATGAGATTGCTTAGAGAGAGAATCTCCCTCTTCCCTCTAGTAGTCCCCAGTGTCTATTCTTGCCATCTTTATGTCCACGAGTACCCAATATTCAGCTCCCACTTGTGAGAACATGCAGTAATTGGTTTTCTGCTCCTGCTTTCACTTAGGATAATGGCCTCCAGCTGCATCAATGTTGCTGCAAATGACATGATTTCATTCTTTATGGCTGCATACTATTCCATGGCGTATATATGCCACATTTTATTTATTCGATCCACTGTTGATAGGCACCTAGGTGGATTCCATGTCATTGCTATTGTAAATAATGCTGTGATTACCTATGAGTGCATGTGTCTTTTTGGTAGAATGATTTATTTTCTTTTGAATATATACCTGATAACAGGATTGCTGGGTCAAATGGTAGTTCTGTTTTAAGTTTATTGAGAAATTCAAAATTGCTTTCCACAGTGGCTAAATTAATTTACATTCCAACTAACAGTATATAAGCATTCCCTTTTCTCTGTGGCCTTGCCAGCATCTGTTGTTTTTTGGCTGGCAGAATGACTATAATAATAGCCATTCTGACTAGTGTGAGATGGTATCTCACAGTGGTATTGTGGTTTTGATTTGCATTTCTCTAATGATTAGTGATGCTGAGCATGTTTTCATGTTTGTTGACTGCTTGTGTGTCTTCTTTTGAGAAGTGTCTGTTCATGTCTTTTGTCCACTTTTTAATGGGATTTTTTGTTTTTTGCTTGTACAATTGTTTAAGTTCATCACACATTCTGGATATTAGAACTTTTTCAGAGGTATAGTTTGCAAATATTTTCTCCCATTGTGTAGATTTTCTGTTTACTGTTAATAGTTTCTTTTGCTGTGCAGAGCTCTTTAGTTTAATTAGATACCACTTGTCAATTTTTGGTTTTGTTGCAATTGCTTTTGGAACCTTTGTCATAAAATCTTTGCCAGGACCTATGTCCAGAATGGTATTTCCTAGGTTTTCTTCTACGATTCTTACTGTTTAAGGTCTTAAATTTAAATCTTTAATCCATCTTGAGTTAATTTTTGTATATGGTGTAAGGAAGGTATCCAGTTTCATTCTTCTGTATGTGGCTAGCCAGCTATCCCAGCGCCATTTATTGAATAAGAGGTCCTTTCCCCATTGCTTATTTTTGTCTACTTTGTCGAATATCAGATGCTGTCAGTATGATTTTCTGGGTTCTCTATTCTGTTGCATTGGTCTATGGGTCTGTTTTTGTACCTATACCATCCTATTTTTGTTACTGTAGCCATACAGTATAGTTTGAAGTCAGGTAATGTGACGCCTCAGGGTTTGTTCTTTTTGTTTAGGATTGCTTTGGATGTTTGGGCTCTTTTTTGGTTCCATATGAATTTTGGAACATTTTTCTGTGAAAAATAACATTGGTAGTTTGATAGGAATAGCACTGCATCTGTACTTTGCTCTGGGGAGTATGGCTGTTTTAATGATAATGATTCTTCCAGTCCATGAGCATGGAATATTTTTCCATTTGTTTGTGTCATCTCTGATTTTTTTTCAGCAGTGTTCTGTAGTTCTTATAGAGATCTTTCACCTCCTTGGTTATCTGTATTCCTAGGTATTTTATTCTTTTTATGGATATTGTAAATGGGATTGAGTTCTTGATTTGGCTCTCAACTTCAACATTATTGGTGTGTAGTAATGCTACTGATTTTTGTACATTGATTTTGTATTCTGAAAGTTTACTGAAGCTGTTTATCAGTTCCAGAAGTCTTTTGGTGGAGTCTTTAGGGTTTTCTGGGAATAAAATTATATTGTCAGTGAAGAGAGAGAGTTTCACTTCTTCTTTTCCTATTTCGGCGCCTAGTATTTCTTTCTCTTGCCTGATTACTCTGGCTAGGACTTCCCATCATGGAAGTTGTTGTTAACTTTATCTGCAATATTTTCAGTTAAGTTCAGGAAAATGAAATCAGCCTGAAGAGGTTTGAAGGGTAAATGGAAGCTCACAAAGGAAAGAAGGTAATGTGAATATATCTTAAAATGAACTTGCCTTTCAAATTTTCTTTTCAGCAGAGAAGTGGAGTGATCATTGCAGTAGATGTGGTTGTAGAAAGTTTGTGTCTTTCTGTAAAATGTATTAGAAAAGTAACAGAAAGGTTTTTTTTTTCTTTTTATAAAATGGGTGACTGGAAAATACTAAGGCAGGTTAATGTTGATGGGAATGATCCAATAAACAAGGGAAAATTGGCCGGGCGCAGTGGCTCATGCCTGTAATCCCAGCACTTTGGGAGGCCGAGGTGGGCAGATCACGAGGTCAGGAGATCGAGATCATCCTGGTTAACACGGTGAAACCCTGTCTCTACTAAAAATACAAAAAATTAGCCGGGCGTGGTGGCGGGTGCCCGTAGTCCCAGCTACTCGGGAGACTGAGGCAGGAGAATGGCGTGAACCCAGGAGGCGGAGCTTGCAGTGAGCCGAGATTGCGCCACTGCACTCCAGCCTGGGCGACAGAGCCAGACTCCGTCTCAAAAAAAAAAAAAAAAAAAAAAGAAGGGAAAATTAGCATTGCAGAAAAGGGAGAAGCTAACTGAAGAGGCACAATTTTTGAAGAGGAGAAAGAGGATGCAAATTGTGAGTAGATGAAGGGTTTTCCTTTAATAAAAGGGGAGATGGATATACCCTCCTTTGGAAACTGTAAGAAAGGGGAAGAATATGTATGCAGATAAAGATAGGATTGTAGATTTGAGGACAGGGAGATAGAGGAGTTTCTAGATGACAATGATGATGATGATAGAAAACACTTAAAACTACTTATTATTTGTCACCCATTACACATACACATACACAAAATTTACTCAAAACTATCAGGTAAATGCTATTATCTCCATTTTACAAATTAAGAAACTGAAACACATAAAGGTTGAGAAATTTGCTAAAGGTCCTACTGCTGGTAGGTAGTTGAGCTGGAATTCACACTCAAGCAGTATTGATTGAATGTTCATACTTCTAAACATACACTGCTTATTTGATGAGGTATGGTAATCAGATATAAGCAAAGGTAGAAAAACTTGGATGAGGAAAGAAAACATATAGAATAATCATTTTTATAAGTCGGAAGGTGAGCCTAAAGAGGAATATAGTAGAATTACTGGGTAGTGTTTCATTCCTATTTTAGTTTTGAGACCTTAATTGAAACAGAAGCCAGTCAGCTGTGATTAGCAGAAGGTTCAGAAAAGCCATGTATAGGTCAACGTTCCCCATTAAATTATGGGTTCCTGGAAATGAAAGATAGATACACCAGCTCTTGTCTGTGTATTCACCAGAGCATTCTACAAATAATAGGCACCTAATGTCTGTTTAACTGCATTTGTTTGATCTATTGTTCCCAAATAAAATCATATGAGAGAGGCTTGTTAAAAATATTCATTCTCTAAAGGAAAAGACCTTCTAACTATGATTCAAACTTTAGATGCAATAAAAGATTGATACATTTGACTGCCTAAAAATTTCTACATGGCAAAAAAAATCTACCATAAGCAAAGCAAAAAGTCACAACATGATAAACAAAAATGTTATTTGCAACGTGTATCATAAAAGGGCTAATATCCCTAATATATATAGATCTATACTCTTCAAAATACAGGGAAAATAAAAGATCAAAACTGTGTTAGAAAAATAGGTGAAACACATGAACAGATAGTTTAAAAATATATGCAGTTACTCCTTACATATGTTAAAAAAGATGTACAACTTTACTTATAAGATAAATGCAAATCAAAACTGCACTGAAATATGATTTTTCATACATCAGTTTGAAAACACTTAAAAGTTTGCTAATACACTGTTGCTGAGGCTGTGGTGAAATAGAAACTCTCATGTGTTGCTGGTAAGAGTGCAAAATAATATGATTCCTTCAAGGGGAATTTAAAAATGTACTATGTTGTGCTGGTAAATGTTTGACAACTGGTTCTCCAGAAAAGAAAAAATCAAAACCACACCCAAAAAGTCCTGATGTGTGGCATTTACTGATTTTCTTTGTGAAATAGTACCACCATGGCCAATTTCAAGCTACGAAGGTGAAGTCACTGAACACATTTTGGGAAGAGATGCACATTAGCACACTATTGTATAGGTTTTTTCCTTTTTTTTTTTTTTTACCATATAAAATCAATTAACATTAATAACTTCAAGAAAACAGATAATAGAAAAATGTAGATAAAAAGAATTAAGAAGTAATGATTTTATTTCTTACCTTAATTTTGTAACTTTTATTATTTTAAGAAGACTATTTAATGACATATTGTAACATGAAAAAGCAGATTCCCAGATTATAAGTACAGAATGCCATTCTTTCTGAAAACAAGGCAAGATAGAGGTCTGAAGTTATATTCACCAAGATAACAGCAGTGGTTATCTCTGGGAAACTGGTTTAATTTTTTATAATGAACATGTTTTTATAATAAGGGAAATATTTTTATTTAAAAACCTCACATATTAAGTTCTTATCAGAACTATATATTTGTAAAAAAAGAACTATATATTGGTAGCTATTACTATTCTACACTGATCTTTTTAGGGTTTTGTATTTTTTAATTTTGTTTTTAAATTAAGTGAATTTTTAATTTACTGTAAATTTTTTAATTTACTGAATTAAAATACAGTAAGCTGCCTTTTTTGGTGTAAAGTTGTATGAATTTTAACACATAAAAATTAGCATAACCACCACCACAATCAGGATAAGAAGAGTTCTATCACCTTAAAAACATTCCTTCATGCTACTGCTTTGTAGTCACACCCTCCCCTCACTCCTAACCTCTGGCAGTGGCTTGTCTGCTTTTTATCACCATCAATTTATATTTTTGAGAATGCCGTGGAAATGGAAGTACATAACTTTTTGAGACTGGCTTCTTTCACTCAGTCTAGTGCCTATAAGATGAATGCAGGTTGTTGCTTGTTTCTATATTTTGCTCCTTTTCGTTGCCAAGTAGTATGGATGTACCATGGTTTATTTATCCATTCACCTGTTGAAGGACATTTCCAGTTTTCGGAGATTATGAATAGAGCTGCTATGAACATTCATGTGTGTTTATGTGTGAACCTAAGGTTTTATTTCTCTACAGTAAATACCTCACAGTGGGATGGTAGAGTCCTATGACAAGTGTATGTTTAACTTTAAGAGAATCTGCCAAACTTTTTTCCAGAATGGCTGTAACATTTTGCATGTCCATCTGCAATAAATGAGGGTTCTAGTCCTGCTGCATTCTCACTAGCACTCAGTATTGTCAGTTTTCTTTTTCAGTCTTGCCATTCTACTAGGTGAGTCGTGGGTCTCGCGATCACTTTAATGTGCATTTCCCTGATGGCTAATTATAGTGAACATATTGAACTCTTCTTTATGCCTTCTTTATGTCGTTTTCTTATTGTTGAATTCTGAGAAGTCTTTCTGGATAAAGTCCTTTGTGGGATGTGATTTGTGAATATTTTCATACAGTTTATAGCCTGTCCTTTTATTCTCTTAACAGTGTCTTTTGCAGAGCAAACATGAATTTTGATGACGTCAACTTGTCTATTTTTCCTTTTATAGATTGTGCTTCTGATGGCATGTTTAAGAACTCTTTGCCTATTCCCAGGTCATGAATATTTTCTCCTATGTTTCTTCTAAAATTTTGACACTTTTATGTTTTTGTTTTTATATTTAGGTCTATGATCCATTTTGAATTAACTACTGTATAAGGTATGAGGTTTAGGTCAAGGTTCATTTTTTATTGTTGTTGTTTTTTGCATATGGATGTCCAACTGTCCCAAGGCCATATGTGAAAAATATTATCCTTTCTACATAGAATTGCCTTTGCACTTTTATCAAAAATCAGCTAGCCATAATTATATAGTCTATTTCCAGACTTTTGACTCCGTTAATTGATCTATGTATCCCTTTGCCAATACAACACCGTCTTGATAACTATTGCTGTAGAGTAAGTCTTAAAGTTCAGTAGCGTGATTCTTCCCATTTTTTCAAAAATTTTGGGTATTTTTTTATTTTTAATTTTTGTGGGGTACATGGTGGGTGTATATATTTATGAGGTACATGAGATATTTTGATACAGGCATGCAATGTGTAACAATTACATCATAGAAAATGAGGTATCCATCCACTCAAGCATTTATCCTTTGTCTTAAACAATACAATAATACTCTTTTAGTTATTTTAAAATATACAGTTAAATTATTTTGACTATAATGACCCCCTTATGCTATCAATTACTAAGTATTATTCATTCTTTCTGCTTTTTGGCATTACCTTAATTAGAAATATAAATTTTTAAATTGTAAGTTTATGTGATTTAATTCTTACTAATGGTTATGTATAACAACCAGCTTGCAAAATTCCTAAGAGTGTAACAATTGAATTTTGAAAGCCAGTATGAGTCAGCTTTAGCACGCCACTGAAATAGCTGAAAAACTAAATACATGTTTATTCCGACCCAACACTTTCACTTTTGGGAATTTACTTTGAAGGTATATCTTTGATAATACAAAAATACATATAAACAAATGATCACTGAATAATTTTTACTAATAACAAAATGTTAGCCATAATCTATATCTCTATACATAGGAAAACTGCACAATGAAGTTCTATGTGGCTGTAAAAATGAATGAGGATGGAGGAACTTGTCATAGCAGCTTTATTCTTTTTGGCTGAAAACCAGAAACTACCTAAATGTCTTCCAGTGGGTGAATGGTTAAATAAACTGTAGCACATCCATTCCACAGAATACTGCTCAGTAACAAAAAGGAACAAACTATTAATATATGCAACAATTTAGATAAACCTCAAAAAATTTTCTGAGTGAAAAAAATCTTATCTCAAAGGTATACATACTGTGTGACTCCATGTATGTAACATTTGTCAAATAATTATAGATACAAAGAACATAACAGTGGTTGTCACGGATTAGGGATAGTGAAGGAGAAGATGAGTATGGCTATAAAGAGGGTCTTTGAGGGAGCCTCGTGTTGATGCTATAGTTGAATACCTTGATTGTGGTGGTAGTTACACAAGGCTATACATGTGATAAAATGGCAAAAGCTGCACACACATGAACACAAATGGTACACACACAACTGGTAAAGTCAGAATAATTCTGCGGATTGTTCCAATGTCAAATTTCCTGGGATTTATATTGTACTGTGGTTGTGTAAGATATTAACCTTAGAGGAGGCTGGGGAAAGGGTACATAGGACTTTCTTATACATTTCTTTGCAACCTTCTATAAATCTATAATGATTTCAAAATAAAAATTTAAACAATTAGGTTCTCCATGAATTTATCTGTGGTGATTTCCCAGAAATATTGGCAAATTTATTTATTTTTTATTTTTTTATTTTTTTGAGATGGAGTCTTGCGCTGTCGCCCAGGCTGGAGTGCAGTGGCATGCTCTCTGCTCACTGCAACCTCCGCCTCCCAGGTTCAAGCAATTCTTCTGCCTCAGCCTCCCAAGTAGCTGGGACTACAGGCACGCACCACCACGCCTGGCTAATTTTTGTATTTTTAGTAGAGATGGAGTTTCACCATATTGGCCAGGCTGGTCTCGAAATCCTGACCTCGTGATCCACCCGCCTCGGCCTCCCAAAGTGCTGGGATTACAGGTGTGAGCCACCGCACCTGGTAGCAAATTTAAAAGGGTACAAAAAAGAATTAATCTAATATATATATGTATATCTAGAGGTGTATGTATATATGAAATACCTTGTAATACCTTTCATGAAACAAAAAGTAAGAAATTGGAAAAATATGTAACACATGTTTATTTTTTTCAAAATGTAACAAAGCAATAGTAAGGCAGAGAAATAAATGAAATTGTTTATATAAAGGAAGTAGACAGGCATGAGGTGAAAGGGATAAGGAAAGGTATAAAACTTTTCTGAATTTACTATTTTACAAAGTATTGATTTTTTAAATTATGTTATTTTACATATTTAAATACATACATTTAAAAAATGGGGGAAACTTTAAAATTGAATACAATCAGAAACTCATATATCTAACTGTACATCAAATAGATAACCCCACAAATGAAAAAAAAAATCAAAGTAAATTTTAAACAACATACTCTGTGAGTATATTCTAAGGATAAAGGTAAATGATAATAAAATTTTAACTTTAAACAGTTTGTTGTTGATATTGGTATGGGTACAGAAATTCCAAAACTGTTTTGTCTATATGTAGGAGTGAACAATTAGATATATTGGTGCTTTAGAGATTCAGGGTTCACACTTTGGGTGAAGGGAGGTGCAAATATAAAATGCAGGAAGAGAGAAACAAATTGTGGTGTTAGATTAGATTTAGAAGTATCAATATAAACTCATTTACCTGCTGAAAAAGTCTAGAATCAATGACACCAAATTAGCAATGAGCAAAGCTGTTGCCCATATCCCATGGTTTCAAAATACTGTTTTCCACTAAAATGAGCCAGAGCTCCTTCCAGGGCTGAGACAAGTAGAGTACACAGTGAGTCTGAAACACTGTGTTCCAGAAAGTAAGAAAGTGTTCAACAACTAATGGAGGAATTTCAAAAAACTGGAGGAATCACATACCTGTCTTTAAATTATACTACAGAGCTATAGTCACCCAAACAGCATGGTACTGGCACAAAAACAGACACATTGTCCAATGGAACAGAATAGAGAACCCAGAAAGCAATCTAGACACCTACAGTGAACCTGTTGCTGGAAAAGATGCCAAGAACAAACACTGGGGAAAAGCCAGTGTCTTCAATAAATCGTGCTGGGAAAACTGGATATCCATATGTAGGAGAATGAAATTAGATCCCTATCTGTCACCATATACAAAAATAAAATCAAAATGGATTAAGTATTTAAATCTAAGACCTCAAACTATGAAACTACTTCAAGAAAAAATTGGGAAAAATCACCAGGACATTGGTATAGTTAAAAATTTCTTGAGCAATACCCCACAAGCACAGGCAACCAATGCAAAAATGGACAAGTGGGATCACATCAAGTTAAAAAGCTTCTGCATGGCCAAAAAAAATATAACCAACAAAGTGAAGAGACAACCCATAGAATGGGAGAAAATATTTACATGCTACCCATCTGGCAAGGGATTAATAACCAAAATATACAGGGAGCTCAAACAATTCTATGGGGAAAAACCTATTAATTCAATCAAAAAATGGGCAGAATATTTGAATGGACATTACTCAAAAGAAGACATACAAATGGAAAACAGGTATATGAAAAGGTGCTCAACATCATTGATTATCAGAGAAATGCAAATCAAAACTGCAATGAGATGTCATCTGACCCCAGTTAAAATGGCTTATATCCAAAATACAGATAATAGGAAATGTTGGCAATGATTTGGAGAAAAGGGAACCCTCATACAGTGTTGGTGGTAACGTAAATTAGGCACCTCAAAAAACTAAAACTCAAGCTACCATATGATCCAGCAATCCCACTGCTGGGAATAAACTCAAAAGAAAGGAAACCAGTATATTGAAGAGATATCTGCACTCCCGTGCTTGTTGCAGCACTGTTCACAATAGCTAAGATTTGGAAGAAGTATCCATCAACAGATGAATGGATAAAGAAAATATGGTACATATAAACAATAGAGAACTATTCAGCCATCAAAAAGAATGAGATCCTGTCATTTGTAACAACATGGATGGAACTGAATATCATTATGTTAAGTGAAATAAGCCAGACACAGAACGACAAACATCCCATGTTCTCACTTATTTGTGGGATCTAAAAATTCAAGCAATTGCACTCATGTACATAGAGAGTACAAGGATAGTTACCAGAGGCTGGGAAGGGTAGTGGGGTGGGGGCGGGGGGGAAGGGATGGCTAATGTGTACAAAAGATAGAAAGAATGAATAAGACCTACTATATGATAGCATAACAAGGTGACTATAGTCAATAACTTAATTGTATATTTTAAAATATCTAAGAGTGTAAATAAATTGTTTATGACACAAAGGATAAATGCTTGAGGAAATGGACAACCCATTATCCATGATGTGATTATTACATATTACATTCCTGTATCAAAGCATCTCATGTACCCCATAGATGTATACACCTACTATGTATCCACACAAAAATTAAAAATTAAAAAATTAAAAGTAAATAAATATAAATAAAAAATAAAATGGAGAAAGGAGTTGAATAGATATTTCTACAAAGAAGGTATACAAATGGCCAATAATCACATGAAAAGATGCTTAACATCACTAATAATTAGATAAATGGAAAGCAAAATCACAATGACACACCCACTTCATACACATTCTTACCATTAGGAACAAAAATTTAAAAAAGTAAATAACAAGTATTTGTGAGGATGTGAATAAATTGGCACCCATGTGCATTGCTGGTAAGGATTATAACAGTTCAGCCACTGTGGAAAACAGTTAAGTGGTTCTTCAAAAAATAAATATATATGTACCATATGTTCCCCCATTCCATTTTCATGTATATACCCAAGAGAATTAAAAGCAGGGACTAGAATAGATATTTGCACACCAATGTTCATAACAGCTTTCCATGTTCATAGCAGCACTATTTACCATAGCTAAAACATGGAAGCATTCCAAGTGTCCACTGAAGAATGAATGGATAAACAATATGTGGTATATCCACACAATTCAGCCTTAAAAGGGAAGGAAATTCTCACACATGCTGCAATGTGGATGAACCTTGAAGACATCCTAAGTAAAATCAGCCACAAAAGGACATGTTGTATGGTTCCATATCTAGAATTGTCAAAAAGTATAAAGATAGAAAGTAGAATGGTGGTTTCCATGGAATAGAGACAGGCGGAATGAAGCTTTACTGTTTAATTGGTACAGTTTCAGTTTGGGAAGAAAAATTCTAGAGATGGATGGTAGTGATGGTTGCACAAAAATGTGAATGTTTTTAATGCCACTGAATTGTATACTTAAAATGGTTAAAATGGTAATAATTCACTGAGCTGTACACTTAAGATTTGTACATTTCAAAATGGACACATTTGATGAAAAAGAAAGAGTCTAGGAGTCTATAGTAATACTAATGAAGGAGGGGGTAATTCCTTTTCATATAAGAATACCAACTTATATGTGTGGAATGAGTTTAAAATGACCAGGTTGCAACCATCATCATAATCACTGGTTCTGGAAAGAAGCATCAGTGAAATATTTTGAGGAACAGAGTATTCAAATAGTCTCAAAGCATTGCCAACAGATTATTAATTTTATTTATAAAGGATAAAAAAATGCTTTTATAGTGATTTAATCTGTCAGATATCTCATTAAGCAAATAGTCAAACTAAGAATAACCAATAAAAGGAAAAAACAGAAATCATGTGCCTCACTGAAAAAGACACAGGATCACCCAAATCATATTCCTGTCAAAAATGTATAATGTGAATCTAATTATGAGCAAACAGATGAATTCAAATTGAAGATAATTTTACACAATAACTAGTCTGGTTATTTCAAAAATGTCAATGTCATGAAATCAATTTAAAATAAACTTAAATTACCTTGAATTTATACAAATTTTTATTTGTTAATTGTCCTCAATAAAGCTGGAAAAAATAAGTACAAATAAAATAAAAGGGCTTGGAAACTGTTCTAATTAAAGGCAACATGAAAATATAATGTGAAAATAAATGGAATGCATGATCTTTGCTTGGATTCCGGATCAGAAAAATATTATTAAGGATATCACTGGGATAATTGGGAAAATTTCAATATAGTATATGTGTTAGACATAGTATCTTATCAATGTTAAACTTTTTGAACATGATAGTTATATTTTGGTTATGTAGGAGAAGGTCTTGATTCTTATGAAACACATGCTAACTAATTTAGGGGTGAATTATCATATCTGCAACAGACTCTCAAGTGGTTTAGAAAAAAATACAGACATACCCGTGTATGTAGACATAGTACAAATGTGGTATAATGTTAACAACTGGTTAATCTAGGTAAAAGGCATATAAGTGTTCATTGTAATTTTCTTGCAATTATTCTGTGGGTTTAAAATTTTTCCAAATAAAATAATGTTGTGAAAAATAAAATAAAAATCTTTAAAAATATTCAGTCTCACCTAAAGGCATCTAATATTCTGGGACTGAAGCTGATATATTTGAAGGAAGAAAGGAATGGCTGGATGGCTAGATAAATAGCTTGGAGTCAAATGCTCTAAATTCTAGTCCAAGTTCTATCATTAACTTGTCATTTTATTTGAGTTTTCTCATGGGTCAAATAAGGGGTGATAATACCTCCTTGCCATGTTTACTTTATGGGGCTGTTGTAGGGATTAAATGAGATAACAGATAAAAAAGTACACTGACAAGGGGAAAAGTGCTATTCAAATTCAGAACACTTATATTGTTATTATCAATCTTAGAATACTTTTACAATGGCCACTACCAAATCCATTGTTGGAAACTCACAAGTATTGATTTGCACATTTTCAATGGTATAAATTCACCCCTTTGCTTCTGTAATTCCTGTATCCTATGACATGGGTATTCCCTGAAATGATTGATAGCCCTTGCAGGCTATCATTAGCAATGAATGAGACCAGTGGCGTCCAAGAGGATTCTCCTACATGCCTGCTTTCTGGGCAGCAGTTCTGCATATTTTCCATTTGAATCAGTGGTAGGAGTTCTTGTTAAATCAAGTGTAATCAGAGAAGATGGTGGGCAAAGGGAGGCTTGTAGAAGGAAAGAGGAAGGAAAGGTGGCAGGGTCACAAAGATACTACTTGATACATTTTAAGGGAGAGGACCAGAAAGTCCTGCCACTGTCACCTAAAGATATCTATCTTCTTGAGGTGTTCTGATTTTTCACTAGAACCACTGCTACCAATTTGCCATGTATTTAGTGGTAAAAAAATGATTCAAAGGTCGATATCTCATATACAGTATTTGGAAATACACAAATCAATTCTGTTTCAATAATCATAGCATGGGGCAAGACTCAATTATTGATTTCATATCCTTGGCACACAAATTGTACCATAGTTGCCCTAAGGGTAACTTTTGGTAAAACAACAACAACATTAAAATCCCTAAACTATTTCGGAAAGGAAACACACACACACACACACACACACACACACACACAACACACTCTCACATATACTGCATGTCCTTTTTATCCTGTAGGCTTTGAGGAGCAAGCCACATTTGTGACTTATGATCCACAACTGGCCATTATTTACTTGGTAGAGACACTGATTCACATAGAGACATAAATAGTAGAGACCTAGAAATATAGGTCCATTCAATTGTACCATCTTACAAATAATGGCTACTGATCAATCTTATTTTAAATTATGTCTTCTGTCATTCATTCATTCAATTCTTACAACTCACTCTAGAAACTAGTCTTTTGGATTGTGGTTAGGTGCTCTTTGTCAAATTCTCGTTAATAGAATAACCACGTTAAACAGACTAGGAGGCAGCATATTGCACTTGTCCAGAATTCAAGAGAGTTTTCTTCCTGGACTTTGTGAACTTAGAAAATTAAAATAATAATTTTCTTAGCTTCCTTATCTGTAAAATGAACCTAATACATCTTGCTCAACCTTATTGTTATTATGGTAATCAAATCCAGAAATTCATTCAAGATAATCCATAGTATAAAATGTAAACATTATTATTTTGCATCAAACTTTGATATACACGAAATACATGTCTCCTGCCCAGAAAGCACTAAACCAGAAAAAGAACCAGACAATACAAAGACAACTTAGTGTATTTTTCATTTATGACTAAATCAACAGCCAAGATGTCTAATCGCACTCCTAAAATTTCTGTGTAGCCAAGTTGTAAAGCTTAGAAGAAAATTAAATTTAGAGCCTGGCAAAGAGTAACTGCCAAAATGCCAGAGTCCTTTTTTCCTGGCAGCATTAATGAAGCCCATAATAGCAAACAGTGACAGCAGTCCTGTCAATAACCACCAACACAGGAACAGTGCTTGTCTAGGCATGATGGAATTCATACTATTTCTAAATGTGATGCTTTGTTCAATATTAAATATTTGACTCAAGATTTGATCTTTGATACATGGGAGAACACAATCAAGGAAGAACAAATTGGGAGAAATGTTGATGAAAGCTGTTATTAAATAATTAGGTGCATTTTCTGTATGGTAAAACAATTTGACAAGTCTGATCTTCTCAATGGCAGAGTTTTAATCTGAGTTCTCCCAGAGGAGATTGAGGTGATTAAATCATGTATTTCTTAAAAACAATAGCCAAGCCTTAAATGGGCAACACACTGATCATACCTGATAAAAATTCAAGGAAGTTACATATCATATTCAGAATTATTAAACATTTTCTAAAACTATGAAAAATAAGAAAACACAAAGGAAACAGATAAAGTTACTCTGTGGGAAAATTGAGAAAAGATTGGGGCTAGTATTTAATATTACTTCTTTTAGAACCACAGCTGCTGATAGAGTTGATACAGTAGTTATTTTAATTACTATTAATACAATCCATTTCAACTGTGGGATTAAGAAAGCTTTGAGTATAAAGTGCAGCTTCCATGTATGAATCTCAAAATGTCTAACAAACATTATCTACCTTTTGTGAGAGGAGTAAAGTCAGCAGTTTTTGCCAGTAGAGAAAGAAAGTTATTAACTTGCCTGCAGATGCAGGGTGCCATGGGACAGGGGCAACTTGTATGAGTTTACAAAGTAGAGGAAATTAATTTCCTTATATTCTTTTCCCTCTTGCTAACTTGGGAAGAGGCAGGGAAGAGGGAATAAGAGAAGGAGAGAAGTGTTTTCTATCTTTTGTGCTCCAGGGGGAAGAACTAAGCAAATACAATAAAACTGCATCAAGTAATTAACTGACTAGTCAACTCACAAAGATGCACCAAGCACATATACCCATATCTGTGCCAATCATTTATATAAAGAGTGAAATGAGTCATTATCCTTAATTAATACTGTGATTACAAAAGAAAATGTTGCTATCTTTTAGACATAAACGCTGAAGTATTTAGGGGTGAAACATCATGTTATTTGTAATTACCTTAACGTAAATCTGGAAAAATAAAGAGGGAGTAAACACGGCAAAATGTTCACAGTTGTACAATCTAGGTACTAGATATTTGGACATTCATTATATTATTCTTTTTGTTTTTCTGTATATTTTCAAAGCCTTATACTAAAAGGTTAGATTTTTTTTTTACCAATTCAGAGTAATGAGAAAACGCTAATTTAAATCAGAAAAAAATCTGAAAAACAACATATTTTGAAATGAACTATTTTTACCTTTGATCCTTCATAGCAGCTGAAACTAAACTAGTTTTGCCTTATATTGTATCATTTGTTTGGTTGACTAATATATCCCTTACTCTAAAAAGGATTGATACATTCAGACAATTAACAAAATCAAATAAAATTAAAAATAATAGAAGCATAAGAGAGAATCACAACATGCAAGTGATAAAGTCTTTGCCCTTGTATCAAGTGGGTCACAATGTGAACCCAAACTAGCAGCAACAAGAAAATATCCTAGAATGTTTATTTGGAAAAAAATAAACTAATTACAAGGAAAAAACTCATGATACTATTACAGCTAATATTTGCTAAGCATTTATCAAGTGTTTCAGGCATATTTCTAAGCACTTTTCATATATAAATTCACTGGATTCTCACCACAGGGACTACTTTACCCTCAATTTACAGGTGAAAAAACTGACATTCATAGAAGGTAAGTAACTGACTTGCCAAAGGCCACATAGCCAGGAAGTGACAGAATTGGAATTTAACCACAGGTAGTCCTGATTAAAAAAACCACATTTAAATCTCTAATTAATATTGTCTCTTTTCCTGGTAAGTGCAACATTTTAAAATAATGAGACCAGAAGAAAATATATATTCCATAGGTTTTTGTAGAGCAAATAATGAACAACATCCTCAAAAAAACATCTTCACTGTAAACACAGTGACAGGTTTCATTAGGCTAGTCATGATGTTTTGTAATTATCATATCTAGTATTTGCAGTAAATAAGTTCTTAGGTGCTTGAAAATGATGTGTTTTAAGTAGCTTAAACACACCTTCCTATATCTGCTAAACCTGTTAATCTGCCGAGAATAACTGCACCCCCAGCTTTTTTCAGAGTAATATGAGTCGTCACAAATTCTGAATTATTGGAGCCTAAATCTCTGACATGTACAAAGTGGCTAGGCTCATTTAGACTTAATTTATACTTATTTTGGATAATATCATGTATTGCAGACTTCAAATGTTGTGATAGATTGAATAATGAAGTCAAATGGTGGGAAATGAATGATGAGCAGCTTGACCGAATATTAAATTCAGTTATGGTAACATACCATGAATTTGGTCTTGAATAAATCAACCAAATGCCCCAGCACCTGCCTACCTATATCTCCTTTCCTCTATTTCTTGCTCATCTTTTAAGTGAGGCCTTTGAGCCGAGAACTTCTACCTAGAGGATATCTCAATGACTGTGCAATAAAAATGATAAGCAAGATACAAATCTGTTCTTAAACTCTAGAATTATCTGATTAGGTAAGATTCAAACCTGAGATGAGCTGTCATTAAATTACAACATAACTGCACTTAAAAGTCTTGGTTTGCTCATTTCAGAAAGCACTGTTCATTCATATACTGAACTGGGTAGGAGGCAGGGGAAACAGGTGGCCTATTACTAGATCCATTTAACAAGAGACTTATGCATTACATATCCATCTCGAGGCAATTAGGCTGATCATTTTTTTTTCTTTTATGGCTTCATTGAAAACTCCTGGCAATAAAGCAATTATAAAATATGTATCCTAGCGTTTATCTATGATATCAAACGCAATGGCCTTCTTATGCATCAGTGGTGGACCCCTATAGACTTTTCTCTGAAGAAATTTAGTATTTCCAAGGCAAATTCACTGTTCAAAAGATATGTAAATATGAGGAGGTCTGGTGTATGAATAGCAAATGGGATGGATGAAACAATTTGTTTCAATTGTCAAATCATTGTTTGTTGATTTTAAAACAAATACCAATTATTACCTGCCAAATTTATTATTATTTAAACACAGATGTGTTTCTAATGTGGATTTGAACACTTAGTATGTACCAGGCTCTGTGAAAAACATGCTACAGGAATTATTTCACTTAATGCTCATAGCCCTAAAAATTATCATCTTTACCTCCATTTTATAGATGTGAAAACTGAGGCTGAGAGAGGTTACTTATGTGATCCAAGGTCACAAAACTAGTAAATGGTGGAACCAGGATTTCAATTCAGACACACTAACAGAACTTGCAATGCTAACTACCATGCTAATCATTTTTAGAAGCAGGATGCCAAAATATTTGTGGAATAAGAAAAAAGCAATCCACAATCATCTAGATACTGATGTTGTACATGAAGTTTTAAGTGGTAGGTTGGGGAAGACTAAACAAGATCAGGACTGAAAGTCTAGTTAGAACCCTAGATTTGGTCAAAGACAGAGATTAGAACATGGTGAAAAGATATGGTATTCTGGAAAATAGCAGACTGGAAAACAAAGAATCAGATTCTAAGTCCTGCTGTTTCTAGCCAAGCAGGGTCAGATGAAGCAAGTGATTGAGTTTTAAGAACAAAAAATTGGTAGGAATCCAAGTAGGAAGGTGATTGATATGAGAGAAATAAGTTTCAGGGACCCAGTCATTGAAAACCTCTGGGGAATGTTTCCCAAACAGGATACTGATTATTGAAGAAGCACTGAGATACCATGGGCAGCATTGTACCAGCAGGTAAATCAACAAGATCATGGTTCTTAACTTTGCCTTCACACTAGAAATAAAATACGTAAACTTTTAAAATATCCTGATGTCCAGGTTATATTCCAAACCAATTACATCAGAACCTATGGATGTAAGATCAAGTCAAGAATACCTTTTAAAGCTCCCCATTGATTATAATGTGTAGCCAAAATTTAGAACCACTGAACTAGACACCAAGTCACAGAACAACTTGAAATCTTTATAGGTCCCTATGTAGGCAGAGAAAGTATCAAAGAAGCTGGGGTGGGTTTGAAACTACAGGAATGTAATTACTGGTCTCAACTTTAAATGTTACAATAATGTACATGCACAAGCATGTCATTTTACTTGTTTCTAAATAATGACAAATCCCAGATGGGGCTAAATTTCATTGATACATGGTTCTCAACATCTAGATGATAGATCTCATACAGGAAATTCATTCTGATAACTAAATAAAATGTGATTTTTTTCTTAGCTGTGCTGATACATAAAAGTACTAACATAGCCATGAAATTTATCATTATATTGATGCAGATATACTTTATGTCAAATCACCTCCCTCAAACTAAATAATTCCAAAGGGTAAAAGTTTGATAATGCTGCCTATAAGCTTACCATAGTCACAGAATAAAGCCTCCAACTCTTGAGGTCCAGGGTTGGATTCAATTAAAATTCACTGATGGCTCAACGTGTACCAAATTATTGACATCTGCTTTAATATATGTTAGGGAAGGCTGTATGTAACAACCAAGTGACAGAGTTATTGAGAGGATCAACCAAAATAATATATATGGAATTGCTGGTTCATAATGCCAGAAAACATTAAAAATTAAAATAGATTTAATAAAATTTTCCCAAGCCATGTATGTATTCTGTGGACCAGTGGGTAGTAGTTATACAGACAGGGTCTCTTATGTTTCTTGGCGGTAAGGATTATTTACATCACGGTATTAGTCCATTCTCATACTGGTATAAAGAACTGCCCAAGACTAGGTAATTTATAAAGGACAGAGGTTTAAATGACTCACAGTTCCGCAGGGCTGGGGAAGCCTCAGGAAATGTACAATCATGGTGGAAGGGAAAGCACACATGTCCTTCTTCACATGGTGGCAGGAGAGAGAAGTGCCAAACAAAGGGGGAAGCCCCCATGATTCAATTACCTCTCACCAGGTCCCTCCCATGAAACATGGGGATTATTAAAATTCATGGTGAAATTTGGGTGGGAAAACAGAGCCAAACCATATCAATCACCAAGACAAGTGTAGCTTTATCACATATATCTAAACATCAGATGACTGGCTGTTTTCTCTGAATGTCTTGGTGTCATATAATTTTACTTAGAGATTGCTTGAAAATGACATTAATAAAAGTCACAATCTATTTGTTTTACCCTGATCTCATTTCATTGTCACTGTTGTTGTTTTTCTCTCCAGATCCCCATGTGAGTACATGACCCATTTAATGCAGCTTGCAAAATTCAGATGCCCCAAACTTGAATCCCCATGTTCTTAGAAATAGCTATAGCAGGCCGGGCGCGGTGGCTCATGCCTGTAATCTCAGCACTTTGGCAGGCTGAGGCAGGCAGATCACGAGGTCAGGAGATCGTGACCATCCTGGTTCACACGGTGAAACCCCGTCTCTACTAAAAATACAAAAAAAAAAAAAAAATTAGCCGGGCTTGGTGGCAGGCGCCTGTAGTCCCAGCTACTCGGGAGGCTGAGGCAGGAGAATGGCGTGAACCAAGGAGGTGGAGCTTGCAGTGCCAAAATCGCGGCACTGCACTCCAGCCTGGGCGCCATAGCAAGACTCTGTCTCACAAAAAAAAAAAAAAAAAAAAAAAAAAAAAGAAAGAAAGAAATAGCTATAATATTGCTTCTAAGCCTTTTGGCTAAGATCAGGTGTAAAAATAGCTATAATAGAAAAAATATCTGGCTTAACATCATGAAATCAACTAAATCTAATCTAATGGAGGAGTATAAGCAGTTGCAGTTTTAGCAAGCCACGTATCACAGCCATATCCCTGACTTGTGAGTTTCCCTTTAATTCATTTATGCATACACAATTACCTTTGGACTCATTAAGTCTTTTCTCAGTTAAAGTTCTGCATGACTTGGTAACTCACTATCTATATATAAATGAAGAATTTTTGAAATTGGGTGGGCCATAAACGGTTGCTTGAAGAAGAAAAAAATATATGGCACAATTTTAAGTCAAGAAGAGGAAAAATTCACAGTCTTGACTGTGTAGTTTAAAACTGGATAAAAAGGAATTAAGGCTTGGGATAGTTTTCTTATGCAGCTGACAGAACTTAAAATGATCTCATTTTTATAAATTAAATTTGACAGGTGATTAATCTATGATAAGTCGTAATTAAAATGCTTTGAAAAACAATTTCAAAAAGTATTTTAAAACATAGCAGAAAAGAAATATTTGAAAATCACCTGAGTATGTGTATCTCAAAATGCAAATGATGGCACCAGTTTATTGACAAATTAGGTATAAGCAATATAGATACAAAGAAAGATTACTCTGGGTATAAAGTGATAGGAAGGTAATTGGAATGATCCATTCCCAACACTTAATTCTTGCAGCACTAATGGGATTAATGGGTTCTCAACTAAAAGCTTCACAACTTGAGCCGTTCTTATCAGGTCAAGTAACACTTACATAGCATACAATCAAAAGAGCCTTGTCAGACTAGTTAGGGCAGTCATCAGAACAGCTACTGTCGTTGGGTAGCTTCCAATTTAATGTTTGGTAGCTTCCATTTAATGTTTTTAGATAATTCACAACTGATCAACTTCTGAATAGGTTCCAAAGAACTACCTCTTATAAAGAGAACAAAATAGAATGCAGAGTTTTTCAGACTGTGTTTAAAGTAAAAAATAGGGTTCTGTAGTCAGATAGGTGTTGAAAATGCCTGAGTTAAATAGAGTTAAACAAATGTAACTAATATAGGACTTCTCTAAGGCTTTAATATACATTGTGAATTGAGTCCCCACATTGTCAACTTCTACACTCAGCCTGGACACTGAGAACCAAAACCATACCTTAGTGTCTATACTAACATGACTTTGCTATTTCCCTGCTTTCATTAGCGTTTCTTTACTCTTCCCAAACTGTCCTACCCAAACCAATGGTTTCATTGCTCATTACAGGAGATTCCCAAAAGACCCATCAACTCTTCAATGGAGAGTGTTCACAGACTGCTTGAGCCCTAAGATTCTTTGAATCCACCCTTCAAAATCCTCACTTTGCTGCTTCCATCAGTCCTGAGCTATTTTATCATGATTGCCACCCAATCCCAGTCCAGACCCTGCACTGAAACACCTGCCTTACATCAAATTTCCAATTCTTAATAAATTATATTCTTACCATCCCCCCTCTGAAGCACTGTCAAAGCTTCGAGGAGGTGGTGAAGCAATAAACTCTGCTTTGTCTTATCTACAAGTTGTGTTGGAGATATCTGGGGAGACTTCTTGACAGAATCTTCAAGAGGATGGTATAGGATCTTTTATGGTCTAGATTTATTTGATTATTCCCCAATATACACGTGTATATATGCATACATGAATATGTGTATGTGTGTATAGCACCTTGCACATTCACACACTTTGAGAAAAGGTTATATGGTGGAAAGGACTTTGGACTAGGATGAGAAGATCTGTGTTCCAACTCTGCCCCTGCTTCTAACTACTTGTGGGTTCTTGGGAAAATCCCTCCCTTTTTCTGGGCCTTACTTTCCTCACCTATAAATGATAGTATAAGACTAGATGATCTCTGAAGATACAGTTGATTCTTTATCTTTTTTCTACCAGGGCACTCATGGTGAAAGTTGTATAGATGCTTGGGTGGTAGCATAGGTAAGGCAAGTTATAAATGATTCCTGACATACTAACCTTTCTCTCCCATTCAAGAATTTAGATAAAAATATAAGCCAGTGGATGATGTTATCATAGGGTTATACTTGAATCTACTTACAACTTTTTACTAGTAACCAAGTACTTGAAATGTGTCATTAGTATATGGTAACCTGGAAGCTGAGAAATGCTGGTCTGAAACACTTTGGTTCTATGACTATGATTTCTACAAGTAGTGGTGAGAAAAGCTACACCAATCCTAAAGAGACTCGCAGAAGATAAATCTCTTTTCTTCTTTTACTAAATGTAATAATTGAGTTTCTAAAGCAAGATATGCTGCAAAGCTGTCTAATGGGATACTAGCTGAAAACAAAATCCAATACATAATGATACCTGGTACTGAGCTCAATTCCAGCAGATGCACAGCAAGTCATGACATCTGTAAACTGGATCTCTGCAAACTCATTGTTACTAATATTTCTTTGGACTGATGATTGAATGCCTTCTCATTTGTGGAGCTCTTTTAAATGTTGCTAATTATACTATTTTACATTTGTATAGCACTTTATTTTTGCTAGGGTCTTTTGCTTGTATTCTTATCCCCAGGATATAGGTGAAGGAGGTAATTGTAGGTGTTTCTCTCATTTTTAGAACAGAAAAAGAGTTTCATAGAGGTTATTTGCTTAAAGCTACACAGTAGAAGACCCAGGAGTCTAGTCTATATGTTCAGATTCTAATTCTCTATATTTTCTTCTACCCTCAAAATTTCTCCAAGTCAACACTCTTTCCCCACCAAAGACCTCCTATCCGATAAATCCAATGGCCTCTCCATTCATGACTTCTTTCACTTGTTCATTCCTTCTTCATTATTTCATTCATTCAACAGATATTCATTATTTGTGCATTTCTCTTTCTTGATGTTTCTGCCTTATTCATCACCATTAGGCATCCCTTTCTCCTTGTTCTTTATTTTTCAGTTCTTTGCTATCTATCTGTCCTCTTCCCTGGCTCCTTTTCTCCTCAACCCCCTAAGTGTGTTTTCCTAACCTCTGACTTTGATTCTTCTGTTATATCTCTCTATCTTGCCTTTTAGCAATTTAATTTTAGTGTAAGGTTTCAGTTGTTATCTCTGTATGAATGAGACCCAAATTTGTCTTTCTAGTATGAGAGAAGTACAGAAAAAAATGCTATGAAAGCTCGAGTGAAGTAGCAGTCACTTCCAGGTTTGTTTGTTTTTGTTTTTGTTTTTTTTGAATGACAGAGTGGGAATCAGAAATGTCCTGGCTTTTTAGTGGTTCCTTGAAGTCTGGGATAGGATTTGGATATGTAGAAATGGTAGAAAAGGTGTCCTAATAGAGGAAACAGGATGAACACAGACACATTGGTGTGAAATGATAGAGCAAGTGCAGAAAACAGCAAGCATTCAAATTTGCATTATAGAATGAATAAATGCCTGAAAAGAGTAGTAGCAATGTTCAATGAGATTTTGGGAGGTTCTGAGTGCTAGCCATGAGAATTTTGACTATACTTGAACTAGAGATACTAGCAGGACCACCAAGTTTAAACATCCAGTAAGGAGCTGCATACATAAATTTGAAATTAGGGAAAAACTTCATCACTGTGTTTACAGTAGCATATCTAATTGTTATTTGTATGATTGTCTTTTCTACTAACACTAGACAGTGAGTTTCTTGAGAGAATGATCTGTGGACACTTCATGTTGATTATCTACTCCATTCCACTTAGTGTGGTACCTTGGAGTCAATAAAGGAACAAATAATGCCTACTTAATTACTGGCAACATTGCCTTTCAAAACACACCTGTCTTTTGATTTCTATAAACTTACACAACATATCCTTGCATCTAGTGGAAACACACCCTGTTCTCAAAATCTGGGGCCTGATTTTAAGTTTCTTACTAATACTATCCTAGCTAGTCCCACAACATCTGATCTCTGCCTTCACTCCTGTTCAGTCCTCCAATCCAAGTTAGCTGCTCCTCCTCTAAAATCGTTTAGGACAGTGCACATCCTTATCACACAGTTACTCACTATGCACTTTATTTATTTGTCTGTATCATCTACTTGGATGTGAGCTCCTTGCAAAAAACGTCTATGAAATTTATTTGTGTAACCCAAGGCATGTGGCTGGCACACAGTAGGTGATAAAAAGTGTTTTAGTGACTGTAGGAATGATTGTTTCAAAGTCTGTCCTAAATATCACCACTCACTCTTGTATTTATTTGTTGTCTCCTATGTGCATGACACTCTAATTGGTATAGTGGGGTATCAAATGGATTCTGTTTTCAAAGAGATTTTCATTTATTAGGGATGTGACCTGCACAAAAATATATATGCAAACTGAAAAGGTCAACCAAACCATTTCTAAGCAGGTGCTTTCACTGACCTTCTAAAAGTAGTTCATTGCATCCACGTGTTTGACATCCTGGATACCCAATACCTGGATGACACCTGATTTCTCCAGATGTCATGCCATCTTGTAATCATGGGCAAATTCTTCCCTGTGTTTTGAGGCTGCTGTCAAAGGCAACCCTGAATAACTTGCTGTGACTTTTTAAAACAGTGCAGCAAGTTCAGAATGATGGATTAAATGAAAATTCCCTGTCCAATGCAAGAAGAATAAAGTTCCTTTTTGCTGAATTACTGCTGTGCAGGTTTATTTGCTGTCTAAGAAAACAATATGCACCTGGTGAAAACATGGTTGGCTGGGGAAAACCATCACAACCAGCTGTTTCCAGAGACTGAATTATACATTCAAAAGGAAATGTTTGAGCTGGTCTTTTATTTATTCATATCCCCTTCTCCTTCCTTCTCCTGACTTGTTGCCTTTGTTCTTCTCTCAGAAACCCATTTTTGCACCTTACAAACTTCTAAACCCTTCTGACAGCCATACAACTTCTTCAGGAATAAATTTTCTGTGAATTCAAGCACAGCCCAGAATCTTCTCATTACATATTGAAGCAAGTCACAAGGATAAAGGTGCACTTCTTACAGGTTTATACAGTATTTTCTCTTTTAATTTTACTCATAATCTAGATCTATTTTCCTGCTGCAAAGCCACAAAGCAGATGTCAAGGGATTCAGGTCATAGCTGTTCCACCCTCAACACTCCCTAGTCACAGGTTCGTGGTTTTCTTTCCCACCACACCCCTATCTTTGCCTAGTCAAGATAGTCTTATGTAATAAAATGAGAAAGTATTGTCTTCCATCTCTTCTGATTCAAATATTAGGAGCCCAGCTCAGATCCTTGAGACTCACTGAAAATTCCTCAACCACTTTAGCCCCCAGTGAGCTCCCAAAACACTTATCATCAGTTGCATTCCAGTTGTGTCCTATGTTGCCAATCCCTGACCTGACAGTTGGTAAATTTTTTTTTTAAGGTCTAAGTGTCTATGTCAGAAAAAAAAAGTACAAAACTTTAGTATCTTCACTGATCCTCCTCCTCAATGGTGAAGCTGGGAAATTAGCATATAAGAAGATATGAGCATAGGGCAGTGATAAACAGGTTTGCAGCCTGAGATTCAAGATATCATGAATCACCCGAAATTACATGCAGTTTTCAGTTTATGGATTTTATTTTATCTACAGAGTTTCTTTAGTTACCATTAGATTCTCAAAAGGATCTGTGATTGCCAGATGATTAAGAACTGTAGTATGAGTGTCTTTTGACCTTATCAGAAAAGTCTTGGTCTGTGGTTCTGTCTTCAGCAAATAGATGTTGTGATCAGTGAACACACTTCCTCTCTGACTTCCCAGGGGCTGTGAAGATGGAAATGGCTACAAACTCATGGATGTCCCTAAAGAAAAGAAACTCTGTGATCAGAGCCTAGGAGTAGCATTATTATCATTACTATTTATTTTCTTCCTGACATGTTCATAGTGCTAGACAATTTACAAAGTTCTTCTTACGCACCACCTTTATTCCTGTTTTAATGTTTTTTGTTGTTTTTTTTCCTCTCTCAGCTCCCCTTTTCAACCCTGATTCAATTGATTTGATCTAGCTGGATCAGCCCTGAAGGCTGACAAAAGTTAATGTTTTAAACAAATTAAAGAAAGTAGAACCTTTGTTTACAGTGGCTTACTGATGCTGCTGGTCCTTAGAAAGTTGGTTAAGTAGAACTGTAAAGCAAAACCTCTATTAACTCTTTGCTTCCCTTTGTTGCTGTCTCCATCCCACTGGGCCACAGTAGTTTCTCCTCATGTGCCTCCTTTTACTGTCCGCTTTTGCTTCTTGGGCTACCTGTATACCTCTGGGAAATTTCTGCTCATATATCTTAGCTACACTTAGTATCGTGAGTTGTAACGTAATGCTTATTTATAAATAACAGTCTATGTCTCTGGACTTTTGTTGTATCTGCTTCAAAGTATTCTACCACATATAAGGTTTTAGTTTTTTATTTTTTGTTTTGTTTTGTTTGTTTGCTTGTTTTTAGCCATGCCCTAACAGGCATTCCTCCTGCCCCCATTTGGTAAAAGTATAAACTAAGACACAGAAGGATGTGGCAACTTGCTGAAGATTCAGCAGGGTGAGAAACATGCAGTTTCTTGATGCCCCACCCATGTCTAGATTACATTGGATCATGCTGCTTCTCCTGTACTTGATAAACTCAACATCAGGGTTCCAACGCTTATTGCTTGTAAATCTGAAACTGGGATAGGTAGCTTTTCAGGTTGTAATCTAGTGAGACAGTCTTTGGTTAGTTGGCCAAACACTGAAGGTAGAAAATTAGCCAGACACCAATTTTTCTTAGAAAATACCCATTAATAGTAGACTGACATTTGTTAAAAGCAGGCTGTTTTTGACTCATCATTTTTCTGACAACACACAGACTTGTACTTAGTGAACACAAGCCTTCCCCATTCTGCTGCCATTTCACATGATTTGATAGAAAAACTAAATTAGTTTGCAGAAAACTGAAACAAGACCCCTTCATTACACCTTGTACGAAAATCAACTCAAGATGGATTGAAGACTTAAACGTAAGACTTAAAACCATAAAAATCCTAGAAGAAAACCTAGGAAATACCATTCAGGACATAGGCACGGGCAAATATTTCATGTCTAAAACACCAAAAGCAATGACAACAAAAGCCAAAATTGACAAATGGGATCTAATTAAACTAAAAAGCTTCTGCACAGCAAAAGAAACTAGTATCAGAGTGAACAGGCAGCCCATAGAATGAGATAAAATTTTTGCAATCTATCCATCTGACAAAGGGCTAATATCCTGAATCTACAAAGAACTTATACAAATTTACAAGAAAAAAACAAACAACCCCATCAAAAACTGGGCAAAAGATATGAACAGACACTTCTCAAAAGAAGACATTTATACAGCCAACAAACATATGAAAAACTGCTCATCATCACTGGTCGTTAGAGAAATGCAAATCAAAACTACAATGAGGTACCATCTCACGCCAGTTAGAATGCCGATCATTAAAAAGTCAGGAAACAACAGATGCTAGAGAGGATGTGGAGAAATAGGAACGCTTTTATGCTGTTGGTGGGAGTGTAAATTAGTTCAATCATTGTGGAAGACAGTGTGGCAATTCCTCAAGGATCTAGAACTAGAAATACCATTTGACCCAGCAATCCCATTACTGGGTATATACCCAAAGGATTATAAATAATTCTACTATAAAGACACATGCACACGTATGTTTATTGCGGCATTATTCACAATAGCAAAGACTTGGAACCAACCCAAATGTCCATCAATGATAGACTGGATAAAGAAAATGTGGCACATATACACCATGGAATACTATGCAGCCATAAAAAAGGATGAGTTCATGTCCTTTGCAGGGACATGGATCAAGCTGGAAATCATGATTCCCAGCAAACTATCACAAGAACAGAAAACCAAATGCTGCATGATCTCACTCGTAAGTGGGAGTTGAACAATGAGAACACATGGATGCAGGGAAGGAACATCACACACCAGGGCATGTTGGGGGTTGGGGGCCTAGGGGAGGGGTAGCATTAGGAGAAATACCTAATGTAGGTGATGGGTTGATGTGTGCAGCAAACCACCATGGCACATGTATACCTATGTAAAAAAAACTGCATGTTCTGCACTTGTACCCCAGAACTTAAAGTATAAAAATATATATAGTCATCTGGTTCTTTTGACTATATGTTATTATACAGAAAAAGAAATCTGGCATTGCTGGATTATTTCTCTCGTAATTATTTGCAGATATTGTCTGACACTCCTTTGAAGAATTAATTACTCTTATTACTTGAATTTTTCTTGAACTGCCCTCATCTCATGAATTTTTTCTTTTCAGTAAATGTGATATGTTAAATATATAACAAAATGCGATTTAATTTTTACACCTTTGTAAGATTTCTAGACAAATAAATTCACAAATTAGGGAAAAGACAATTTAGGTAATCATTCTAATTTTTAGTTCAAGAAATATGGTTACTAATACTTCATGGGATTTTATGAGGCAAATAAAAGAAAAGCCACAGTTGAAGTACCACTTTGTTCTCCATGTTTCCAAAAGATATAGAAAAAGGTTTCCTATCTACAGGAAAACACCAGAGAAATGTCATCTTATGACTCAGAGAGCCAGCTCTGTTGGAACAGAATTCACCAATAGATTCTAGAGCTAGTTCTCACCACTGACCAGAGTTCAATAAGAAACCCCGGAGGAGAGTTGAAGGGCCTGTGTCCAATTACAATACCTATTTTAATTATTGTTCAATTGGAACATATTAATAATCCATAAAAACAAAAGCTGCTTGTGACAGTTTTTCACCCAGAAATGCCATATTTCTGGGTGAAATTAGAGAGAACTGAAATTAGAGAGGACTGAAATTAGAGAGAAAAGACATTAACAGTTTGAAATTCGAGTCGTTAAGTATTCGTATCACACAAAGTATTTTAAGTTTGGCTTACTCAAGTTTTTAGTCTCTCTTAGGTATTACTCAAGGAGCCAACCACTTGTAAAAGGACCTGTATAAACGTAGTTCCTAATATATAAATAGAGAGGTGTTCAATTTAAAAAACACAAAATATTTTCTTTTTAAAACATTCAGTTGAGCATTAGATATTAACAGAGTCTCATCCACTTGGTGTTTATTTCAAGATGTTTGATAAATGGGAGAGATAGTCTCCTGCTCAATATTGTGCTAACTAGAAGATGCTAAGACAGTCATTCTCAAAGTTAAAGTAGAAATATTTGTTTTTCCTCTTAGTTCATCTGGCTACTAATGAGGCCAAGTTCACGGGTCCAGTTGTTATAAAGGCCATTCAGCTTCTTTCTGGTCCATGGCCAAAGTCATTGTCCCAGTCTGTCATCTTATGCTGACCAATGAAATGCCAGCTATTTATTATGGAGAGGACACATGTGGGTGGGTGGGTAAATCAGAGAAAATTCTTTGTGGCTAGAAAAAAACTCAAAGTACATGTCATACTGGGGCTAGGTCTATAAGAGCTCTTTTTGTATATATATATAGGACAGCACAAAATAGCCTACAGGAAAGAGACTTCCTAGAAAATTCCTTCCAGCTTTCAAGAAGCAGGACCCAAGAATACTTGCTGCAGAAATGAAATGAGTAAAAATAGACATTATTCATACTTATGATGTCCTTGTGGAGCTCCAAAACTGATGTGATAGAAAATTGTTATGTCAACATGACCAATGACCTTTTCTCGAATCATAAGAGCTGGTTAAACAGAATCAGTAAAAAATATGAAAATCCTGATAAGTGAAATGATTTGCCTGCCTAATAAAGCTTAGTTAGATCTTGATTTGCATTCATAATGTAAATGTGAGTGGTCAACTTCACTAGTGTATCTCAGTCAATGTAGCTGAGGAAACTACATTTCCTTTGTCATATCAACAAAGTAATCCACTAAATGGACTCTCTATATGGTGTTGGTTCCTCTTTCAGTGCAGTGCATTCCTACTCATAAGATGAAGTCTATTAGTTATCTATTGCTGTGCAAGTTATCACAAAGTTTGTGGCAAAACAACACAAGTTTATTGTTTCACAGTTCTGTACGTCACAAGTCTGGGGCGAAAATCAAGTGTTGGCAGGACTGTATCCCTTTCTCGATACTCTAGGTAACAATCTGTTTTCTTGTTTTATCCAGCTTCCGGTAGCTGCCACAATCCTTGGCTAGTGACCCCTTCCACCATCTTCAAAGTCAGCATCAGTAAGTTCAGTCCTTCTGACATGACATCATATCACTCTGACCTATTCTTCTGCCTCTCTCTTTCACTTTTAAGTACCCTTATAATCCATGCCCACTCAGATAACACAAGGTAATTCCAGCTGCAATGTTAATTCACCTTTGCCGTGAAGGTGATATACTCACAGGTTCCAGGGATTAGACTGTGGACATTTTTTGAGGAGGCATTACTGTATCCACCACATGGGGTAAAGTTCAGTGCTACCAAAGACAGAATCCATTTGGTTTTCACACACATTACCAAAACTCATACCTAGCTTTTCATACAGTGTGCTCAGTGAGATGTTGGTGAATATAACAAACATGGATACAGTACATACATACATGCATGCCACCCCTACAGACACATATACACAAGCACATGTACACACACACACACACATACACATTACCATGTAAAGTATTCCATGTTGAAATACAGAAATGATGAATTAAACAATGTTCAACCAGTTTCTTTATTATATGATATTGCGGAGGCTGTTTTAAATTTAAATTTAAATTTTTTTAGAGACAGGGTCTCATTCTGTCACCCAGGCTAGAGTGGCACCATCACAGCTGACTGCAGCCTCAAACTCCTGGGCTTAAGCATTCCCCTCCTCAGCCTCCCAAGTAGCTGAAACTACAGGTACACATCATGACACCAAGCTAATTTTATTTATTTATTTTTTTTTGTAGAGATAGGGGTCTTACTAATTTGCCCAAACTGTTCTCCAACTCCTGGCCTTAAATGATCCTCCATCTTGGCCTCCCAAAATGCTAGGATTACAGGCATGAACCACCATGCCTGGCTGCAGAGATTTGGATGGACCAACATTCAATATAAATGTCTAAGATGAAGAGAGGGTGTAAGCCCTTTCCTAAATTTAGTTGATAATAAAACTCTTGCTTCTAAGTGTGTCTTGCTGGATTAGAGGGAAACACTACCCTAAGGTTTTTGCCACCTAGTTTTGGTTGCTTTTAGAGACCAGTGCTAATAAGGTCAAGTGGATAATAGTCCAATTGGTCTATTCTGTGGCTACAACCTACATCTAATCATTGATCTCCCCTTTGCAATGTTTTTCACTGGTTACTTGCTCAATGCTCACTATGGGAAGGACCTAGCATACATATATGCACTTAACATCTCTTGCCTTATGAAACTGAACATAATTTTTAAATTTTAAAACATTTTAACTCGTGGTAAGCTTCTGTTTATTTTCTGGTAGCCAGAGGCTACCAATGAAGCCAATTTCATGGGTCCAGTTGTTATAAAGGCCAATCATCTTCTCTCAAGTTTATGCCCACATTTGTCCTAGTCTGTAATATTGGCCTTATTGGCCAATGAAAGTCGACCTTTCTCGTAAGTTCCTCAAGCTTTTTCCAATGTTGGCTCATTCCTACCCTAGTTCTCAGCCTCAATGTGATGTCTTTAGTAAGATGTTCTCTGATGATCTTATATGAAATAGCCTCACCCAGTTATTTTCTATCATATAATTTAGCTTTTTCTTCATAGAACTTTATTAGAGTCCGTGAACATTTTATATATTTGTTTGTGGTAATAATTGTCTCTCAAGTAAAATGTAAGGTCTGTGAGGGCAAACTTTATCAGTCTTTCTAAATGCTATACCTCCAATGCCTAGAATTGTGCCTAACACATATCAAGTGGTCAATAAATATCTGTTAAATGAATGAATCCCTATTTTATGGATTAGAAAGAAAAAGCTGAGTTACAGAGGTAAATTACTTGCCAGTATCACCAACCCTCTTTGTGACAAGCAGGGATCTTATTGTTTGTCTCCTGACACTTAGGGAAGTATTCTTTGCTTTAAGAAGGTAATTTGCTAATTATTTTTCTGTGGTTTTACTGTGATTTAATTCATAGTTACTGGTCAATACTTCCCCCACTGCTTTGAGAATGAATCTGTAAATGTCAATGCTTGATCAATGCATAAGGCTCCCAGTGTTGAACATAGAGAGGAATGGATAAGTTCACATTTCTTCCTTTTCAGAAGTCATCAGGAAAAAAAAAAAAGCTTTCATTTTTTTTTTCTTTTCTGCCAGCTTCTGAAGGGCCTTCTGTGGGTGGCTTCACAACTGTTCTTTCCAACTTCTGATGCCTTAAGTGCATCACCTGAGGACTATTTTTTTTTCAGAGCTGGCAAATATTAACTACTTGAGGTAAACCTTATGATATTCAAGTAGCAGTATGGAGGCAATGTGAAATTCAAACAGTTATGTATTGATTTGATAAAAAGGGAAAGAATTTAATGATTAAGGCTAAGTGATTTGAATAATCTATCCATACATCTATAACTTATGGCCATGAGCTTTGGTTACTGTTTCCGAAACCAGTTATTTATGCTAATTTTAGCAATATGATCTCTTAAAAGGATCCCAATATTGAAGAGTGAGGTTTGTAAGTAGACTGAAGTACTGAATGGAATCTAACCCATGGGCCTAGTATTGTCAAGGTTGCTATAGTGGGTTTAGAAGAAATTTTAAATAATAATAATAATAACTCTCTTTTGTGCTCAGGGAGATCCTGGGTTTCATTCTTCCTTGGGACAAAATAACAAAGGTTTACTTGGTAGAGGGTCAGTTGCTCTTTTAGGCAGCTATACATTGCAATGGAACAGAGGTTTTCAAAAGCCACTCTGCAGAGCTTTAGGAGATCTATTGCAGTGGCTGGGGCCTAATAGGATGGGGATCTCATTAGGGATTTTCTCCTTCGCTAAAGCTGTTTCCCCTCAATGTGTTTTCATATAGGGCTTTGGTTTTAATTTGCTTTTGTAGACATGGCTCCACTACTAAAAGGAGAAAGCCACTGAAATAGGTAATGATTTTTAACTTTGGTAAAGTTTAAACCCTACAATTATTTTGATTTCTGGATATAAACCATTCCTCTCCTAAGCATATGCTAAGTGGTTTTTCAATATTAACATCAAAATAAATTAAAATTAAATTTGCAGTTAAAATTTTGGATAATTAGAGATAATCAGAGATCCCTGAGATCCCTGAGAAAGTTTCAAGAGTAGGATTGATAAATGTAGCACTATCAAACCTATTTGTAAGGTGGATCTAGAGTCTGCCTATACGTAGTATAATTCCTTCTCAAAATGAAGTAAAAAAAATAGTACAACTTTAGCCATTATATTATTCATTTCTGCATCATCTTATGCACAGTCTTTTAAATCACATTTGCTTGTGCGTGTATGATGGGAGGGGGAAGGGAGTAATAAGACAGATTTATCCTAATTTTAATCCTTGCTTTGAAAAATAGTCTTATGATACATTATTTTGACCTTCTCAGTATTGTATATTTTGACTTGATGGCCACGCCACCTCTTTTCCACAGTTCACTGAGGCCGTAAACAAGAGACGTGCAATGGCATACCCTGAAAATTATACGTTGTCGAAAAGGTCAAAATAGTATAGCCAAATGTTGCTATTTGTAATTTACAGAATATATGAGGCATTCAAATTCAAACAACTCATTCTCTTGACAGAGTAAGAATAACATAAAATGGCACAACATGAATCTATTTGGGAAAAAGACACTAGAAATAAAACATAGCCAGAGCCCAATTTCTGTCTTGGTTTCCTAAGATGGTGCTCCATTTACTTATTCTTCTACAGGCGTAAGAAACCCATGAGGTTCCCTGGAAATGAGTTATATTTCATTGAAATGTTAGCTTGAAAATGTTGAAAGAAAGAGGGAAATTCAAGAATAGATTACATTTTGTTACATAAAGAGGGAGCAGAAATGTAGTCTGAAAAACACTAGCTGATTTGGGATTACTGTACCTGGGATACTATGTACAAAGCAGATGTATGATCTTAAATAGGTCATGTTTTTCTCTCTGGGCTTGAGTTTTCTCATGTGAAAAACAATGTCGATGGACCAGAAGCTCTCTTAAGAGCTCCTCAGTTTGAAATATTCTGACGTCTCATTTGATCTTACGACTTATAATCTCCGTCTCCTTTCAGACTTTTCCATGGTGATGTATTGTTTCCAAAAATTGCCAACAACCATTATATGCATTTATCTCCTCCTTTTCAGAGGTGGAACCAATTTCACTTCTCCTTAAATTTGGGCTGGTACTGTGACTCACTTTTACCAACAGAATGCAGTGAAAGTGACACTCATTCCAGGCCTAGTCTTTAAGAGGCCTGGAATCTTCTCACTGTCTTAGAAGAGAGAAATGAAGTAAAGAAGCTTGTACCAGAAGAGTGCATAATAAAATATTGTGTGGAGAGAGAAGCCACATGGAGAAAAAATTAACTGCTTCTGTCAAAGGTCAGCATCAAGGCCCAAGAATGTGAGTTATGGGTTGTTCCAGGCCCAGCCAAGCTCTCAGCTGAATGGAACCGCATGAGTGGCCACAGTCAAAATCATGTGCAGCAAGAGAACCACCTGGACACCCATGGCATCATGAGAAATAATAAATCATTGTTCTTTTAAGCCACCATTTGGGGAGAGGGTATTATAGAGTAATAGGTAACTGAAATAACCACTTTAGTAAGTGTTCTTTACTCACTCAGTTGCTCAGTGACCTGAAAGACTTTCTTACACCTACTCTCTTTCTCACCTACCTGTATCCAATCCATTGCCAAGTCTGCTAGACTACAAGCTTCTTAAAGACAAGAAACATGTCTTTTTGGCTCACTACTGCATTTCCAGCTCTCAATAGAGTGTCCGAGGTATAGTAGGTTAATTTCAGGGAAGTACTATTAATCTTACTTCATCTCAAACAATCACTTTCCATCTCCACCAATACCTTAGACTGAATTGCCTTCAGCTTTTGCCTGAAATACTGCAGTATCCTTTTAACCAGGATCCTCATAAAAATTGGTTGGGTGAAAAGGTATATAGGACATCTCTGTGTTACTTTGGCAACATTTCTGTAAGTCTACAATTATTTCAAGATTAAAAGTTAGAAAGTATAAATGTACATAAATTACATCATGAAACTTCTTTAATTAGAACCCTCCTGTGATGTTTGGCATGATAAGACTACTCCTTACCTCTCTGATGTCACTTCACACCACTCCTATCTCCATCTTCACAGATGGCAATGTTTAGCTATACTGGACTTAAATGAAGTATCTCAAATATTCTCAACATTTTTTTCTTTCTGCAAGACCTTAATATATGCTATTCTGCCTAATTGAGGCACATTTTTTCTTAATTTTAACATGGTGCCTCCTCCTCATCTTTTAACTTTTACCTTATGAACTTTCTAAAACTATTCATTTCTACTCATCCACAATGTAATAGATGTTCTCTCTTATTTTCATTCATAACACTTAACAACAATTTGTAATTTTATATTTATGTAAAATGGTAGGTTAATTTATTTAATCTCTGTCTCCCCTGCTAGACAGTAATCACCATGAGAGAAGAAACCATGTCTGTCTTAAATTTCAGTGTTTATAATGGTGCCTGGTACATCACTAGCACTTGATAAGTGTTTGTTAAATCAGTTAAATCTCATGGACCTTTGCTTAAATTATCTGTGCGTATGAAGTACTATTTAAAATTTACGGAGATTAGTGTACATTGGTAAAGGCCATATTTGTGGACATGAGGGAGCATACTCAGGTAAGGAAGGGAGGGTAGGGTCATTTTATGGCTCTAGACAGAACAAGAACTAAACCATCCCACATTACCATACCAGCACTAAGGATATAGGAATTACAATAGACTTGTATGCTACACCTCTATTTACTGGGGCATGGTAACATTACACTGATTTATTCAGTATTTTTTGATTGTCTATTATCTGAACTGCCTATTATTTATAGTGACTATACATGGAATCTTCACTGCCATGGATTAGATGCTAGGAGGACATGGGTTGCATTATATGCATAGACTTAAAGAAATCCTGGTGGCATCACCCTTATGCAGGAAGAATCTAGAAACTAAATTTATAATTATCTATAATCTATGTACAAGAAAACAATAGATACATGTCAGCTATTTTGCTCTACTTCCCAAACTACTTATTTTCTTCACAATTTGTTTGGCTAAGGTAAGAAAGAAATATAACCCTGAAATTGTACTTGCTTACTATACCACTTCTGAGATTTGTACATATACCCTTAAGATTATATTGACCAGATTTTGCTCTCCTCGGTATTGTGTTATAATGAAAGAATTTTATTCATTTTTTTTCTGATCTATAAACTGATGTTGCTGCATCAATACAAACTCCACAAACACATCAGGATCTCAGAATTGTCCAGATGATGAGTAAATATTTCTGTCATAAAATGAGTAAGCCCTATGGACTTAAGATAGGAAAGAAAAAATAATAATACTTCAAATAAGGCCCAATTTTGAAAGAAGCTTCATTTATATGCAGGGATTTCCTCTCTTGCACTTGGTAAGTGAGACTTGTAGATTCAATACACAGGTTACAGCCTATTTTTATATAGGACTTCCCTTTTAAGATCTGCATGAAACCTGCCTATGTGTTTGTCTAATAGTGTATCTTTCCAGGAACTCCAATGATATGAAAACTTAAATATCCAGGCATTCAGATTTTAGCTCAGCAAACTTCTTATTTTGAGACTGAAGGTTTTACTTCTAATCCAGATGTTCACTGTCATACAGATCTTGATGTAAGTAGGTATGGTGCTATGACTTGAACTGAGTTCCCTCCAAAATGTATGTACCTAAACTCCAGATACCTGTGAATTGACTTTATTTGGAAATAGGGCCTTTGCAGAGTTACAATGAGATGATACTGGATTAGGGTGAGCCCTATAATCCAATGATTGGTGACCTTACATGAAGAGTGAAATTTGAAGACAAAAGGAGACACAAGGAGAAAATGCCATGTGATGACGAAGATCTGAGTGATGCATCTACCAGTCAAGGCACATCAAGGACTGCTGGCAACTACCAGAAGCTAGAAGAGAAACATGGAACAGATTCTCCCTTTTTGCCTCCAGAAGGAAACAGTACTGCTGACAAATTGATTTCAGATTTCTAGTTTCTGGAACAGTGATACAATAAATTTGTTTTAAGCTACCCATTTGTGGCACTTTGTTACAGCAGCCCTAGGACACTCATGGATGTGGTAAGGGAGGGTATGTTGTAGTCATCCACCTCTTTAGAGTACACCACTGTCTCCTTGAGGTAAATATTTAGAGAGATATTTTATTTCAGTTTAATCAAAACTGCTGTGTACTTTTCACTGTCCAATAAGAAAGCCAGCTTCCTTCTTTTTTCTCTTATTTAGAGAACTGGAAATTCTGGTCTACCAAGACCAAAGCGCATTAATATAAATCAAACATTGTGTAATGTGGTAGCCATTCACTGATTAAAGTAGTCCAGTTAATTAACTGGGAACTTTTGGGGAGTACAAATAGGCTAAGAAAATAACTGCATTCACAAAAATTCTGCTCCTTTCATTACGGACTGCTAATCCTGGATTTAAGAGATTGCTTTGACTTATGGGCTTGAGTAGTAATTGATCCAGAATGTTCCTAGAGAGGGAGAATAATATGATGGAAAAGTTATGTTTTTCCATATCTCTGCTTTAATTGTACTAATCATACAATCTTAAGGCTGCTATTATTTATGGTTTCTGTGCTTCTGCATAATTTAAATTGCTCATTCTGTTTGCAAAATTCCAAGAAAAATGTGCAGTTCTTAACCACAGAGAGCACTTAATGAAACGAAACCATTAGCTACTAAAGAGGAAATCAAAAGTTTAAGGCCATCCCCACACCAATGCCACAAACTGATTTAAAAGCCTTTAAATCAGGTATTTGTTGTCATGCAGACAAAAAAAAATACGCTTAGCTAACTACATTTGCATTTTTTTTTAAAGCACTGATTTTGGTCAAAGTGGTTTGTGTAGGTGGATAGGACCTAAAACTTGTCAAGAATTTTAAATTATTACTTAGCCCCAGAAATCTAGACACCATTAAGCCTATTTTCTCAGAGGCAAACAAACAAAAAAAAAAAGAATGTATTTTTCACTGACCATGGAAGAAATGATTATGGGGCTCTTTCATGCAGTAATTCCTATGAAAAAGGTTTGGGGGGTTAGCTGACCACAAGTTTAAAACACTAGCCAACAGTGTGATGTGGCTGCTGAATAAGCTCACACAATCTCAAATTACATTTATAATAATAACGATACCTTCCATGAGTGTGTTGCTTCATATTGTAAAAAGTGCCTTCACACAGATGATCTCATTTTACATAGTGATTAGAATACAGGAAGTCAATATCCTATTCTGTATGAGTTAGGCCACATCTGGTATATGGTCTCATATTTTAAGAAGTACATTAACACTCTTCATTAAGTATATCCAGAAGAGGGTAGCCATAATAGTGTATAGTTCCTATAAGAAATTTTCAAGAATTGTAAATATTTATCCTAAAGAATATAAGAGGCTGGGGGATCCTGCTAGTTTATTCAAATATTTGAAGGACTATATGGAAGAAAAATAGGTTTACTCTGTCTTGCCACAAGAGTGAGATTATAGTTCAGCATAAAGGGAACTTTCTGATTACAAGAATTATACAATAATTGAATAGGCTGCCTTGTGGAGATAATGTGTTCTCCATTGTCATAGAATGCTTTTGTTTTAGACAATATTCTTAGAGATGCTCCCAGAGGAGCAACATCAAGTAGGAATAGATAAATGCTATTGGGACAGCCAGTGCTCACCCATATCCATGTGTTCCTCTATATTATGCAACCTTCCTTGTAATTAGGTTGGTCATGTGGTGAACTCTGAATAAGATATGGTTGGAAGTAATGTGCGCTACTTTCTGTTCTGGAACCTAAAAACAACATTGCAACCCTCCACATTCTCTCTCTTGGCTAGATAAGTGTGGGGGATCCAGCAGAATGGCAAAGCCACTAGGTAGAAAAAGCTTGAACTGCATAGGAAGTCATATGAATACCCAACTAGATTTTGTATTAGCAAGAAGTAAACTTTTCTTACGTTAAGCCACTGTGATTTTGTGGTTATTTATTATATTGGCTGGAGTTTCCTTGCAATTTTAAGACTCTATGGGTTTGTCGTTGTTGTTGTTGTTGTTGTTGTTTGAAAGAGGGTCTCACTTCGTCATCTAGGCTGGATTGCAGTGATGCGAGTAAGGGTCACTGCAGCCTTGACCTCCAGGACTCAAGTGATCCTCTCAGCTCAGTCTCCTGAGTAGCTGGGATCACAGGCACACACTACCATGCCCAGCTAATTTTTGTATTTTTTGTAGAGTGGGGGTTTCACCATGTTGCTCAGGCTGGTCGTAAACACCTGGCCACACACAATCTGCCCACTTCAGCCTCTCAAAGTGCTAGGATTACAGGCATGAGCCATCGTACAAGGCTAAGATCTTATGGTTCTAGATAGCACTAAATTAAATCACAAGGTTGTTTTCTAAAGTAAAGTTGGATTTGTAAAATATAATGAAATTAATGGGAGGGCTGCAGTGAAGGAAGTTGCCAACCATCTGAAATTTAGTTATCATAGAAATTTATTCACTTGTTTTTTCATTCCTTCACATATCTGTAAATTTGTTCATACATACGACTGTGCACACATACATAAAATAGACATTTCCTGAGCATCAGGCACAGTGCTTATTGCTGGAAAAGAAATATTGAAGCAAATACTATCAGTTTTACAGTCTAGTAAGAGATACATACATATCAACAAATGAAGATATAATTAAAAACTATACATGCTGGGACAGGATAATTCATAAGGTATAGTAGAGACATAAAAGGGATACATATTTTCTTCCTGGGATTGCAGCTCAGGGATCAGGAAAGGTATCATTGGGAAGTGATGATAAACTCAACATTGGTGTATAAAAAATGTTTGCCAGGAGGTTGTGAGTGAGAAGGGATATGAGTTCCTGTGTGAACAAAAATAAAACAATTTGGCATAGCAAGAATGATGAGACTGAAGAAGTAGATGGCAACCAGTAATCAATGTAAGGAATTAGTATTTTCTCTTTTGGGCAAGTAAGGGAGAGTTATGTAAGAGATTAAATCAGGAAAGATGCATAAGATTTACATTTTAACATAGATTTTTTTTCTGGTTATAGTGATGAGAATTTATTAAAGATGAGAAAGAGGAGGCAAAGAGACCAATTTGGAATTGATTGTAATACTTGCCCCAGCAAAAATATGGGATCCTAATTTGAAGTTACTAAAGCAATAATATAGAACAGTCTAAGCAGGAAGATCTCTAAGCATTGTTGGCACATTATATAAGACAAGGTAGAGGGAAGAATATACTTTAAGCCTTAGGTTTCTGAGTTAATAGATCTCTGTTAGAACACTTCTCACCAACTGTTTTGTATTTTTGGTTTTTTTTTTTCATTGTAGTAACTAACATATAACATGAAGTCTACCCTCTTAACAAATGTGTAAGTATACAGTATTATTATCTATATATCCATTGTTGTACAGCAGACCTCTAGAGCTTTTTCATCTAGCATGACTGAAACTCTATACCCATTGAACAGCAACTTCCAATTTCTACTTCTACCAGTGCCTGGCAACTACCATTCTACATTCTGCTTCTAAGAGTTTCACTACTTTAAAAACCTCATGTAAACAGAATCATGCAGTATAGGTCTTTCTGTGACCGGCTTATTTCACTAAGCATAATGTCTTCAAGGTTCATTCATGTTGTCGCATAGGACAGGATGTCCTTCTTTTTCAAATGTGAATGATATTCCATGGTATGTATAGACCACGTTTTATTTATCCATTAATCTGCTGATGGATGTTTAGGTTGTTTCCACATCTTGGCAAATATTCAGAAGTGAAATTGCTGGATGATATGGTAGTTTTATTTTTAATTTTTTAAGGATTGCCATACTGTTTCCCATTGAGGCTGCACCATTTTACATTCCCACCAATGGTGCACAAGCTTTCTGATTTTGCCATATCCTTACCAGCGCTTATTTTCTCTCCTTTTGTTTTGCTTTTTATAATAATAGCCATCTTAACAGGTATGAGGTGATAGCTCATTATGGTTTACTTTTATTTCCTTGATGATTAGTGATATTGATCATCTTCTCACATACCTGTTGACTATTTGTATGTCTTCTTTGAGAAATGTCTATGCAAAGTTTTTATCTGTAGTCAATCAGTTTATTTTTGCAGGTTATTTGTTATTGAGTTGTAGGAGTTACTCAGATATTTTAGATATTAGACTTTTGTTAAATATATGGCTTGCAAATATTTTCTTCTATTTTGTAGGTTGTCTTTTCATTCTGCTGATTATTTCCTTTGCTGCATAGAAGCGTTTCAGTTTTCTGTAGTCCCACTTGTCTATTTTTTGCTTCTGTTGCCTATACTTTTGGTGTCACATTAAAAAAAGGTCACTGCCAAGACCAGTGTTATGATTTTCCCCTGTGTTTTCTTTTAGGAGTTGTATAGTTTCAGGTTTTATGTTTAATTCTTTAATGCATTTTGGGTTGATTTTTGTGTATGGTATAAGAGAAGGGGCCTGATTTCATTATTTTTCATATTGATATCCAGTTTTCCCAAGATCATCTGTATCCCCAACATTTTTGGAACCAGGAACCAGTTTTGTGGAAGACAATTTTTCCATGAACAGGGACAGTATCGGGGGGATTGTTTCAGGATCAAACTCTTCCACCTCAGATCATCAGACATTAGTTAGATTCTCATAAGGAGCACGCAGCCTAGATCCCTCACATGCACAGTTCGTAATAGGGTTCATGCTCCTATGAGAATCTAATGTGCCACTGATCTGACAAGAGGCAGACCTCAGGCAGTAATGCTTGCTTGCCCGCCACTCACCTCCTGCTTTGCAGCTCAGTTCCCAAAAGGCCACAGACTGGTACTGTTCTGTGGCCCCAGGGATCGGGGACCCTTGGTTTAAGGGATTATCCTTTCCTCATTGTTTAGTCCTGGTACATTTGTTGAAGGTAATTTGATCAAATATACATGGGTTTATTTCTATTGTTTTTTTAATTTTGTTCCGTTGTTCTACATATCTGTCCTTATGCTAGTATCACACTGCTTTGATTACTGTAGCTTTGTAGTATGTTTTGAAGTCAGAAAGTTTGAGGCCTCAGCTTTGTTGTTCTTTCTTTAAATTGTTTTGGCTATTTGGGGACCTTTGTGTTTCCATATGAATTTTAGGATTGATTTATCTACTGCAAAAAAATATGTCACTGGAATTTTGATAGGGATTGTCTTGAATCTGAAGATCACTTTGGGTAATCATGGACATTGTAACAATACTAAGACTTCTAATCCATAAATGTGAGGTGTCTTTTCATTTATTTGTGCCTTCTTTATCTCAGCAATGTTTTGTGGTTTTTATTATACAGATCGTTCACCTCCTTAGTTAAGTTTATTCCTAAGTAATTTATTCTTTTCCGTACTATTATAAATGGCATTGTTTTCTCAATTTTATTTGTGGATCATTTATTCTTAGTCTATAAAGATGCATATGATCTTTGAATATTGATTTTGTATTCTGCAATTTGTTGAATTTATTAGTTCTAACTTTTGGTGGAATTGGTAGGTTTTTCTACCTACAAGATTATGCCATTTGTGAGCAGTGATACTTTCACTTCTTTATTTCTGATTTGAATGCCTTTTTTTCTTTTTCTTGCCTGATCGCTCTGGCAATGACTTCCATTACTAAGTTGAATAGAAGTGACAAGAGTGGGCACACTTGCCTTGTCCTTCAACTTACAGGAAAAGCTTTCGATTTTTCATCATCAAATATGATGTTAGCTGTGGACTATTTTCATATATGGCTTTCATTCTGTTGAGTGTTTTTATCATGAAAGGTTGTTGAATTTTGTCACATGCTTTGTATGTATCTATTGAGATATTCATGTGTTCTAAAGATTTTTATCTTTTGTTCTGCTAATGTGGTATATCACATTGATTGATTTTCATATGTTGAAACTTCCTTGCATTCTGGGGTTAAATCGCACTTGGTCATGATGTATGATCCTTTTAATGTGGTGTCGAATTCAGTTTGCTAGTATTTTGTTGAAGACTTTGGCATTTACATTGATCAGAGTTATTAGCCTGTAGTTTTCTTTTCTTTTAGTGTCTTTGTCTGGCCTTAGTATTAAGGTAATGCTGAATGAGTTTGAAAGAATTCCCTCCTCGTCAATTTTCTGGAAGAGTTTAAGAGAAGTTGGAATTAATTCTTCTTTAGTTATTGTTAATGAATTTAATTAACATTTATTATTAGTATTGTCAATTAGTTCTTAGTAGAATTATCCAGTAATGCCATCTGGTCCTGGGATCTTCTTTGTTGGGGGGTTTTATTACTGATTCAATATCCTTACTCATTATTTGTCTGTTCAAGTTTTCTACATCTTTCTGGTTCAATGATAGGTTGGTAGGTTGTATGTATCTAGGAATTTATCCCTCTCCTCTAGGTTTTCGAATTTGTTGACAAAGTTCTTCAGTTTTTATAATTGTTCATAATAGTATCTTCTAATCCTCACCAGCATTTGTTATTTTTTGTCCTGCTAATAATAGCCATCCTAACTGAGATGATATGATACTTTATTGTGATTTTGATTTACATTTCACTGGCTAATTGCCTTCATCTGATCACTATAGATTATATGGTTTTAAATGTCATATATACCCAATAAATATATTTAAGAATTCTTTGTACATCAAAAGAATATAAAAACTAAAATCACAGGAATCAACATTGAGAACCAAAAAGTAAATGCAAGCAGAGTAGTAATCTGTAAAGTTTAAGAGCTACTTTATATACAAAGTGGTCACTCATGAGAATGGCTATTATTAGGTTAATAAGCAAACCACTTGACTGAGAAAGGAAGTGGAAACACACACAGAAGTGAGTACACACATCATCCCTGCTATAAATTTTACATATATATAATAGCAGTCATATGTGTACATACATAATAGTAGAGTTACAGAAATTCTGATCTGACTAATAATGATCAGGCTAACAATCATTTATTCACTATTGATCTAGCTGATTCCTCACTAGCATGCTCAATTAAACTGCCTGTGGGTGTCACAAAGAACCTTAATCACTACACGTGTCAATGCTTAATGAATGATATCTTATACTCATCATACTTTACAGAACTACCAAAGAAATTAATTAAATGATGCCTGAAAACATGCTTTGAATGCCTTGGAAATACATACTGCATAAATATGAGGTACTATTGTTAAAGTTAACCCTTCACTTTCCTTAATTATCTTATGTAAAGTTAGCATGATTCTCTTTCTTTCTCAAGAACTTTCATTTTCCCATAATTGAGCTAAGAGAGTGTCAACACAAAGAATCAAACTCTGTAAAACATTTGAAGAGATTTATTCTGAGCCAAATGTAAGTGACCAATGGCCTGTGACACAGCCCTCAGGAAATCCTGAGAACATGTGCCCAAGGTGGGTCAGGGCACAACCTTTATACATTTTAGGAAGACATGAGATATCAATCATGTAAGATACACACTGGTTTGTTCTGGAATGGCAGGATAACTCGAAGCAGGGGACTTCCAGTTTATAGGTAGATTTTAAAATGTTCTGATTGGCAACTGGTTGAAAGTTATTATCAATCACAAAGAATGTGTGGGTCGCAATAAGGGGCTATGGAGATCAAGGTTTTATCATGCAGATGAAGCCTCCAGGAAGCAAGCTTCAGAGAGAATAGATTGTATATGTTTCTTATCAGACTTAAGGTCTGTGTTGATGTTAAATGCTGGTCAGCTTTTCCTGAATTCTAAAAGGGAGTAGAGTATAATGAAACATGTCCAGTCCTCCCTTCCTGTCATGGCCTGAACCAGTTTTTCATGCTAACTTTGGAACGCCCTGGCCGAGAGGAGGAGTCCACTCAGATGGTTGTGGCGGGGAGAGACGCCTAGAATTTTATTTTTGGTTTACAGCAGTTTTCAAATTGTACCTTGACACAATTTTCCCTCTCCTTTGTTGTAGGCCCCCTCTCCATCACATGTTCACATTATTTTTGTTCTTTTGCCAACAATCAGCCTTAAGACACACCATGATTATCATCTCACCAAGTTACAATTTCATCAAACAACTTGACAACAAATGTAAAATCATCACTATAGTAACAGATATACAGTCAACACCTTCACAACTAAGGAAAATAAATGAAATTGATACAGGCCCTCAGTGAGTCAGAGCTCCTCTTGTTCTTGGAAAATAAGTGTCTTACAAATGTACACCACATTTCAATATACATAGGCTCTATTCCTAGGTTAATATTGCATTTGTAAACAAAATCAAAGCTTTTTTGTGGACTTGATGAATATACTATTACTTCAGTTTTTTTGAAATTCAGATATTGGTAAAGACTAGACTTTTCATTAGAACTGGTATCAGGCCAAGTTTATTTTATATTATACTCTTTTTGAAGGAGTTCCTTTTTTCAGCCAAAGGACTTGCTTTAACTGATCTTAATTGCCAGGTGTGCCCTCTTTTGCATCACTCTAAGACCCAGTTCTTTCAAACTTTACTTTTCAGTGGCTATGTTCACAGTGACAATACCTTTCTCTTGTGGGAATCGAGCAAACTCTTACAGGTTTAGTACCATTGTCTTTGATCTTTCAGTATCCATTTGTTGCCTGATTTGTGATGGCTTTCAGCCTTTGACTTTTCCACCTTGCTAGAAACCCAAGATCAGTTTTTTTTCTGACGTGACTTCTTTGCTTACCACCTTGCCGGGGCTTCTGCAACCTGTAAGCTTCCAAACTCCAAGTTACTACTTTGAACATAAACTACTAGCTGTAGTTTCACAGATCTCTGAGTATTTTTTCCCAGATCTCCTGCCTTGTCCTTATTCTGTGTAGACTCTGTCTCAATGAAAAATGTTAAAAAATACTTCACCAGGCATAGTGATGTGTCCCTGTAGTCCCAGCTACTTAGGAAGCTGAGACAGGAGGATCACTTGAGCCCAGGAGTTTGCGGCTGCAGTGAGCCAGAATCATGCCACTGCACTCTAGCCTGGGTGACAGAGCGAGACCCTGACCCCCCAAAAAGGGACCAAAATTTATATCCCACTCTGATATATCTAAGTAATTTCTGGAAAGAGCTATTATTAAAGGAGCAAAAGATCTTCCAAAGTTTAAGCCAAATTTATTTAAATGAAGTATAGAGGACAATTAATGGAATTGTCTAAATGATACAAAGCTACCCTTCTACCTCAATTATGAGAATACCCTTCTACCTCAATTATGAATAAGCAAGATAATAGCTTACTCAATTTTCTACAAGTTCATCCATAAAATCTGCCTTTATTTACATAAAATTATATAAAATATTTGAATTAAAAGAGATCATAAATAATTCTATTTTTTCCCAGTTCATGTGGCATTTTAGACATAGTCAAAATTTGTAGCGTTATTTTTTTTTCTTTTCCAGATCTTTAAAAAGCATCTATAACCCACTGAATAAGATGGGTTAGAAGATGAAGCTGCTGAGAAGTGCTGCAAAGCTGATGGTATTGATATCAACACAGACATCATATGCTTTTGGGGAACAGTGCACTCAGTTGACACTTATTCCTAATAAATTCAAACAGTGGAGAGTTCTCTAACTTATTTTTAAAGTCTCTTTAATCTATACTTCCTATTGTTGAATGATACAAATTAGTTTCTTGATCTCTGTTCAGATACTGGGTTACATACAATTTTTGGCCATTTAAGTATACTGTAAATCCCTCCAGAAAACTTTCTTATATTGTCTTGTGCTTCACAGCTAGTTTTCAGGCATATGTACTGCTTACAAATTAGTTTGGTATTTAAAAAGGAGTTGTGGCTTGAGTTACAAAGATTTAAAGTTAAAGCAATGCTCTTAATAATTTCTATTTTCTCACTGAATCAATTCACACTAGACACCCCTTTAACTTCCATATACATGATCACTCACCTTCTGTCCAAAAATCTATTTTAGGAAAGAGCAGAAGTACAAGAGGACCTTGTAAACAATACTACTAATATTAGTAGGAATACGGCAAGGTTTAAGAGTGACAACTTTAGCTTCACTACTTTCAAGCTGCTTACTAGCTGGGACAAGTTGTATAAATTCTCCGAGCCCATTTTCCTCATTTAAAAAAGGGGCCATAGACATTTTTCCAAAGACATACAAATGGCCAACAAGCACATGAAAAGATGCTCAATATAGTTAACCATTAGGGAAATATAAATAAAAAACACAATTTCAACCACAATAGTACTACATACACATTAGAATAATTATGTTAAAAATAAAAAAATAACAAGTGCTTTCAAGAATGTAGAGAAATTGGAACCTCTGCATTACTGATAGGAATGTAAAATGGTACAGTCTCTTTGGAAAGCAGTCTGATAGTTCCTCAAAAGGTTAGACATAGAATGACCGAATGACCCAGCAATTCTACTCCTAGGTATACACAAGAGAAATGGAAACATATGTCCACACATAAATTTGTACATGAATGCTCACAGCAGCATTGTTCATAAGAGCCACAGAATACAAATGATCAAAATGTCAGTCAACTAACTAATGAATAAATAAAATGTGGTCGATTATTATTTAGCAATGAAAAGGAGTGAAGTACTTATACATGCAATAACAATGACTGAACCTTGATAACACTATGCTAAATGTAAGAAGCCTATCACAAAAGACCACATGTTACATATTTTATTCATATTAAATATCCAGAATAGGCAAATCTATAGTTACAGATAGTTGATTAATAACTACCTAAAGCTGAGGATGGGGTGAGGCTGAGGGACTGAGGAGTGACTGTCAATGGGTACAGAGTTTCTTTCTGGGGTGTTGAAAATGTTATGAAATTCTGGTGATGCTTGCACAACATCGTGAATAGACCAAAAATCATTGAAATGGATGTTTTAAATTGCCAATTGTACGGTATATGACTAATATAATAATAAAACTGTTAAAATGAGGCAAGTAGTTGGGTTTATCACAAAGAGTTGCTGGGAAAATTAAATAAAATAAGCTATATAAAGTATTTAATATAGTGCCTAGTACCCTGTAAGCAATCAATAAGTGACAGCTCCACCACCACCACCACTGCCACTACTACTACTACTGATATTATCACTACAAATAATAATAATTATTATTAGTAGTAGAATTATTATTAAATAAGATTATAATAATAATTGCTATTCTTAGCAGTACTAGAAATGTTATTAAATTATACTAAGTAGAGTAATAACATTATTATTTGTAATAGTAGAGCTGTTATTAAATAATAATTACTATAGTTGTTAATATTATTTAGCTGTCCTTATTAGAATGATAGTTTTTTCCTAGGATAGAGTTTGGGGTCTAGATAATGTTACCATACCCAGTGTGCTATAATAAAAAGAAAAAACTTCGGAGTGAAACAGATCTTGTTGAAATCCCATCTTTGTCACTTACTAATTATGTAACATCATGTAAGCTATTTCACCTGTCTGTGGTTACGTTTCCTCATCTGCAAAATAATTCAACAATATCTACTACTACTTTGAGCTCTTATGAGTAATAAGACACTGTATGTGCAAATACCCATTTTAGTGCCTAGTACCTAGTAAATTCTCAAATAATTTTGGTTTCAAATATATGAAATAATGGTTTTGGCTTTTTAAAAATATGATGAAACACCATCAAACTTGTATCAGTATCTCAATAAGACATAAGCCTAAGCAATGCCCCCAAACACCAATGTATGCATAGAGGACTGGTTAACAATCATGCTATTTAAGAGATGTTCGTAATCACATTGTTAGATTATAACAGACACTATTTAGTAAACTGTTAACTTTTTTCCCATTTCATTCTTAAAAATCTCAAAACAAGCACAGCTGTTATAGAAACTTAGACAAAGTAAGGGAACCAGTTTCAGTCTCACTCAATACTGCAGCCAACTCTTAAGGAAAAGGCTTGGTCCAGATTTTCCAAAGCTGTAAATAATGCACATGGTATATGATCTGGGCAATAGAATGGTTTTCAGTTTGGGGTAGCTCACGCTAAGCTTGTGCGTGTTATCCTGAATAAATAGGTCTTTTGGAAACAACTCACTAACCCTAGAATGTCTACAAGGGTGAGGAAATTCTGCCATGAACTAGCTCCCATTACGTGTGCCAAGAAAACTGAGTTAGTTCATAATACCCTCCTTCTTACTCTCCAAAGTCTCCATAGTGTTCAGTTATTCAAGATTACATAAAAGTTTTTAAGGAGTTATTTGAAACTAAGAGGGTAAGAATATGATATAAAAAATTTAAAAAATCCCTTGCTTCCACCATTATACACACAATGCATATACCAAGTTATGACTCCAGCTAATGAAATAACCATGTATTACTATTTGCATTAACAATAATTCTACTTCATCCATGTCCCTACAAAGGACATGAACTCATCCTTTTTTATGGCTGCATAGTATTCCATGGTGTATATGTGCCACATTTTCTTCTTAAAGTATAAAAAAAAATAAAAATAAAAAAATAAAAAATACAATAATTCTAGTTTGACATTTAGCTCAGTTGTTGACTTGCTTTGGATTGTTCATTTTATTTCAACTTTAGAAGGAGTTGATTAATTTTGTTAAACTTAATTGATTCAAGGGTATCATAAATTTCCATTTTTAGTATTTGCCACATTAAAGCAAATGGTGGACAATTTATGATTTCAAAAGGTTCTATTCTTGGTAATTCTTAATTATTTTCAGATAAATCTAGTAATTGGGTTGAAGCTACAGAGTTTTGTCATTGTTTTTAGTGAAAGCCTAAGCATATAGAACATGAGGTCCTGCCACAAGAAAAATCATTTTCCTTTTTCCCTCTTTTGGCAGTTCTCATATTGCGATGCAATTCTACTTATGCACATCTGTTTCCCCACTAGATTGAGAACTCCTTAAGGCCAAGAAATTCATTTAATTCACCTCTGTATTTTCAGGAGCTAATATGCTGGCATCCAGTAAGAACTCAATAAATGTTTTTAGGTAAATAATGTTTTATAAAAAACATAAATTTAGTTGAATAGCTTATTTCCTAATTTGGGATTAAACTGGGTATTTGTTTGCCTTCTAGTCCTGAGTATTGAATTAAATGTTATATTTTGATATATTCTCTTGTAGAGTCTTTTACACTGGTCTCTTAAGGGATCTGATATAATTTTCAGTAGAAACTGATATGCTAGGGAAATCGATTTCTGATGAAGATTAACACTTCTTACATATATAGAGACAGTTTGAGCCAATAGCATATAACACACTCATGAAATATGAATTTGAATAGCCTGTAAAAATAAAATAAATTCTGAATGAGAATAGAAAAGAAAAAGAATCTTTTATACTGGATCAGATTTGTCTAGAAATGAACTATTGGCTTTTTGAAACATCAAAAGTAACCCAATTAGCTTGGATGTTCTACTTGTCTGGGTTTTTCTGATCTACCTTAGGCCCCCCAGGCCTCCTTTTTGATTCACACAGAAAGAGAAAGTAAATGTTTATATGTATTTTCTGCATAATGCTGTCTAGCTTATTTCAAGTTTTAAAAAACTTCCAAGAAGAAAATTATCGGCCAGGCTCGATGGCTCATGCCTGTAATCCCAGCACTTTGGGAGGCCGAGGCTGGTGGATCACCTGAGTTCAGGAGTTTGAGACCAGCCTGGCCAACACAGCGAAACCCAATGTCTACTAAAAATACAAAAATTATCTGGGCGTGGTGGCACCTGACTGTGATTCCAGCTGCTTGGGAGGCTGAGACAGGAGAATCACTTGAACCCGGGAGGCGGAGGTTGCAGTGAGTCGAGATCATGCCACTGCACTCTACCCCGTGTGACAGAGCAAGGCTTCATCTCAAGAAAAAAAGAAAGAAAAAGAAAGAGAGAGAGAGAGAGAGAGAGAGAGAGAGAGAGAAAGAGAGAAAGAAAAGAAAGAAAGAAAGAGAAAGAAAGAAAGAGAGAGAGAGAGAGAAAGAAAGAAGGAAGGAAGGAAGGAAAGAAAAAGAAAGAAAGAAAGAAAAAGAAAGAGAAAGAAAGAAAGAAAGGAAGGAAGGAAAAGAAAATTATCATCATCAGTCAGAAGAACAGAGCACATTTTGAAACTCACCTTTAATTAAAATTAGATAGCAGATCTCAAATCTTTCATGCAAATTTGTTCATGACTTTTTCAAAGCTTCCAGGAGTGTGTTACAGTTTGTAAAGCATGCATTTGGGTCTCATGAAAAGAAGTAGTTTATGAAAAAGGGTCTATCTAGCATGAATATATTTCAAATGGGGCACATGTCCTTACAATATTTTAATAAATTTGTATTAAAGGTGTAAAATAAGTTTATATATTGTAATACAGTGTTGTTTTACTTAGAAAAAATTATTGAAAATATTTTTTTTTCAACTGCTGAGAAAAGAATTGGCCCTGGTATAGTCAAGGTTTATTTCTCGAATTTAAAGCTAAATTTACCTTCAGAGAGAGAAAAAATAAAGGATAACAGGACCAAATTGGAATTTTGCACGTACGTGTTGTACATTGTTTTATCTTTTATATATCATACATTACCACAGGGAACGTTAGTTGCATAGACTTGTTTTGTGAGAGCAATAGTTTTCAGATTATTTTGTTAAGAATGTGTTTATCATCTCAAAATATATGGTTATTTGGTAAAGATTCATCTTCTTTCAGTATTACAATGTGAACACAATTTAGCAACAACCAAACTGTCATCACTAAATCAGCAAAAACGTATCTAAATTTCTAGAACTTTGCAGATGACTAATGGCTTCCACTATAGGAAAAAGTCAAGATGTTTATTTTTCTCTAGAGACATAACAAAATATCTGTACTGATGCCAACTCCATGCATGAAAAGTATTTATTTCTACTGAAATTTTTCATTTAATGAATTCCTTTTAGAAATATTCAGAACTGAGAACAGAGTGTAACCCTCAAATGAACACATAAACACTTATTCCAGACCATGTTTCCTAAAACTACCTTGAAGCTGATACTCAAGTATTTCCTAAAACGTGTCTCATTTTGCATAAAATTGCTGCATGAAATTCTTGTCCATGGGAAAAATAAAATTAATAATGCTCTAGATAAACTGATTAATGTTTGTTCAGGTTATCTACTAATTACTTAACAAACTACCCCTAACTTAATGGCAAATGACAATCACTTTACTTTGCTCATGAATTTTGGGGTCATAAATTTGAGAAGAGTTCAGCTCAGTGGTTTGTCTGTGATCTACATGGCATAAGCCAGGGAAGCTAGGGCTGGAGGATCCACTTCCAAGATATCTTCTTCACTTATATTGGTGTCTTGGTGCTAGTTGACCTCTCTCTCCCACCATATTGTGTCTCATCCTCTAGTGCCTCTCTATGTGGCTTAAACTTCAAACAGCATGGTGGTTTCAGAGTGGACCAAAACACTGGGACAGAAGTTGCAAGTTTCTTTTGATTCAGCCTCTAAAATTTCAGAACATCACTTTTGCCACACCCTATTGGTCAAGTGTGTCCCGACGGCCAACCCAGATTCAACGGGAGAAGAATGAAAAATCAAGTTTAGATATTAGGAGTAGCCAAAAATCTATGGCCACCTTTAATCTACCATGATGTTGTCTAAAATTTTAAGTAATGTGATTTGGGAAACCCAAAGTTGATAATGTGTTTAGCCATATGGATTGGATTTTCGTATTTCTTGGCAGCTCTAATTTTAGTTCTAGCTTGAGGATGTCCAGAATTGAATGTGTTTGATAAACTTCAGAAACTGAAGGAAAACAATTTCCAGTTTTCATTACCTTACTGAATTCTTCAAGTTTTCCAGACATAGACAGAGATATCCAGTAGTCCCAGTTATCTTTCTCTATCTCTTTTTTACACATGGTGTTTTCTAATGCCTCATGATTCTGACTGCAGAACTCCCACTCACACGGAGGAGCTCTTTGACATTTATAGTGCTCATAATGTCATCTGACTATTGAGGTATGAGAGCAACTTACAAAAGGATTTCCAATTGTGAATAAATGGTACTAAATAAATCCGTGAAAGAGTTAAAATCACTTAAAATTAATCAGTCATGTGCTCCTTGAAACACCAAAGATCTGGTTTGACTGATTTTGCTTTTCTTTCTCTGAATTATATGGTTGTTTAACATCTCAGAGTAACAGCCTTTCTGGGATGAAAAATAAGCAGGTCTCCATCTTTCTGTCAATAAAGTTGTTTCCAATTGTGTTACAAACTAAAACCCGAAAAGTTCAGCCTTACATCTAATGTAAATTGGAAGTAAATTATTTTAGTAATCTTATAGGATGGTAGTACTTGGTAGGGTATTTTGGCATATATATCTATGTTAGAATACAGGTTTATACAAAGTGCACATCTTGTAGATGTCCTGAACAGTACATACAGGTGTTACACCCAGTGAATCTGAATGGAATGTATCTTCTACAATGGTCCTTCTCCTTGCTTTGGATCAATACTTTTCAAACTTTGCTGTTGTGTGCCTAATAGCAGAGGAGAGTACAGAAGGTATTCCTCCAGGGACCACAAACATAAAATTTACTCACATTTTATTTGTGTATCTTATCAAGTACTATTTTTTTTTTTTTTTTTTTTTGAGATGGAGTCTTGCTCTGTCACCCAGGCTGGAGTGCAGTGGCATGATCTCAGCTCACTGCAAGCTCCACCTCCAGGGTTCACACCATTCTCCTGCCTCAGCCTCCCGAGTAGCTGGGAATACAGGTGCCTACCACCATGCCTGGCTGCTTTTTTGTATTTTTAGTAGAGACGGGGTTTCACCGTGTTAATCAGGATGGTCTCGATCTCCTGACCTTGTGATCTGCCCTCCTCGGCCTCCCAAAGTGCTGGGATTACAAGCATGAGCCACAGGGCCTGGGCTTATCATGTACATTTTATCATGCAAATGTTGCTTTCTACATATAGATAGATAGATAGATAGATAGATAGATAGATATAGATATATAGATATATATGTGGATAAATTGTTTTCATACCAAATGAAATCAATTTATCCACTTGAATTTCCATGTAAACTAATGATACGAGACCGTCATATGGCTCCATGTAACCCCTGGAACCACAAAGTTCCCTTGGAATATTTTTATCCCAGTTCAAGGTAGAGAAATGTAAGTAAAATGTATCATACAGTCAGTAAGGGTATCAGCATATCTAGATTTGGCTCTAACAAAATATAATGACTGCAAAACAATATAGGGGACATAAGAAGAGCCACAGTCTAATACTTCATTATTTCCAAATATTTACCATTTGCACAGTCCACTCTTGATAACATGTTTATTAATTTCTTTTTGTTTTGTTTAAAATGCTTAACTTTGGTACTCACATTGCTAGGCTTATTTAAAAACTACTATTTGCTATATTTCATTTTGGAAAAGTGAACATTAGGAATATAATTTTCTGTCTCTTATTTTCAAGATATAAATAAGCTTTCAACAATCCCAACTGAATTATAAAGATCAAAAGTTGAGTCAAAACTTCCAAAAACTACAAGGAGGTATCATCTCACCCTAGTTAAAATGGCTTTCATCCAAAAGAGAGGCAATAACAAATGCTGGAGAGGATATGGAGCAAAGGGAACCCAAATGTCCACTGTTAGTGGGAATGTAAATTAGTACAACCACTGTGGAGAATGGTTTGGAGGTTCCTCAGTAAACTAAAAATAGAGCTACCATATGATCCAGCAATCCCACAGCTAGGCATATACCCAAAAGAAAGGAAATCATTATATCAAAAAGATATCTGTACTCCCATGTTTATTACAGCACTATTCACAATAGCCAAGATTTGGAAGCAACCTAAGTGTCCATCAACAGACAGATGGATAAAGAAAATGTGGTACATATACACAATGGAATACTATTCAGTCATAAAAAAGAACGAGGTCCAGTGATTTGCAACAACATGGATGAAACTGGAGGCCATTACATTAAGTGAAATGAACCATGCACAGAAAGACGAATTTCACACGTTCTCACTTATTTTGGGGAACTAAAAAATTAAAACAATTGAACTCATGGAGATAGAGAGTAGAATGATAGCTACCAGAGGCTAGGAAGGGTTTTGGGTGTGGTGGAAGTAGGAATGGTTAATGGGCATGCAAATATAGTTAGAATCAGTAAGATCTAGTATTTAATAGCACAACAGGGTGACTACAGTCAACAGTAATTTATTGTACATCTTAAAATAACTAAAATATTATAACCGGACTGCTTGTAACACAAAGAAAGAATAAATGTTTCAGGTGATGGACACCCCATTTACCCTGATGTGATTATTGTACATTGTATACCTGTATCAAAATATTTCATGTACTCTATAAATATACACACCTACTAGGTACCCACAATAATTAAAAATTAAACAAAAAGAAAAACCTTTCTAAATGAGTGAAAATTGGGATCAATTTGTCTTCCCTGGCTGTATAATGGATATAGACCACAATGGTCACAAATATCAACAAATCATATATTCAGTGTAAGCCCAATACATTTCAAGCATATTTACTCAGTTCTCTTGTGGTTCTTCTATTTAGAATTGAAGAAATTTAGAATACTAGAATGAAATCCAAGACAGATGAAATCTCGCAAATGTTAAAGGGCATGATTTAAATTAAAGGCCACAATTTGAAAGAGATCCTAGCAGGCCTCTGAGTTTTTAGCTTACAGTACTTAAAATTACAAGGATTAGCAGTAGGAGCTCTAAAAAGAGGTGTAACACCTTGTGTTCTTATTTGAGTGTGTAAAAAGACAATAGCACTCATAAGTCAACTTGCCACTTTTCCCAACATCATATGATTCATAAATATTCAGGATCCCAACCTAAAAACAAGTTTTAAATGACCCTGGATTGTGATATTGAAAATAATATTATCAAATCATTTTAAAGGCGAAACCGAAGCCTGTATTTTATTTTAAGAAGTGCTTGGTCTCCAGGAGTTAATGCTGTCCAAATAAAAATTTTGGCTGACATGTATGAAAAGTTTTCTGTACCAATCACCAATGCAAGACACTCATGAATCTATCAATCACAGAATTAAAAAGCTCTGTCATACAGCACACTTAATACCCAGTGTAACTAATTAGTATTACCATTTTTTGATGCAATACAAACTCATTTCCTTAAACTGCTATCGCACTGAACTCCAGGGTTATAAATGAGCAGAACACAAATTGATTTGCATGTAATAACAGTGGCAATAAACCTTTCCTGGTTCATGCAATTTTCCCCATCTGTTAACAGAGGGCAAGTTTAGGAAGTGTTATTCCAAGGAGGGGACTTACCCAGCTGGACATCTATAACACTTGGCTGATTCTCCATGGGGAACAATGGCTTGGGAGGCTTGTCTGTGAGTAAAGCTAGAAGAGAAAATGAAAGAAAGTAATGGAAAAATTGAGATAAATTACAGGATGAGAAAGATTCTATCATGTATGATATTTAATGTTTGTAGACTTGATGGTGTGTAAACATTTATTAGACAGTGTTCCTACTTCCTACTTGGGTTGTTACTCTATCCATACAATATCCATTTCCCAGCACATTTAGAGCACCATTGATTCACTGTAAATAGGCCATTTTGACAACTACATTTTCCAACAAGATGAAACAAATGGACTATTTTGGGTGGTTTTTATAAATTTGTAAGTATAAAGAAATATATATTTTAAAAGTATAATTGAGAAATAGTAAATCCTCATATATGCTTTGTAGTGGTATTCTCAATGAAATATTACCCTAACGGACATTTTTAGTGACATGAATCTTCTAAACCTCTGAATTATCCCCCACTCTCCACTGCAACCTCCAAAACAATATAATAAAGCAATGATATCTTCATTGGGATAATTGATCAAAAATACCAATTAAGCATCTTTTGTACTCCAAGTCTTGTGCTAGCTACTAAAGGGAAAGAAAGTAAAGTCTTTATCTTTGCCCTCAATTTATAACACAGGACTATGAACACAGGACTAGCACACCATAATAGAGAATGGAACATAGAATGTAGCATTTGAGCTATAAGGCTATATATAGGTGGTAAAGAAATGGAGAAAGGAGAGGTTAATATTCGCTGGAAGGTTTGGGGAAAGTTTTATGAAGAGAATGGATCTCCATACGAAACTTAAGGGATGGAGAAAATTTGGAAAGGCAGAGAGTGGAGAAGATTTGGAAAGGCAGAGAGTAAAGAAGAAAAGATTCTCAGAAGATTCTCAAAAAGATTTTCAAAAGATTATCAGGAAAGATTAACAACATAAACCAAGGCACAAAAGTAGAACTTCACAAGCATAATATGCTTTGAGGAAAATGAGCCTGATGAGAAGGGGTTTTGTGAGCACCATGAATTAAAAATGAAACTAGATAGATTGGATGGGGCTGAATTCTGGAGGACTCTGAGTAACAGGCAGAGGAATTTGGACATGATGTTCTAGGCTGGAGTGTCATTGTAGATCTTGAAACAAAAAATGACTCAAAGGAAGTGATGTCTAATGATGATTGGCTTGATATGTGGAATGGGCTGAGAGAAGAACAAAAACTAAGAGGTTGAGGAAACAATGCTGCAGTGTGTGGGGATGGGTGGTGGTGAGCAGTCACACCAGGTTGGAGTTTGGGGAATTTTTTTTTTTTTTTAATGAGAGGACAAATCTGAGAGGCACCTGGAAGAAAGAAATGAGAGGACTCAGTATGCAGATACATAATGTCATGTGTATTGTTGTCATAAAACAACCCTTACTTATATCAAACTATTGTTTATATCCTGAATTCCCTTTAACTGATTCTGTATTTATGTCTTGCTTCAAGTATCCAACTGAACTCTTACCTACTAAAAAGAAATGTTTTATACTTCTTTATAATTCACAGGAGGAATAGCATAGGATTGTGCTATAATGATTAAGCCACCATTAATTGACTAGCTTAGGAATTCCCTGCCAACATGAGAGAAGATCTCATACTATTTGAAGAATATTTAGAAGCGAAAGAGAGAAATAAAAGTTGATTACAGGACAGGTAAGGTTAGGGAACTATACAAATTTGGAGAGATTCCCAAAATAGTTGTTGATAATAAACAAATGCACCAGAAATATACTTAGGAAAGAGCTTTATGGCACATTAGCTTTCTCTTCCTAATACCTGAGCTGCCTGAAGTGGAAAAATTTCAGTGAATTAATTGCCTTCATTTTTCCAACACATCATTCAAGATGACATACAATATGTATTGTCCTTATGGAATTGAACAACATTTTTGTTTTAATTGACTTTGGCATAATTTAGACCTACTAATATAATGTCTAGTCTTCATTTCATAAATACTACAGTTACTCTTAATAATCTGATTTTTAAATATTATTGGAAACATGAGGGATCTACTTTAAAAAAAATGAATATGTTTGAATTTAAAATCCAGTTATATCAGATGTTCAATTTTGTTGTAGTTTGCTATTATTTGTAATAGTAAAATATTGGAAACAACCTCAATTTCTAATAGTAGGAGCCTTGTTACAATTGTGGTGATTTCATATAATGACATATTATGATACTGCTGTTTAAAATAATTAGGTAAATCTGTAGATTAGATATGAAAATATTTCCAAGACATACTGTTTAATGAAAAAAACAAGGTCCCAAATAGTATGCGCAGCATGCTATTTTGAGTATAAAACATACATATGCATATATAAATGTTTGTATATGTATGAAATATTTCTAGATGGATACATGTGCAACTGGTAACAGTGGTGTCCTCTGAAGAGAGGGAGTGGATGGCTGAGTAACTGTGGTGGGTAAGGAAAGGGTGTCATGGGCAGGCAGAAGGAAGATTTAATCTTCACTATATGCCTTTATATTTTGAACCATCCCCATATGCTATGTATTCAAAACATAAATAAAATTAAATCCAGCCATTTTTCATTTTATTAATAAAAAACCCATTTTGATTTCTTTATAGAATTATTGTCAATTTACCTTACACATCCAAATTATAGACATTTAGTTTGCTGGAAACTATTCTTGGGCAATCTTATTTTAAAATATTTCCTTCTTCCAAATAAATTAACTGGAATGTGATAGGTGGGAAGCAATTGTAAGGAATGTATTTCATGTATGGAAATGACAATCTTGCTCTGCTTTCAGCAGGATGAGTTTGGGGTCATTGTTTTCCCCTTCCCTTATCTTCCGCCATGGACTATGGATGTATTTACCCTAATTTTATTATTGTTAAATATCAATTGCTGAAGTGACATTCACTAATATTAATGATAATTTTAAGCATCTTACATTTATAGGTGGTTCATAAGTTTCAAAGTGCTTTCAGATACATTAGCTCATATTATCTTCATGATGACCTTGTAAGGTAAAGAAGACAGTTACAAATGTGGCCAATTTAGATATGAAGTTAAATGAAGCTTATATTGTCTTATTTGGTGTCCCCTTGGGACCAAAAGCCCCCACTTGCAAGATGAATAGGAAAACAGGATATAAGTTGTAGGCAGTAGACAGGTAAAGAGCTCAGTACTGAGTCAGTGGTTTTAGCCTCTTTGACTCTACGATAATTACACTAGGGTTCCTAGTCCAATGGGAATGGCTTTGTGGCAAACAGCCAGTTGAAACATGATCCCTGTAGGACACCCCACACATATACACCTTTTCCCCCTAAACCTGTGAATGGAAAGAGATGAACTGGCACTTAACCCAGCACATCTCAATGGGATATAAGGCTATGGTGCCTCTTTAAATTCCAATATCATGTTTAGGCCTGAGAATTGCTAAGAAGTGCAGAACATTTGTGATGATAAAGCAGCAACTGCAGCAGTTCAATTGGATCCTGACCACCAGCCCAGAGACAAATCTATCAGCACCTTGCATAATTATAGCATTTGCAGATTAGCTAGAGTGCATGCTGCCACAGGGAGGCAAGCTCATTTCTTGTTCATTTTTATTTTTAAATCTCATCTGAAACTCAGTTACTAATTGTGAAAGGAAAGAAAGAACTGTCAATACCAAGTCCCCTAAACAACAGGGCAGAGATTTACAATTTTATTAGGAATTTTATCCTGGACCTCAAGGGGGACTAATTGGGGTCTGAGCTAATCTTTGAATTTGCTGCTTAAGCTTCATGCTTTGATTGAAAGAATGGGAGCAAAGGATACATTTTGTTACTAACGTTTCAATGTACAATTTCACCAATGCACTTTCCTCAGTAGCTGCTTATATTTAATTATCCTTAAATATAATTGCTCTACTGTGTATACCATGACACTAGTCTTAACGTGTTAGTGAAGCTACTACTATTACTGCCTTCTTCTTCCTAAAACTAGGTTTTATATGTTTGACACTAACTTTCCTGAGAAGAATGCTCAAAATAACTTGTTCTTTTCCATGATAGGCAATGATTTTATCTATATGTACAACCAGATCAACTGGTTTGACTGAAATGATTGGTCAATTTCCATGAACTTAGTATAAAAAATAAGTAGACTCATTTGTTTAATTGAATAAATGAATTTGACTACATTGCCCAAGTGTTACCTACTGTTATGACAACTTTCATTGTCCTCTTTTGTTGTTGACTTACCTGTTTAATTAGATTGGCCAGAAAGACCAAGTGGGAGGGAGTAGAAGGACAGAAACTCATTAATTTCTGTGAATGAAGCTATTTTGGAATTTGTATGTTATGGTCAATGAAATGGATCCTCCCAAATCCATTCAGCATAGCAGCACTAAAATCACATTCTAACATCACTATTTTCGTCATAACATTTAACCATTCAAAACCTACCAATGTTTCCTACATTTACAGGAGGATAAACTCTGAACTTGTCACCTGGGAACATAAAGGCAGTCATAGTCTAGCCTTAATAACTTTCCTGTCATTATTTTATTTTATTTATTTTATATTTTATTTTATTTTATTTTATTTTATTATTTTATTTATTTTTTGAGATGTAGTTTCACTCTTGTTGCCCAGGCTGGAGTGCAATGGCAGAATCTCAGCTCACCTTAATCTCCGCCTCCTGGGTTGAAGCGATTCTCCTGCCTCAGCCTCTGGAGTAGCTGGGATTACAGGCATGCACCACCACGCCCGGCTAATTTTGTATTTTTAGTAGAGACAGGGTTTCTCCATGTTGGTCAGGCTGGTCTCGAACTCCCGACCTCAGGTAATCCACCCGCCTCGGCCTTCCAAAGTGCTGGGATTACAGGTGTGAGCCACGGTGCCCAGCCTTTCCTGCCTTTTTACCCACCTATCTTCTATTTTATTGATGCTATAGACAACTTACTTTCCTCATTCACATCGCATTAATTTCCAACTATGCATCTTGGCTTAAACTCTTCCTCTAAGTTTGGTAACAAACAAAAACAGCTACCATAGTTATGATTTACTTAATATCTACTGTTCTAGGCTGTTTCAAGACATTTTATATTACATTTTACAAATAACTTGCCCAAAGTCAAGCAGCTTCTTCTTGAATCTAAAGAAGGGACCTGAATTGAGTTCTGTCTGATTTCACCAGGCCCACAATACTCTAAGACCTCCCCCTTTCTTTTTTTCATCCCAAGTCCTAGCTATCCTCCAAAAACTTGTTTAAGTCTTGAATCCTCCAGAAAGCCTTCCTTAATAACAGTCCAAGCTAATCTTTCTCCTCTCTTAAATCCTAAAGCATTGACTACTCCTTTGAACCACCCATTTGGTTCATGACATGTACTACTTTGAATACAAATTAAACCTCACATTACATGGGTATGTCTTGTCTTCCTAACTATATTTTTAAGCTCCTGGAGGATAAAGATCATGTCTCATATAATTCAGCAAAGAAGATAGTATGTGACATTGGGGAACAAATAAACACAATCTCCAAATTAACTTCCCGGTGGTATTCTTTCTCTAAAAAACTGTGCTTCCCATAGCATTCTTAGATTGCAAGGAACAGAATCAAACTTTTGCTAATTAAAGCCAAAAGGGAATTTATCAGAAGTATATCTCAAGGATGGCCAGGAAGTTTGGGGAACTAGGTTTAATAACAGAAAAGAAACCAGGCGAGGTCTAGGTATGCAAGCAAAAGAGACTATACAATAATTTCATCTTGACCCCCTCATTGAATTGAACTGGTTTTGTTGTTTTTTTTTAATATGTTTTCTTTTATTGTGTTGTATCTTGGTTAAATGTTTTGTCCTTGTTTCACTTTGATCAAGATTCAAAATCCCAGAATGACAGGCTGAATGAACAAGTTTTGAGCTCCAGGCCTAGGAAAGATTATATGCAAATCATGAAGAAGAGAAGAATCTCCTAAAAGCAGTTTTTTTCAACCTCAGCGAGATAACATTCACTAACAGCAAATTCTTTGTTGTAGGTGACTGTCCCATGCATTGTTGGATGTTTAGCAGCTTCCCTGGCCTCTACCCAAAGATGCCAGTAGGACCTTCCCCCAGTTGTGAAACTAGAAATGTCTCAAGATATTGGCAAAATGTAATGAGGGCAATAACATTGTACCTGCTTAATAACCACTGTCCTAAAGAAAACTTAGGTTGTGTTAGAAAAAGAAATAAATACTAGATGGCCAAAGGTAACAGGCAATACCATCTCATTGCCCAACTCCAGGGGCACACTTACATCAGTTTCCATGTGAATGGCATTCCTGGGAGCATATAATATTAATGGGATGCCCTGAAGTTGTGCAAAGAAGTGACATTGATCACACACATCCATTAATAAAACACAATTTTATTAATTAAAACAATAATATTTTATGCCAAATACTTCTCAAGTTCTGAAATAGTCACTGGATTTTGTCAATGGGTAGCAACCATTCCATGGGCTCTTTCCTCTTCCAAATCACCTAAGCTCATGAGCTAATTCCAAAAGAGAGCAATAGCAGCCTTATGGCTCTTTGTCCGAAAGTGCGCAGATGTACAAGTATTACAGACTGCCTATTGTTCTGAGGGAATTGAGGATTTTGGGAAGAAAGACTTGGGAATAGCTTTCATGTGAGAAGACAAAATGGAGGTCCTTACTTAGCAAATCAGATTTACGGAGAGCCAGAGATCCTGTTAATACCTTAAAAATTTCCTGTAATCATGAATGGAGATTTGCCAAGCTTAGCCTAAGTAGTTGACTAGTTTGAAGATTTCATAAATTGAACACAGAATGAATGCAGAAATTGCTGAGCTCTGAACACATCATAAGAGCTATTATTCTTTGGAATACTTGTCATTTTTTTATTGTGATTAGCTGATAATTGCTTGAGGCAAGGAATCTCTCTTTCTCAATTAACTACATAGTCTTCCTAATCCTGTATTATGATGTACACAATTTACTGGCCACTTAATCTAAAGCTCCATACGATAAAAATATTTTATTTCTAGAATTACCAGGCTGAGAGTCCCGTAATTTAGATGATTATCCAGGAAAAAGTATAGAAAAATCATGATTATTCAATATCATCCTTAATGTTCCAAACCTGTAAATTCAAGCAGGACCAGCCTTGGTTACAATATATCTCCTTTGCCCTAATATTCCTAATTTTGTGATCTCTATTTTAGAGAAATTTCTTCTCCATCCTGCTTTTAGGCACACAAAGTTGTGACTCTGATCAAAACCTGCTGCAAAAAAGCATCTGCCATTTAAACCTTAATGTGAACTTAAGACACTTGTACCTTCTCTCATAAGGCTAGCTGCTTTTGAAGGATTGTCTCTAAATGTGGAATGAAAGACTTTAGTCCATTGTAGGCACACATTGGGCACCAGGGCCCCTTTCTTGACTTACTATCTTCACATTGATGTTAGCCAACAAACAGGGTGGCCTTCTGCAGAAGCCGATGAAGACAAGTAAAGCTGTTTTCCTCAAGATTCTAACCAGCATTACTATGAGTGAATCTTCTAGTTCATAATAACATCTTAGGAAAAGAGCCCAGGCATATGTTAAATTAAAAAATCAATGTTCATTAATAATCAAGCTTTGTTTTTATTTCAGCTTGTTATTACTTCCATCAACTAACCACTGTAGCAATTAATATTTTATAATCATTTTCTCTACCAAAATTATAATATTGTCTGTCTTATTTGTAACAGGAGGAAACAGATCAGCATGGACTGTTTATTAACTCAATCTAGAGAGAAGATATATTCTCTAGGTGTCCCAGCTATAATAGAACATTTGTGATAGGCTCACCACAAAAAACAGAACCAGTGATCCCCAGAATTATTTGAAAATTTGTTTTCAAATCACTGATGGCTCCAACTTCAGATACTTTTACATGTATCTCCCTCATCTCCCTACCTACTACAACCCTTTAAAAATAATTCGCTTCATTAAGTCACTGTTACTGATGACAATGGTTCATGTTCCTCACATGTATATTTGGAAGATAAAATTATTGAGAACTGCTGAGAGTCAAACACATGAAAGTTTATATTCAGAGGATTACATTGCTTTTAAAACACATTCCAGTTTCACTAAAAATATCCCTTCCATTATTTAAAGCCATTGAAGTATTTGCCTTTTATTAGCATAGAACTTAAAGTCAGTTATTGTCTTTAATAAATAAGTGATCCTTTACCAAATAGAGGTTAAACTGCTGGGAAAGTGCTGGGCAACTTACCTGACCATTGCCCCTGCAAAGCTTAGGGCCTCCCTAGCAACTGGCTCAGAGCCTGTGTCCTGCCTTGCAATTCAGTGGATGTGCCCTGAGGGTAGTGAATGGTCAGGGCTGCTGTGAAGTTGCCCTGAGTTGCCCTTTTCTCTAGATCCCACATTTATTTCCACTAATATTTGAGTTTTGAGCAGTGCATGAGCTTTGGGAAAGCTTAAGTATAAGGCAGGGCAATTTCTTCTCAATGCCATTTGACACAAGGCCCTTCTCTGGAGAGAACAATGTTTATTCAGCACAAATCTGCCCAGACATAAAGCAACTTCTTCAAATTTGAAAAGAAAACAACCTTGGGGGAAATGGAAACTTAAACAGTGGTTATGATGGTAGTTTTGTTTTTTTTTTTTTCTTCACAGTTCCTGCTTTTTCTTCACTGTTGCCTTTTTCCCCTCAAGTAAGATTTTTCTTTCTCTCTCTAAAATAGTACTCCCTGGACCCTTATATTGTTGATGTCAAACAAATTCCACATATAGTTATTATCAAAGAAATTTCACAAGATAGTATACTTCCAGGTTTCACACAGAACTTGGGATATAGTTAGTATTAAAATAAGTATGAAAGGTTAAACATGGGAGATGGGTGAATTTTTACCTTGCTTAAAGATCATCATTTGGCTCTGTGATGACTGATCTGTCAGGATCTAGAAATTTGGCCTAGATAGTGATGTCTAAAAATATAATATGATACCCAAGGATGGATAATTTTAGAGCTAGACAAACCCTTAGAGATCTAATTCATCTGGCTATTTTGACAGATGAAGAAACTGAAAGGCAGAAAAGGAGGAATGTACTCAATATCATACTGCAAATTAATAATAAAACAGAAGACCCAAACCCAAGTTTCTTGAATTAAAAGTTCAATATTCTTGCTACTGCACCATGGCTAACATTGATTAAGCAGGGATTTCATGCCAAGCCCTTTTACATTTATTCTCTCATTAAATCCTCATGACAATGTATAAAGTAGGTCCTACTATTATCAACATTTGACAGATAAGAAAACTGAGGCTCAATGAGTTTAAATTATTTGTCCAAAGTCACATTGCTGGTAAATACATTTTGGGTCCAAGATTCAACCAAAGTCTATCTCACCCTTGAGTCCAAGGTCATAGCCACTACTCTATACTGTCATATTTCTTCCGTGTTTTTTTTTAAGACTGTTTTTTTGTGTGTGTGTTCAAAATACATCCAAAATATCTCCATATAAGCATCACCAAAAAAAATAAATAAATAAATAAAAAGGAAAGAAAGAAAGAAACCTAAACACTTCACTAAACTGATGAGCTTTGGGGATTAATTGACTGAATACCTCCTTTAGCTGTATCCACAAAATTCCACAGGTCAAAGAATGGGATGAAAATTCGATTTTGGATTACTTGGTGTAATTCATTCTTATAATCAGTTAACAAATGTTTGTAGTTCTATTACAGAAAGGTACTCTACCAACTAGTGTGTATATCTTCGTTGGGGGCAGTAAAGTATAAATTTGAAGAATACACAGAGTCAGATCAAAAGGCTTAATCTAGTAGAAGAAACGGAGGTATAAAATGGCTGTAGTAACTGACAAAAAGTGGTAATTGACTGTTTTAACTTTTATTGCTGCTGGTAAGCTATCACACACTTAGTAGTTTAAAACAACATATTTACTATTATCTTATTGTTTGGGAAGTGAGAAGTCTAATGTGGGTCTCACTGGATTAAAATTAAGGTGTCAGCAGGGCTGCATACCTTTCTGGAGGCCCTGGGAGAAAATCAATTCCTTTTCCTTTTCTACCTTCTAGAGTCTGTCTGCATTCATTGGTGCTTGGCCATTTTTCATCTTCAAAGCCAGCAAGGGCAGGTTGAATCCTTGTGACATTATATTATTCTTTCTTTTCTACCTACCTCTTCTATTTTTAAGGAAACCTGTGATTTCATTGAGCTTACCTGGATAATCCATGATGATTTCCCTATTTTGAGGTCAGGGGATTAGCAACCATAATTCTACTTACAACCTTAATTTGACTTTGCTATAGAACCTACCATATTCCTAACAGATTAGATTATGGACATCTTTGGGGTGGAGGGCATTATTCTGCCTACTACCATGCCACAAGAAGTAATCAAATAAAATATAGATAAAATTTAAAGAAGCAGAATATGACATTGCGGCTGTCATATGGAATAACATATTGTCTGTATTGTATTTTTATGAAAATAACTTTTTTACTGGTCTCATTTCAGCCAAATCAGTTTTTGAACATAATCTTTGCATTTCAAACCAAAGTTCATAAAGGCAATTATTTGACTAGATTGGGCAGGTATTGATACTTCTGTTTTCAGTCTAATGGTTTATTTACTTATGGTTTTCAAACTAATTAGGCATTCATAACTTGTTAACATGATGTTTTGCAATACAAAAGAATAAGGAAAAGCAAAATATCACTTAAGTTCAGTTGTTTGGATGTGCTAACAGTCCGTAATGAGGATGACAACCGGATATTAAATAAGCATTTTTCAAAAAATCAAAAGTTTCATGACAGGGATAATTTTCTAATTCACAGAATATTTGTTTGGTAAACATTATTTGTGATGTGATATTTAGAGCTCAGAAAGAAGAGAACCATTCTAACATAAAGACTTACTTAGTTTGGGATCTGAGGTAGAAAATAAAGTGTAAATCACAAGGCATTATCACTTTATCCTCCTCCATGTCAGCTTTACATTACCAGAGAACTTTCCATGATTGTGAGTAACCTATTTGTTTACATGACAACAAGCCAAATGCATGGTCATCAAAAATCTATAAAGTGCAGGGTGTTATTTCCACTTTGCAGATGAGGAAACTGAGGTTCAGACAGGTTAATTTACTCTCCTAAGGACTAACCTCTGGCTACTAAGAGCCAGAACCAAAATGTAAATCCTAATTTCCTGACTCCTATTCTGTAGTCTCCCAGTCTCATTTAATCCTCACAACATTCCTATGAGATGAGTACCACTATTTCCATTTTTTGTTGTTGTGGTTGAGGAAATTAAAGGCCAAAGGGGTTAGGTCACTTGACCAAGGTTACCTTGCTAGCAAAGATGGCAGAGCTATCATTCAAATCTATGTCTGTTTGGCTTTAAAGCTGAGATCTTCCCCCAGAATCATTCAAGGATGAATATGTAATAATATTTCAAATGAACTAAATCATACTAGAGCAGTCTCTGAAAATAAAGTAGTTTTACTTTCCATTTCCATCACTGAAGTCAGGACCTGGCTCTTAGAAATCTTGATTAATTTCCCACATGATGGCAGCTCTCTGGGAGGTTTCCAAGCTTGTTCCCTGTCTTCGTAACACCGATGAGAACTAATTTAATTAATCAAATATAAGCTGATGATCTATGATGTTGAAATTGATTTTCAAATGGAGCCAATTATGACTGCTCATAGTTCCAAGGAAAAAATATAAGCTAGGTGATTTCAAGATGTGATTACTGGATACAGAAGAATTGAGAAAGGAAAAAAATTAACTGAATTTACAAAGCACTTTCTCTTTCCCATGATTATCTCATTAAGTCCAACTCGGAGACTAGGAAAGCAAGAATTGTTGTCTCCAGAAACTGAGATAGGAAATCTTGGGAATTTTTCAAAGTAGGATCCAAATCTCATGAAAAAGGGTGACTTGCCTTTTTGAATCAACTTTTTGAGTAAACTTGCCAGTTAACTGTGGAGCTTTGATGGCCCCATTTTCTCTGATAGAATAAGCATTTAGTCAGCTGTGATTATCATTCATCTCCTGATATAACTTTGTCAAGAAATTGGGTTCGATGTTCAAAGGATATCCTGACCCTCTAAATAATACGTCTTTGAAATACCATAAGGCAAGCTAATTCTTTGACAGGGGAATCAAATTCCACCATAGTGTTTTCTGTACTGGTTTAAATGAAGCAGCTTCCAAGTATAGTCTAATTCACCTAAGGGTCTGTACCACCACCACCCCTCCATCCCACCCCTCACTTCCCCAACCTCATCCCATTATTCCCTAGTCTGGACTGACACTTCCTCTGCAGAACATTCAAGTACAGATGGAAACCCAGGTGTGAAAACTGCTCTGAGCTTATGACAAATTGATCTAGTGCCACTGGATGTTTCTACAGCAAATATGCACTTTCTCTGAGAGTATCTTTAGTCAAAAAGTGGTCAGGTCATTTGTGAGAGAACAAAAGGCTTTTCAGGAAACTCTTGTGGGGGTTATTACCTGAGGTTACAAATCAGGGAAAACCCTGCAAATAGATCTTGCTGTGTTAGGTGACTCAGTGTCTACTGCTATGCTTTTAACATGAAGGCTAGTTACTTGTCTGACCAAAACCCAACCCTTTAGGATCTTTGTCTATGGGCTAATGACCCATTAGTGCTTTAGCATCAGCCTGACAGCCAGTGCTCACTAGCATATATCCATTTAATCTCAGAGAGCTTGGGAGAAAAAAAAAAAAGGCACTGCATAGTACGTGAGAAAAGAATTCAGTTCCTGGGACAGCAGAAGCTCCTCATCCCCACCTGTCTTATGTGTATCTAGACCTTGGAAATGTCTGTGATGTTCATTAGCATCAGGCTGATCTCAGTCTAATTCAGAGCAAATGGTTGCTTATGTTTATTATTTTATAGGAAAAGCCTTTCTCAACTTTCAAAAACATCTGCCACCCACTATCTAGATCACAGAACTCTAAGATGTTGTAGTTGAAAGCATAGGTTCTGTGTTAACACCTGAGTCTTAGTTCTGGCTCTAGCACTTACTTTGTGACCTTGGTCATGATTCCTAAGCTCCTCTGGGACTCCATTTCCTTGATGCATAACTGTGGATAATAATAGTACCCATTTTTTAGGATTATTATGAGGATCAAATAAGATCATGCTTCTAAAGTGCTAGGCAGAGGCCTGGTACATAGTTTAGTTCTCAATAAATGGTAGCAAACATTGATTTGCCAATTAAAGAGAACATCGAGCTGTATATTCTCCTAGGGATGGAACCCAATTAATTACCCCACAGTAAATGAATGGCTGTAAATATTTAGGTTGGTGCAAAAGTAATTTCACAATAACTTTCGCACCAACCTAATAGGTACACCAATGAGAGGAAGGTTGAAAGGACAAGGGCCAGGTACCGAAGGGAAGAAGTGAGAGTAGGGTAGATAGAGATACAGAGCATCAGGATCACCAAAGCAAGACTCACTCACTTCAAAAATTCGATTCTGCAATACCACGTGCTATCACAGTACTTGTACAAATAGATACAGATCTAAAACTCACATAGCCAGCTTCTGCCTTGGTAAGAGGACCACATATTCTCCACAAGCTTCAAAATCATCTATAATAATGCATAAAAAATGGATTGAGCTGGCAAGTATATTTCCATAGTGTCTGTGTGGATAATACACTCAGCATAAGTCACTGATTTTATTGACTCCCCCTAACCTATGCAAAGCCAAAAAGGAAATTAAGCTGGGTGGCTGGGTTTTCAGGCTGATGTCAATTTTGCTGCAAAGCAAACAGGCAAGTTACTGGCAAAATAATAGAAGCCACTTCATCAGCCTTATGAAATTTCTTCCACAGACTAGATAGTCTAAAAGCAACTTACTACCCATTTGGTTTATCTCTGAGCTCTGAGCTAGAACTTAAGATACATGGGTTCTGATCCTGGCTCCACTAAAAATTTATAGTGTAACCTTGAACAATTCTGTTACCTTTTCTAACTTTTCTATTGCTTAGGTTCCTCAACTTCAAAATGGATATGGTAACTGCCCTGTGTAGTTTTATAGTTAATATGAGGATCAAGTGACCTAAGAAATATAAAAAGCCCTATGAGGTTTTTATAAAATCTCTAAATATATAAGCTGGAAAGCTGGAAATGTCCTCCTAAAGTCACAACTTCCAACATTGCATCCCAGAGATATAGCTATCTTATGCCATTCTCAGGGTGCCTGTGAAGAATATCTACAGGACCACTTCAGTTTTTTGTTTGTTTGTTTTGGTGTTTTAAAGGATTTTGTCACCATAGCATTCTATTTTATGTCTAGTGTAAATTAATCTAATTGTACTAAAGGCTACATTCATTGAAGAAGAGATAGAAGAATTATCACCAACTATATTTCTGGAAAATAATAATATATAACATTTACAAAATGCTTACTATAAGGACTTCACCAGTATTAATTCATTTAATGCTTTCAATAACTTTATGTATGGGGTATATACTATTATTATCTCCATTTTATAGGAAAAAACTGAGGCATTAAGAAATTAGGTGACCTACCCAAGATTACATAGGTAATAAGAAACAAAGCTGAAGTTTGAATTTAGGCAGTCTGGCTTCATAGTCCTTTTAAAATATAAGACTAACAAGATCCTGATCAATTTGCATCATTTCAATAGTACTTAGTCTTAGACAGTCATAATTACAAAGACTCTAGTCTTCCTACCTAATACATGAGTTCCCTCCACAGTTCCCAGTATTCAGTCTTTGCTTGATAACTTTTCTGCAATAGGCTCACTGCCTCTTGACATCAATCATTTCAATTTTGGAATAACTTTATTAAAATTTCTTCTTTATGTTCAGCTGTAGTTTGTTTCTTTGTATGTTATACCTCTTGGTCCTATTTCTGGTCTCTGGAACAACACAGAATAAACCCAATACACCTTCTATATACCAATGCTTAAAACATTTGCAGACAGATTTCTTGATCTCTTTCACCCCCTTCCCTTCTAAAAGCTCTTCCCCTTTCAGGCTAAACACTTAGTTTCCTCAATTGCCCACTGTCTTTCAGGTGACATGTTTTCCAAAACCCTTTTCCATCCTAGACAATCTTTTTTGGACACAATCTAATCTATCAATGGGTTTCTTAGATATGGTACAATAAACTGAACACATAATTTCTGATGTCATCTAAAGTGCAATTAAACCAATACTTCTATTGTTCTGGACCCTACCTTTCTGTGATGCAGACTAAGACTAAATTAGAATTTTTGGCAATCTAGTCCCACTGCTTGTGCTCTCAGCCAAATAAAATTCTAAGACTGTGCTTTTGCAGTTGGAGTTTTGGACCTGAATGAAAAGCTTTACATTTTTTTCCTATTAAATGTAATCTGGTTAGTTTCAACCCATCATTCCAAACTACTGAGATATTTTTGAAAAGAAATATGTGCTCCAAAGTATTAACTGTCCCTCCCAACTTCCTCTCATCTGAAAATGTGATAAATATCATTTATATGTCATCTAAGTCACAGATAAAAAATGCAGAACAGGATAGCACTCTGAGAGAAGGCTCTCTGGTGGCCAAGAACATTGGTTCATTAATGAACACTTCTGAAGTACAGTACCTGCTGGCTGCCCAAAGTCCTGAACTGTGCCATATTCCTCTGGCTCTGCCTCACACTCTGGGTCATTCTTTCCTAAGCTGTACCAGTTAAATAGGGTCCAGTTTGTAGGGTCCAGTGCAAAATGAAAAACATGGCCCCTTGTTCAAAAATTATTAAGAAATTTAAGAGAGTAACATCAGGGCATTCAACCAAACTTGAGGCCCTTCTAAGTTCAGGAACCTGTGTAGCTGCATAGGTCACATGCCCTGAGGCCAGCCCTGTTCCCAAACTTTACTATACAGAAACTGCTGGCTTTTCAGTAAAACTTGTCTCCTTTCTTTCTGAGCACATACCTATACTACACATTTGCCAGCCTCCCTTGCAGTTAGGTGTGATCATAAGTCTGAGTTTTAGTCAGTGCAATGTAAGTGGAAATGATATGCACCCCTTTCAGGCTTGACCCATAAAAATCTTCCACACAAGATGTTTCATACCATTTTCTCTTCCACCAGCTTGATACAGGTGATAATGGTGACCTTGGAAGATATATGCTAAAGATGATGAAACTTTAAGAATGAAGGAACCCAGATCCTTAAATTAGGAACACGTGCTAGCGTTTTGTATGAGAAAAAATAAATTTCTGTCATATCTCAACCATTCTACATCTTTCGGTTTGCTTACTACAGCTGCTATCATCACTCTAGATAATACATTGCCTTATTACCAGAATTACCTAGAAGGCTAGTTGAAATTCTCATTTCTAGGTACCGCTACTAGACAATATAATCCAGTGGATCTGGAATGGAGAGTAGAAATCTGTGTTTTTAATAAGCCCTCCCACAGCTAGTTCTGATGATAAGGCGAGTTTGAGGACTTGCTCTATATTTTTCTTTCCATGTTATTTTCCCTATTACAATGCCCCCTGCCCTATGTTCTATTTCCTCCTGGTTCCTGTTTCCAAGGTGACACTTACCACATGTCTTTAATCCGTTCCATAGAGTACAGACTTTATGTCTAGAGCTCCATAGGCCATCTCGTAAATTTGGGATGGAAATCAGATGCAAACAATAGAGGAGCAGTAAGAAAGTAAAAGTGTAGATCCCTGATGACTTCTTGAAGTCACTATACCAACCCTGGACTGCCTAATTTCTGTTTCTTTTTGCTTGAGAGAATCAATACGTGTATGTTTGAACAACTATAAGCAGGGTTTTCTGTTATATGTAGTAGAATCTAATCCAAAATCACAGTGAATTATGTTGGAATATGGTATTCTTTCAGGGTCCATTATATATATTTCCTTAAGCTGACAGTTGGTCTCTGCTTTCACATAGAACCAGGTCTTCCCTGAGCAACTTTGTATAAGCAATTGAGTGGCATGATGGAGATGATGGAAGTCAGTACTTCATTTTGCTAGTACCTCAAATCAGATTGTTATTTATCTTTGGCTAATAAGAAATGTCTCACAGAATGCCAAACAAATCACTGTTAAAGTTTGAAAATCTCAGAGACAATACCCTGTAGTTGATATTTTTCAGTGAATGAAAGCTTCACCTTATTCCAGTTCATGTACTTCTTAATCTGATTGCTATGGTATTGAATGTGTCCCACAAAAGTTCATGTGTTAGGAACTCAGTCCCCAATACAGTAGTGTTGAGAGGTGAGACCTTTGGGAGAAGATTGGGTTATGAGGGCTCTGCTATCATGAATAAATTAATCCATTTATGGATTAATGGCTTAAGACAGTGAATTAGTTATCGTGATAGTGGGTCTGTTAAAAAAAATGGGTTTGGCTGTCTTTTGTGAGCTCCCTAGTCATGGGATGCCCTGCACCACCTTGTTTCCTCATCAACAAAAAGGCCCGCGCCAGATGTGGCCTCTAGACCTTGGGCTTACCAGCCTCCAGAAATGTAAGAAATAAATGTCTTTTCTTTTTTAATTACCCAGTCTCAGATATTCGGTTATAGCAACAGAAAATGGACTAAGGTACCAACAAAGAGTAAATAAGTATGCTTTAGTGAAGCAACAAGATCATTGAGACACTTCATTTGCATCAAGGCAATCTTGAAAATCATGTTTGATAAAGGTTCTTTCATTCTCCTTTCTTTTTCCTCTATTAAAAAGTAAAGAAAGAGTGACAGATGAAGTAGGATGTGATCATCTTTCTTGAAGGGACAGTTGAAGTTTTTGCATACAAATGAAAGCTATCATTCTTGTCAACCTTAAATTGGAGCTCTAAACACTACCTCAGCAGCCAATTAATATTCTATAACCAATCAGAGCACTCATGCAGACTGTTCTGCCATCCTGAAACATAATCCCAGTGCCAAGAATTATTAGCTACAGAAGACAGAGCAGTTTTAACTTGTGATTTCCAACCAATTTGAGTCAATATAATATTCATTTATGCTAAAAACATATGTTTTCCAAAAATATTTTGACTGAATATGTCTTAACAATGAAAAGCAGCCAAAAAAAAAAAAGGTTGAAATTATTTGAGATTAGGTATTCTGAAAGGTCGTATCACCAAGGGGTCTAATTCCACAAATGTTAGCTTCCTATAAACCATACCATGGAAGGGGACTTACAGAGTTCTGATTTCTCATTCAAGAAACAAAATCACCACTTGACTGGGCAACTTGGACCATCAGTTCTTGCTTTCACTGGTGTCACCTCTATCCCTTGAGAATTCTTGGAATATGCCAATTGGGATGGTTTAGAAGATATACGTGCAACAATAATGTCAGGGATAATGTATGCCCGCCAAGCCTGCTCAAGGGATCTTATGCCCTTAAAAGATAGGAAAACTAGAGAACAATACTTACTGACAGCTAACAAGCAGCCAGAAGAACTTTTAAACTGGAGTGAGACAGAGAAGTATTTGCATAAAGGCCTATTGTCCTTGAACAAAGAGAGAAAGCCCCTTGCACAGAAAAGTCAGGTTAATTTTCCCACTCTAAAATGTTAACAGCCCCTTCTTTGCTGGGCTACCAATCTACCAAGTGGGAAAATTATTATTTTCTTAGTCCTTAAATTTGCTTCCTGAGTATTCAGATTCAGGTTAAAATTCAGGGGTAAGTGAAGCAGTCCTAACCAGAATGAATTGATTAGCTGCCAACAAATCCAGGGTCTGTTTCTATACAAAGTTGAAATTTGAGAAGAATATTAACATCCTAGTACATTTATTTCAATGCCTTTAAGGTAAAAGCAAGTCTGTCTTTAAATAATAACAGAGGAAAATAAATCAACAATAGTTTCTAATAATCTATTATTAAAGGATCTGGCTCTCAAAATCTAAAATTACACATTTCTATGACTTGATAGTACAAAATGAGAATGCGTCTTCTCCATTCAAAGAGATTCTTGATACTAAGTTCACTTCACTTTCTCAGGAAAGAAGACTTTTCTTAGAGTCAATTTCAAAGAGGAAAAACATAGATATCTTTCAAGGTCGAAGATGGAAAAGGAAGCAAATGCTATGTTGTCTTCTTTCTAGATGAGAGGGGAACTGAAGACTGTGGAATTAGACTATGGATTAGTTCACAGAAAATGATTTTGCTTTAATGCCAAGTAGTCAATACAATAGTGGTTAAAGGGTTTCTAGCTAGACAGGTTTTCAATTCCAAGCTTCATTACAGAAGGTCTTCAAATAATGTTGTTTTGTTCAAAATTGTTTTATGATGTTGATGAGGAAAAATAATCAATTTCCGGTCAGGACCACTGTCTATGTGGAGTTTACACATTCTCCCCATGTCTGTGTGGGTTTTCTCTGGGTACTCTGATTTTCCCCCATATCCCAAAGATGTGCACATTAGGTTAACTGGGGTGTCTAAATTGTCTTAGTCTGAGTTAGTGTATGAGTGTGTGAGTGTGCCATATGATGCAATCATGTCTTGTCCAGGGCTGGTCCCTGCTTTGTGCCCTGAGCTGCCAGGATAGGCTCCAGTTACCCATGACTCTGGAATAAGTGTCATGTTGAGAAATTTTACCTTACCTTAAGTTTCAGTTTAAACTAACATTTGTGATTAAATCATTTTCAACACGATCTTAGTATCTGTCCTCCCACTTTGGTTTTATATACAGAAAGGAATTTTGGATTTTGGGGTTAATAATTATTTTACTTGTTTTTACTAATGTTTCTTAAATGTATGTATAGCTCGCATTTATTTCAACGTTTAATATTAGAAGTGTTTTTGTATTCATTTAGAAGTTTGATGATGTTTTTGTGACCAGAAATATGCTGTTGAAATTCTTGTTTAGGATTAGCCTATGGTAAAATTGGTTTCATTCTATGTTGTTTCACTTAAAGTCACAGTTTCCAAGAACCTATTGATGACATTAAGTGAAGACTTATTGTGCTTATTAGCTATATGACCTTATGGAAACTATTTAACCACTCTGTGCCTCAGTTTCCCCCTAAGTAAGTGAGAATAATAGCATTTATCTTATAGTGTTGTTATAAGAATTAAATGAGATAACATATGTAAAATGCCTGGCACATAGTAAGAACTTGATAAATTGAAGCTGATGTGATTTTATTGCCATATCATATTCTGTTGGTCCAATTTATAATGTTTACAAAATTCAAATAGGAATGCCCAAACATTGGTGTCATCTCTCAATATAATTTCCCAAAGACATCTTTGTCAGAAGATTATGAGAGAATATTATGTGCCTGGCATTGTGCTAGGCACTATAAATAAATAGAAGATTTTGAAGTCTCTGCCTTCAAGGAGTGGATAGTCAAATTTTGAGTATGTAAACAAGTTTTGGCAAAAGGTTATAAATGGCATCTGGCAGAAGCCAGAAATACTTAATCTATAATGAGTAGGATATGCCAAGTACTAGAATATCAAACATCCAAAATTACTTTCTGTATGCAAAACCAAAGTGGGAGGACAGATACTAAGATCGTGTTGAAAGTAATTTCATCATATGTTTAGTTTAAACTGAAACTTAAGGTAAGATAACATTACTCAGCAGAACCATTACTCTGTACACATAAGTGATGAAATAAAATTTAAATCTTACCTCCTAGAAGGAGCTTTCTTTGACTCATTATTCTCACTGCTGACTACTTGCTTTATATGTCTTCCACGTGGGCACAAGTGTATGCGTGCATGTGTGTGTGTGTGTGTGTGTGTGTGTGTGTGGGAGAGAGAGAGAGACAGAGAGACAGACAGAGAGAGAGAAGTGTATCTAGCCCAATCCCCTGTTTTCACATAAACAGGAACCTAAAGAGTTATAAAGAGACTTTGCCTAAATCAAATACTTGATTACTAGCAAACCAGAATTAGAACCCTGAACTCTAACTATTAGCACCTCTCTAGGTCCTGGGAAGATTATCAAATCAATAATACAATTCCTTCAAACGAAGGCAAGAGCTTATCCTTGTCTTTATGAGCAGGGTCCACACTGTTTGCATCCTTTGTCTCAATCCACTCTCCCACTCCTTATTATTCATTGGATAAATGGCATACTAAGGGCTCAATAAATACTTATTAATAAAGGGAAAACTTCATGGCTTGATTCAGCAATGGTGAAAAATCCATGGACTCACCCATTCCATAGAAGGCAAACAATGTTTCTAAAGAAAAAAACTAGTGAAACTTTCTGTGATCCCGAAAATATCAAATTAATAAGATTCTTATCTGTTGTTATATTAAAGAATCAAACTTCACAGAATTAATCATTCAGGTAAGTAGATTATTCAGTGATTTCATGGTAGGGGTTTCATGATATCAGACAGAAAACTGAACTTGTCTTTCTAGCACCTATTAGAGGGAAGAGAAAATGGGGGTAAGGACTGCAGATGGAGATTAGAAGACTGTTGTTGGGATTTGAACCAAAGATGAGTAGTGTGAAGTGAGTTGGGCAAAAGACCATGTGTGCTGGGGAAGAAGAATTTAACCTCTAATTTTGATTTGGGGCAGAAGAATTATATTAGAAAAGAAAGATGGGAAGATAGTGAGGGAGAGCATTGATGTTAAAAACAACTGGGTTGCCTTTCACAGAGGCCCAGATTTGATGAATTATCAGGTAGAAAATAAATTCATAGATTTGTCTCTGAGAACAAACATTAGGACCCCAAATTTTTCAATAGCCATTTTAACAAACTATTCCTTAAAAGTCCTAAACTGATAGCAAATATGTAAGTAAAAGAAGACACTTTTTTTCTCTCTTCACACAATGGCAAAGTATAATTGAAACAAGCAGCTCTCTCAAGTGTCTTTTGTAATAAATAAGGCCAAAACACAATGCTGTTTATATATAAATTCCAAGCATTCCTCATTTTAACTAAAATGACATGGGGAATGCAAATCCATAGCTTCGGCAAATTTTTTTCCTTCTAAAAGTGATTCATCACCATCAGATTACTTTGCAATTTCATGAAATGGGCTTCAGTGGCATTTTGAAAAATTAGGAAGAGGGACTGCAACTAGAATGGAATAAAGAAAATATTACATAACCCCAAGTGAGATATTAATCTCTATCTAGATGGTCATTGTGCTTTCATTATAAGGAAACAAGGCCTCATGCAGCTCCTTAATAATCCAAATTTTGATGGCACTAAGCAGCCCAGTAATGAGAGAATTTGGGGACTATCCCCAGGCTGGAAGAATTAATGACGCAGTATGAAAGTTTTGCATGGTGGCAGGGGATAGCAGGGAGGAAGGATTGTGCAAACCAAGAGTACAGATAATGGTGGATGTTTTCCAGCATCCTCCTTATTCAAGAACCAAAAAAGCAGTATCTTTAACAAGATACATAGTGCTTCATTCCTATGCACTATACCAATTTACAAATTATATGCCCCCACACACATACAAACATGCTCCTATACACATTTACACACACTACTCTACACACACAACACACATATACCTACGTATGGCTTCTTTCTTCTGTGTGTCACATTAAGCATTTGCATACCTCTTGCCTATAGTTTACCTCACCCTCCTTTCTTTCTATTAAATTATACTCTGCTATTATTCCTCTTTATTTCTATTGCAGTGTATTTTTGACAGGATAGGATTGTTCTCTGAAATGAAAGGAAGTAATTCTGATGGAAGGATCAGTGATTTTTTAAAATACAGATTGCCTAAGAGAAGCTAGAAGCTTACTCTTCAGACAGCCTGAGCCTTTGGGCGGGGAAGAAAAGCAGGCTGAAATTAATGTATGCATATGTGTAGGGATTTGTGTTCAGATTTTTTTTAGGGCAGAATATACTCAATTTGGAAATGGCACTAACCCTTTCAAGCCACTAGGGTAACATTTAGTAAGACAGAAACTCTAAACCAAATAGATTTTGGTGATGATAAAAAGACTTAAAGGAAAAGTGTTCATGGGAGAAAGTCACTAGCACTAGCTTCCTCTTGCCCAAGTCCCTTATCCTATCTATATACACAGTTGAGCTGAAGGGGACTAATGTTCTTCTCTTCCTAGAAGGCACTAAGGGCAACTGATACTACAGAAAGAATCTGCAAAGTGTGGAGTGACTCATTTGGGCATCTACAGGACTTGAGACACTGGAAACTCCTTGAATGTCAGCAGCAGTCAGCAGTAATCACTGAGTGCTTACTATGTGCCAGGCAGTGTTTGATACTTTGCATTTATCATTTCATTTAATCTTCTTCTCCTCAATCACCTCAACGTAACATAGGAAATTCACATTTTCTACATAAAAAACTAGCAAATACATAAGAGAGAATAGACTTAAGCTCATGTCTGTCTGACTCAAGTGTCTGTGTTCCTTCAATCATATCTCTAGCAACAAACTAAAGTCACCCATTTTAACTACATTGTCCTTGTGTGTACACAGACATGGCTTTATCCTGGGTGAATGAGTGAATCATTGTCTGTTGTTTATCTGTTAATAGGTATTTGGATCGATAGGTGACTGTTTTAGCTATACATTTGTGTAAAACTTCGTGATCTGAAATAGGTTTCCCAAGAGATATTTTTTAAATGAAAATGAAAGGACTAGAAAACTTTTCTTGCCTATTGGTAACTAAACATTTTCAGATACTTTTGGTATGTTTAGCATTGTAATATTCTAGTGAGAGATCCCTGACCTTTAATTTCAGAGTGAGGGAAGAGAAAGGGTTACAAGAAGCTCATTACACAGCTTGCTAACCACCATTACTTGGAAAAATTCCCAGATGAACAGCATGCCATTATTTACGTGCTTATGTGATTAATACTCCATATTTGAGAGACCCAATGTAAAAAGAAGTGGTTCACATGTGCCTGGAAGGAAAGAAGGATGAGAGGGGGGAAGAACAGGGTAGAGAAAGAAAGAAAAGAATGGGGAGAAGGAAGAATAAAGGAGAGAGAGATGTAGAGAGAGAAGAAGAGTGAGAAGGAAAGAAGGAAGGAGACATGAAAGCATCAGGAGGCACTGTTTTACAATAAGACATACGATAAGATTTTTCAAATTGGGGATGTACTTCCTCTTACAGTTTTTGTCTCCTTCATTAAATAAGGTAGTCTATTCTTAAAACATTTTTGTGGTCACATGGAGAGCCTTGTAAAGAGGTGAGTCGCCTGCTTGTCCATTTATTATGAAAGAAGAAACAAAAGGAACTAAATTAGGGGATGGGCAGGTGCTGAAGACATAACTTTGCCTGCTTCACAATTTTGTCAAGATAGGTGCTGAGCAAGTATGACTGGCTGTTGGACAATCTGCTGGCAAAGGATTATTTAATATTCCAGGAGGAATTGTGGCATCCTGATTTAGCATAGCCAAAATAATTGAAGTACCGGATTATATTGGTAAGTTGGTATAGTCATATTTAGGCTAGTACCAATTTTGCCAACTAATTTTTTCCCCGTGGAAATGTAGTTAGTATATATTTATTTTTCATATAATTGTGAATTTTGATGCTTGGTTTGGATAATGATCCCAGCTAGGGTAGCAAAGCAAATTGGAAAAAATAAATTTAAAGGACTTGGATAATAAAAATTTATTTTTGAACAGAAAACATATTCTCACACACATGCCCCAAATGCTTAATGCTATTAATATTGGATTTGTTTTAGTTTCTACATAAAGAGATGCTAAATATATTTAAATAGATCTTCTATTATTATAGCAACCTGTTTTGTCTCTTAAAGTATGTTGTATTATTATCCTTTGTGTCTTGCTCACATGCTTAAGCCAGAAAGATAAAACCAGGAATATTGCACTGCTGCTACTTAATAAAAGCCAAACACAGATGTATGGATGAAAATATAAGGAAAAAGGTAGCTGACCTTTAAAGGAGAACAAGAACAATGTTGTAAAAATAACATTTCTTTGAAATAAATATTCAAGAACCAACACACAGACAGAAGGTTTACAGTCAAAGTAGATGAACACAATAAAAAATGTGTACATATGAGAGAAATATTAATACACAGACACAGATAGGCAGACAGATAAACAGGCAGATGGACGCACATGCACACAGAGACACACACACACACATGCACACAAACACACATTTATTCTATGTTGAACTAAAGTGTTTAAGATCATTCATCCAAGAGGGCACTTCTGGAATGTTGGAGTAAGGACTTCAAAAATCAACTCTTCCATAAAAGCAACGAGAACATTGGCAAAAATCTGCCAAAGTCAACTTTTTCAGAACTCTGGAAACAAACTAAAGGCTTGCAACGATACAAGGAATGTTTATTCAAGAAAAGTGGCTGAATTTCAGTAAGAACAATGAGCTTCGTGGTGTTTTAATTGGCCCTAATCCCCAGCTCCCTGGTATCCTTAACAGCCAATAGCCTCACTACTGTGGTATAAAATCCTATAGCCTAGCAGCCATTGGAGGAAGCAGAATGGATTTAGAGCAATCCAGAAGCCTCATACACAGAAAATTGTCTCTATTCGACCTGTCTGAAAGCTTATTGAAAAGCTACATTCTCAGGGCATGATTTCTATGACCAGGTGAACAGTTTTATTCACAGAGAATTAGTCAAAAACGATCAGTGTCAATTGTTTGACTTCACAGATGCCTCGGGTGACACCATCAATGGGAATTGATAAGAGGCTGACTGAAAAACGTAAAAAGGAAAAACTGGGTAATGAGATGGCCATAGAGGGCTTTGAAAAGCTTTAAACATTTAGAAGGTCAAACACATGAGCAAAACTGTATACTTGGCCCAGAAGAGACCTTAGAAGATTTACTAATGGGTATGGATTTCTTTTTGAGGTAATGAAAGTATTCCAAAATTGATTCTGGTGATGGTTGCATAACTCTGTGAACATAATACATTAGCATAATATTTTAAGGTTTATCTATGAATTTGCTTCATTCTTCTTTTATTACTGAATAATATGCCATTGTAGTGGTATTGGATTTGCTACAATTTCTCTGATATAGCACTGAAAGAATAGGCAATAAAAGAAAAACTACAAATTAAGAACTTCCGTGCATCAATAAACACTATCAAGAAATCAAAAAGACAATTAGAGAATGGGAGAAAATATTTGCAAACCTGGTAATGGTAATATCCAGATATATTTAAAAATACTCCTACAGATGAACAAAAACATTAAAATACAACCCAATTCAAGAGATGGGCAAAGAAATTCGATAGACATTTATCCAAAGAAGATATAAAAATGGCCAATAAGCACATGAAAAGATGTTCAACATCATTAGTCATTAGGGAAATGCAAATCAAACCCACAATGAGATACTACTTCATACCCATTAGATTGGTTATAATTTAAAGAAAAAGCCCAGAAATTAAATATTGGCAAGGATGTGAAGAAACTGAAAATTTTGTGCATTGTTGGTGGGAATGTAAACTGTGCAGCCACTGTGGAAAACCATTTGGTGGTTTCTCAAAAAGTTAAACATAGAATTACCATATGACCCAGTAATTCCACTCCTAAGCATATGTCCAAAAGAACTGGAAAGAAACTCAAGGAGATATTTCTGCACCAATGTCTATAGCAGCATTATTTACAATAGCCAAAAGATGGAACAATTCAAGAATCCATTAACAGATGAATGTAAAGCCAAAATGTTTTATATATATACATATATATAACATATATATAAAACATACATATATATATAAAACATACATATATATACATGCATATACACAATAGAATATTTTTCAGCTATAAAAAGCAATTAAATTTTTATATATGCTATAACATGATGGAGCTTGAAAATATCATGCTAAGTGAAGTAAGCCAGACACATAAAGACAAATATTGTATGATTACACTTATATGAGGTACCCAGAATAGGCAAATGTACACAGACAAAAAGTAGACTAGAGGATACAAGAGGCTGAGGGGGAATGGAAAATTACAAGTTATTATCTAATGGGTGCAGAGTTCATGTTGGAGATGGTTAAAAATTTGTGGTATAGATAGCAGTGATGGATACACAACATTGTGAATACACTTAGTGCCACTGAATTGTGCATTTATAAATAGTTAAAATGATGAATATTATGTTATGTATATTTACCACCATATAAATAGCAACAAATAATACAATTAATGATTACCTTAAATATAAATGTGATATTCATGACATTTCTTCCATGTGCAACAGGGTGGGTCTAGGCAGGCTGTGGTTCCAGTTCTTTTAAGTAGATTGAAACTGCTCTAGCCTCTTTCAGCAGCTCTGTGTGTGTGTGTGTGTGTGTGTGTGTGTGTGTGTGTGTGTGTGTGTATAACTTTAGATAAATAACCAGCAATTATACAGGAAAACTGAAAATATTATCAATCAATCTTTTTAAGTGAAATCTACAGAATACTCCACCAACCTTAGAATACACAATTTTAAAGTATGTAAAGGATACTTTAAAATGAGACAGACCATATCTTTCACCATAGTACAAATGTCTAAAATTAAAAATAATTGAAATCTTACATATTCTGTTATCTAGTCATAGTAGAATCAAACTAGAAAGAAAAAGAATTAAAAATACAAAGAACAGAATATAAATAAACATACAACATATCAATAGATGGGATGTAGCTAAAGAAATACTAGGATGGAAAATTATAGCACTAAATGCTTATATTAGAATCAAGAGAAAATCTGAAATCAATAATCCAAGGTCTTACTTCAAGAAAGTAGAAAGAAAAGAGCAGCATAAACAGGACTAAAGAGAAAAACCACATGATTACCTCAATAGATGCAGAAAAGGCTTTTGATGAAATTCGACACCTCTTCATGTTAAAAACTATCAATAAACTAGGTATTAAGGGAACATACCTCAAAATAATAAGAGCCATCTATGACAAACCCACAGCCAACATCATACTGAATGGGCAAAAGCTGGAGGCATTCCCCTTGAAAACCGGCACTAGACAAGGATGCCCTCTGTCACCACTACTATTCAACATGATGTTGGAAAGCCTAGCCAGGGCAATCTGGTAAGAGAAAGAAATAAAGAGCACCAAACAGGAAGACAGGAAGTCAAACTATCCGTGTTTGCAGATGACATGGTCTTATATGTAGAAAATCTCATAGCCTTAGCCCAAAGGCTTCTTGACCTGAAAAACCACTTCATCAAATTCTCAGGATACAAAATCAATGTACAAAAATCACTAACATTTCTATACACCAACAACAAACAGGCTGAGAACCAAATCAGGAATGCAATCCCATTCACAATTGCCACAAAAAGAATACAATACCTAGGAATACAGCTAACCAGAGAAGTAAAATATTTCTATAATGATAGCTACAAAACACTGCTCAAAGAAATCAGAGATGACACAAACAAATGGGAAACATTCCATGCTCATAGATAGGAAGAATCAATATCATTAAAATGATCACACTGCCCAAAGCAATTTACAGATTCAGTGCTATTTCTATTAAATTACCAATGACATTCTTCACAGAACTAGATGAAAGTATTTTAAAATTCATATGGAAGCAAAAAAGAGACTGAATAGTCAAGGCAATCCTAAGCAAAAAGAACAAAGCTGGAGGCATCATGTTAACTGACTTCAAACTATACTACAGAGCTACAGCAACCAAAACAGGATGGTACGGGTACAAGAACAGACACATAGACCAATGGAACAGAACAGAGAACGCAGAAATAAGGCCACACACCTACAACTATCGGATCTTTGACAAACCTGACAAAAACAAGCAATGGGGAAAAGATTCCCTGTTCAACAAATGATGCTGGGATAATGGGCTATCCATATGCAGAAGACTGAAACTGGACCCCTACCTTTCACCATATACAAATATAGACACAAGGTGGATTGAAGACTTAAATGTAAAACCTAAAACTATAAAAACCCTGGAAGACAACCTAGGCAATACCATCTTAGACACAGGAATAGGCAAAGATTTCATGATGAGAATGCCAAAAGCAACTGCAATGAAAGCAAAAATCAACAAACAGGTTTAATTAAATTAGAGAGCTTCTGCACAAAGAAGGAAATTACCAACAGAGTGAACAGACAACCTACAGAATGGGAGACAATTTTTGCAAACTATGCAATCTCATTCAGACCATAAATTATTTTCCTAAATTAGTTGAATTGTATCAATATACCTGTATTCTCTTGTGTCTCACTGATATTTCCTTAGGATTATTATTTTAAATTCCTTTTCAGGCAGTTTATATATTTACTTTGCTTTGAGGTCTGTTACAGGATAATTATTGTACTTTTTCCTATATATGTATCTTAAAGTATGAGTAGGGCAGGGTGCTTTGGCTTTAATTCTGGGTGAGTCCCACTAGTGGAGTCTTTGTTGTGATTTATTCATCTGTAATTAATGTCAGTGGTATCCGCTAGTGCTTCAGTAGTCTGGGCTGTGGGCAGTTTTTAAGACTGTAGCATGGCTTTGCTGGGGATAGGGGTTGCTGGGGATAGGGGTTGCTGTGTAGGCCAGTTCTGAAGTACTTGGGGGTAGGGCACCAGTTGTGGCAGCTCTACTAGTTACAGAGACAGACAGCATTGCCAGGGGCAGCTTGTACTGGGTGGGTCAGCCCCTGGCCTCTGGTTGCATGCACAGTGTACAGCAGCTCTGGTTAGATCTGTTTATATAAGCTATATAAGTTAGATAAGATAACCAGCTCTGTTGGTTAAGGGTACAAGGTCACCAGCGGTAGAGGGCATTGAGTAGGTGGTTCTCATGCCCTGGAGAACAAACATGTTGGCTCCTTTGGTTTGGGGAGAAGCCTATACTCTGTGCTGGACTGCCTGTTTTTTGAGGTGTAGGGTACTGTGTAGGCTCAAGTGTTGGTGTCATAACTGTACTCTTGGGTCTATCTGGGGTTGTGACATTATAGCCTTTTGTGTTGGCATGGTGGAATGACAGGTGGGACCAAGGGATATGGAGATACAGGGGCTCTTCGGCCTCAAGGCAGGATGTACTCCAGCATGACTTTGTTCTCAAAATGACACCATATTGTTGCAAGTTATGTCCCAAGGAGTGGGAAACACAGCATTAGTTCTGTCTCTGGAGCAATACAGCTGCATTAACTCTAGACAACTCCCTTTACTGGGATCAGGGCCTGCAAGGACTGTGGGGTTCTCTTGTAGATAGGGTTTCAGGCATCTGCATTAGTAACGGGGGGCTGCTGGAGATCTCCTGCTTACTTTTTTATCCTAATGGGGAGTCTCTCTTGGTTCTGAGCTGATCCCAGTTGGGTGCTTTGCTTCGTATGCTGACATCCCAAGTTTCTGTGCTTCAGAAAATTTTGTCCCTTCCTTGCTGAATTCCAGTGTTCTTCCATAGACACTCTACTTGAATCGCACTTATTTATTCATTGTTCTGGTCCTCCTTTGTGAAGAAGATGAGTGTTGAGCACCTCTAGTCAGGCATCCTGATGACATCTCTCCTGGATGTATAGTTTATATTTTTACAATATCTAATCCTAAACAACTTATACTGTATTTAGCATTTGTTTCTTTCCATGCTAATTTTGCCCACTTCAGAGCAATTACTGGAGGAGTATCATATATACACACCATGAAGGTAAACAGCAGCATGAAAGAAAATATCCAGGATATGACTATTTTCCTTGCCCTAGAGGAAGGGAATTGGGAGAATGTAAGATGAAAAGGCACTTATTATTAATTTGCATAAGCCTGTATCTTTACTCCTGGCTGGATTGAATGTTTACCAGTCAATGGTTAAGCAATACATTGCATTGCAAAAAAAGTCTATCAGATTTGATTTTTTGGAAATACAAAATCACTGGGATGAAAATTTTGGGTATACCATGTGATTTGACTTCATAATTAAATGGGACTGAACAAGTGGTTTGCATTATATACTGTGTCAATGGTCAGAAAAAATAAATGAATCTCAGATGACTGATTTGACATGAAGTATACAAAGTTTAACTTATTTTGGAATCCTAAATGTAGAACTCTGGACAAATGTAGCCTTGCACATGGGAGAATATGACTAAAATTAGGCCAAAGAAACCTTTATCCTTACCATTAGCCAATATTTACCAAGAGTTTACCCTGTGTCAAAGATGTGGAAGATTCTGTGTGTGCTGTTGTGTCAATGTGAAGGTATAAGACCTTTGATTGATGGACGTTCACCAAAAATAGATACGGGGAGTGGGGTGGAGAGATTCTAAACACACACTTAAATTATTTTCCAGTTTCACTTCCCAGTGGAGGTAGGGTACATTGAATATCTCAGTGTTACTCCTGAAAGGCAAGTATCAATACCATTTAAAGACTTTCTACAATGGTCAAATTGTATTTTTATAGTGAATGTGCACCACTAATCATCTTACTATCATTGTCAAGTCACTTCAAATCTTTATTTTGCAGATTAAAAAGAAATATCTTCAAAATGCCAGTAAAATGCCCATTGCAGGGCTAAAGGCATTAAAGTCTAAAATCCAACACCAAATCTGTCAGGATTCTCATTTTTCATTCTTTTGTGGGATGGGCAACTGGTACATGCAAGCTACACATGACAGGTAGAGTTGAATATAGAAAAATCTTTAATTGAGAATTCTGGTTCTTTGAGAGCTTAAGATTATTATTCATAATAATAAGAATCTTTAAGACAATCAATGTCCCCCCCCTTTTATCTATTGGATGTAAGTGAAAAAGAGAGTTCTCACTCTCCCAGCAGCAACAAAGATAGAGCCCAATAAAAGTACAAAAAATATTTCAGATACATCAACAATACCAGGTCATTCCCACAAGTATCTTTTTATGACTGGCATACAAAAGGTCAAAATATGATTTGTTATATGAAATGTCAATTGCTGAAAATTCATGTTTTTACTATGACTTCACTATGGCTTCCATAGGCAGTGTTCCTAAATTATTAGTTGTGCAATTTTATTCACTAGTTTGGGCAGGAAAACAGATAGGATCACCTCTGAAACTTTCTTGAATCTGCAGTTATTATTTCTGATAACTGTATTCTGTTTTTACCTCATCACTAGAAAAAAAGAAGTTAAAAAAGATAAACGGTCTCAAAAATAATACATAGTTTTATTTGGTTCTAAAATTGGTCAAAATTGCAGGGGTTTCTTCTTTTGTATATGAACAGGTTTTTCCACCCTTCATTTTAATGTGCACATAAGTTTAGATCATCACTAGATGATGCAAAACTTTTTCAATGGTAATATTTACAATAAAAGAGAGGACTCAACACTGGAGATTTTGCCAGGGATGAAGCAGTTTTTTAGTATCTCCTATAGAAAGAGGTACAATTGGAAATGTAGGAAGCATTTAAAAGTGTTATAGAGGGTTTTTTAGGCCACGTGACTATATTTATATTAGTAATTATATATTGGAGGACTTTTCAAAGGGCAATCGGGAGATAGTGTCTATAAGTTCATAATTATAAGTAGGGAAAAAACTCTACCTCTCTCTCTGTTGAATGTGGTTAATGGGTAATTCACCAAATTTCTTTGTATCTTCCATTCAGCACACATGCAAAAGGCAGCATTAATTAGTACTTAATGACATGGATACCTGCAAACAATATGTATGCAGAAGTGATTTTAACTTCTCTTTATAGATATTATGCTTGCACACATACCTCATCTTTTCACAGATGTTATTATGGATAGACTAATCTGGGAAACAAGAATGTTTATGTAATCAAAGCACAGATGTTCATGGAAGAAATGGTGAAACTTGAGGCATGCCTAAAGCCAAGGGGAATTACTAAGAAGGCTAAGAGATACTTACAACTCTATCTTTCCTTTTTCTCATTCTCTTTAACACTTTAATATCTGTCTTATACACAAAAGCTACCATTTATTGTGTACCAGAAACAATGCCAGGCACTTCTGAAGTAATTATCATTCAATCCTCACAGTCCTTTGAAATAGTAATTATTATCTCCAACTGGCAGACAAGAAAACTAAAAGAAATATAAATCTGACACTTTCTTGGAGGAGGGATAAGTCTAAGCAGGCCATTAGAAAAGTCCATGGGAATAAAAGGAGAGGTCAAGAGATAGCGATGTTTAAAGCCACTCGTACAATGAGAGCAGTTTCTATTTCATTCTAACAGTTCACTATAAACAAAATATAAGAGAAATAAGTGCTGTATTTTAGAGAATAAACTAGAAGTGCTCTAGAAGTTCTGAGAGAGAAGATATCCATAGAAAATATCAGAGTTTTTCATGGAGGAGATAAGCCTAGGAGAAAAGGGAGAGAACATTCTGGACATGAGAGTATACTGTGAAACTATAAGGAGATATAAATTAGCAATGCCATTAATTAATCCATCTCACTGGGGGAAAAAACCCTCATATCAACACTAACAATCATAATTCTAACAGAGCAGTAAACCACACACACACACACACACACACACACACACACACTCGGACCTAAGACTGAGTTGTGGTCTTCGTTATTTACATCTCTGTTGACAAAGTTCATTAAGTTTCTTCATTTGGAAAATAGAAATAGTAACATCTACTTTCCTCGCAAAGTTGTTGTAGAAATCAAATCCACCAGTATGTGTCAATGTTCTCTGTAGAGATTTACTAAAATGAAAGAGATTATTATTCTATATTACTCAAAGTTGATTTTCTTGCAAACATCAACTCTTGAAAAATCCCCAGAAATACATACTGAAGACTTCAATACAAATAGTTGTACTCCTTCCTCCCAGAGTTCTTCACTGGAACTATTTATTACATGCTCAATGAGGACAACTGAGAGGCTGAGGCTAGCCTCAGACAAGCAAAGTCTAAATTTATTACTGGTTTAATGGATTTAAATAGTTGTTGATTGGCTGTTAGACTGAATTAGAAACAATCAAGGATGGCAGAGCAAGATGACAGAATAGAAGCCTACACCATTCCTCCCCAATGCTGAAACATGAAATTTTAACTACTATCTGCACACAGAGAAGCACTGTCACAAGAACCAAAAATCAGGTGGACAATCACAGTACCTGGTGGTAACTTAATATCACCAAAAGAGGTATTGAGGAGGGCAGAAAAGGTAATCTCGATTTGCCTATGCCACCACTCCCCCATCTCCCAGAGGGCGAGTGCAGTGACTTGGGGACTTTACATTGAACTCAGCGCTGCCCTGTCACCATGAAGAATAAAGCCATGTTGGGCTTAGCCAGTGACTGTGAATGGAGGGAGCATTTGGACTACCCATAGCCAGAGGGGAATCGCCCATCCCAATGGATGAAACAGTAGAATAGAACATCAGGTGAACTGCTAAGGTTTTTGACTCCAATCTCTGGCTCCCAAATAGCATCTCTGGACATGCCTAGGTCCTTGGGGAACTCACTGCACTAAAGGGAAGGGCCTTGGATGAGGCCCAGTGCTCTGCTGGCTTCAGATCTGACCCATTGCAATCCCAGTGGTGATGGCCATAGGGGTGCTTGCAGCACCACACTCTCAATTCTAGGGAGCTCAGCACAGAGAGAAAGACACCATTTGTTTGGGATAAAGTAAGGAAAAGGAACGAGTCTCTGCCCAGTAATCCAGAGAATACTTCTGTTTTTTGTTTTTTGTTTTTTTTTTGACGGAATCTCACTCTGTCACCAAGCTGGAGTGCAGTGGCGCAATCTTGGCTCACTGCAACCTCTGACTCTCTGGTTCAAGCGATTCTCCTGCCTCAGCCTCCTGAGTAGCTGGGACTACAGGTGCACACCACCACGCCCAGCTAATTTTTTTTTTTTTTGAGACGGAGTCTCTCTCTGTTGCCCAGGCTGGAGTGCAGTGGCGCGATCTCGGCTCACTGCAAGCTCCGCCTCCCGGGTTCACGCCATTCTCCTGCCTCAGCCTCCCGAGTAGCTGGGACTACAGGAGCCCGCCACCATGCCCGGCTAATTTTTTGTATTTTTAGTAGAGGCGGGGTTTCACCGTGTTAGCCAGGATGGTCTCGATCTCCTGACATCGTGATCTGCCCACCTCAGCCTCCCAAAGGGCTGAGATTACAGGCGTGAGCCACCGCACCCAGCCATACATCTGGATCTTATCCAAGACCACCAAAGCAGTACCTCTGTAAGTCTGCACAAACCACAGTGCCATTGAGCTTGGGGCCCAGGACCCTTTGAATACCTAGAAAGCCTTCCCAAGACAGACACAAAAAAAGCCCAGACTGTGAAGATTACAATAAATACTTAATCTTCATTGCCCAGACACTTACAAACATTTACAAGCATTAACACCATCCAGGAAAACATGACCTCACCAAATAAACTAAATAAGACACCAGGGACCAATCCTGAAGAAACAGAAATATGTGACCTTTCAGACAGAGAACTCAAAATAGCTGTTTAGAGGAAACTCAAAGAAATTAAATATAACACAGATAAGGAATTCAGAATTCTATCAGATAAATTTAACAAAGAAATTGAAATAATTTTTTAAAATGAAGCAGAATTTCTAGAGATGAAAATAAAATTGGCATGCTGAAGAATGCATCAGAATCTTTTAATAGCAGGACTGATCAAGCAGAAGAAAGAACTGGTGAGCTTGAAGACAGGCTATTTGAAAATACACAATCCGATGAGACAAAAGAAAAAAACAAAGAAGCACACCTACAGGATCTAGAGAAAAAAGCCTGGAAAGGGCAAATATAAGAGTTATTGACCTTAGGCCGGGCATGAAGGCTCACACCTGTAATCCCAGCACATTGGGAGGCCAAGGAGGGTGGATCACCTAAGGTCAGCAGTTTGAGACCAGCCTGGCCAACATGGTGAAACCCCGTCTCTACTAAAAATACAAAAATTAGCCGGGCATGGTGGTGGGCACCTGTAATGTCAGCTACTGAGGAGGCTGAGGCAGGGGGATCACCTGAACCCGGGAGGCGGAGATTGCAGTAAGGCAAGATTGCACCATCGCACTCTAGCTGGGCAACAAGAGCAAAACAACGTATCAAAAAAAAAAAAAAGTTATTGGCCTTAAAGAGGAGGTAGACAAAGAGATATGGAGAGAAAGTTTATTCAAAGGGATAATATCAGAGAACCTCCAAAACCTAGAGGAAAATATCAGCATTCAAGTACAAGAAGGTTATAGAACACCCAGCACACTTAACCCAAAGATGTCTACCTCAGGAATTTAATAATTAAACTCCCAAAAGTAAAGGATAAAAGGATCCTAAAAACAATAAGAGAAAAGAAGCAAATAACATATAATGGATCTTCAATATATATGGCAGCAGACTTTTCAGTGGAAACCACACAAGCCAGGAGACATTTGAAATGACATATTTAAAGTGCTGAAGAAAAAAAACCTTTTACCGTAGAATAGTATATCTGGTTAAAATTATATATTTATATATTTATATTTTTAATATATTTATATATATTTATATTTTTAACATATTTTAATATATTTATATATTTATATTTTTAACATATTTATATATATTTATATATTTATATGTATAATATATTTATATATATTTATATATTTATATGTATAATATATTTATATATATTTATATATTTATATGTATAATATATTTATATATATTTTTAATATATTTATATATATTTACATATTTATATGTATAACATATTTATATACATTTATATATTTATATTTTTAATATATTTATATATATTTATATTTTTAATATATTTATATATATTTATATTTATTTATATTTATATTTATATTTATATAAATATATATTTATGTTTATATATTTATATTTATTTATATTTATATAAATATATATTTATGTTTATATATTTATATTTATTTATATTTATATATTGATATTTATGTTTATATTTATATTTATATAAATATATATTTAAGTTTATATATTTATATTTATTTATATTTATATTTATGTTTATTTATATTTATATACTTATATTTATATATATTTATATATTTATATTTATATATTTATATATTTATATTTATATATTTATATATTTATATTTATATATTTATATATTTATATATTTATATTTTTATATATATTTATATATATTTATATTTATATATATATTTATATTTATATATATTTTATATATATTTATATATATTTATATATATTTATATTTATATATATATTTATATATATTTTATATATATTTATATATATTTATATATATTTATATTTATATATATATTTATATATATTTATATTTATATATATTTATATTCATATATATATTTATATTTATATATATTTTTATATATATATATATATATATATATATATATAATTTTAACCAGATATACTATTCTAAGCATGTATGAAGCATGACGGAGAAATGAAGACCTTCGCAGACAAATAAAAGGTAAAGGATTTCATCAACACCAGCCCTACCCTATAATAAATGTTAAAGGGAGTTCCTCAATCTGAGGGAAAAGGACATTGATGAGCAAGAAGAAATTACCTGAAGGTACAAAACTCACTGGTGATAGTAAATGCACAGAAAAACACAGAATAGTATAACATGGTAATTGGTGGTGTGTGAACTACTCTTCACTTAAGTAGAAAGACTAAATGATGAACGAATCAAAAATAATAACTACAACAACTTTCAAATATATAGAACAATAAGACATAAAGAGAAACAATGGAGAGACAAAGTTAAAGTGTGGATTTCTTATTAATTTTCCTGCATGCTGGTTTCTTTGTTTATGCAATCAGTGTTAAGTTGTCATCAGTTTAAAATAATGGGTTATAAGATAGTGTTTGCAGGCCTCATCGTAATCTCAAATTTAAAAACATACAACAGATACACAAAAAACAAAAATCAAGAAATTAAATTATACCAGCAGAGAAAATCACCTTTGCTAAAAGGAAGACATGAAGGAAGGAAAAAAGGAAGAGGAGGACACAAAACAACCAGAAACCAATACCAAAATGGGAGGAATAAGTCCTTATGTGTCAATAATAACATTGTATGTAGGTGGATTAAACTCTCCAATCAAAAGATGTAGAGTAGCTGAATAGATGGAAAAATAAGACTCTATGATCTGTTACCTACAAAAACACACTTTGCCTAGAAAGATACATGTAGGCTGAAAATAAAGGGATGGAAAAAGATATCCCACGGCAATGGAAACCAGAAAAGAGTAGGAATAGCTACACCAATATCAGACAAAATAGATTTTAACACAAAAAGTGTAAGAAGAGGCAGAGAAGGTCATTATACAATGATAAAGGGGGCAATTCTGCAAAAGGATATAACAATTTTAAATATATAAGCACTTGACATTGGAGCACCCAGATATATAAAGCAAATAGTATTACAGCTAATGAGAGAGATAAATCCTAATATAATAATAGCAGGGGAATTACACACTTCACTTTCAGCACTGGACATAGCTTCCAGACAGAAAATCAACAAAGAAACATCAGACTTAATCTGCACTAGAGACCAAACTGATCTAATAGAAATTTGTAGAATAATTCATCTAACACCTGAAAAATACACATTATTTTCCTCAGCACATGGATAAACCAAAGAAGACCATATGCTGCTGGGCCACAAAATAAGTCTTAAAACATTCAAAAAAACTGGAATAATATCAAGCATCTTCTCTGACTACAATTGCAATAAAACTAGAAGTCAATAAACAAGAAGAATCTTGGAAACTGTAAAATCCATGGAAATTAAAGAATATTCTCCTGAATAAGCAGAGGGTCAATGAAGAAATTAAGAAGAAAATTGGAAATGCTCTTAAAACACATGATAATGAAAACACAACATACAAAACCTATGGGATATAGCAAAAGCAGTATTATGAGAAAAATTTGTAAGTCCCTACATCAAAAAAAGAAAAACTTCAAATACATAGCCCAATGATACATCTAAAAGAACTACAAAAGTGAGAGCAAACCAAACTCAATATTAGTAGAGGAAAAGAAATAATAAAGACCAGAGCAGAAATAAATGAATCTGAAATGAAGAAAATAATAAAAACGATCAAGGAAATAAAAACGATCAAGGAAACAAAAATTTGTTTTTTTGTAAAGATAAAGTCGACAAGTCTTTGGCCCAACTAAGAAGAAAAGAGAGAAGACCCAAATAAATAACAGATAAAAAAAGACATTATAACTGATACTGCAGAAATTCAAATAATCATTAGTGGCTACTATGAGTAAGTTATGCCAATTAATTGGAAAATCTAGAATAATCTGATAAATTCCTCGACACATACAAACTATCAAGATTGAACCATGAAGAAATCCAAAACCTGAACAGACCAAGAATAAGTAACAAGGTCAAAGCCATAATAGAAAGTCTCCCAGAAAAGAAAAGCCTGGGAACTGATGGCTTCACTGCTGTATTCTACCAAACATTTGAAGAACTAATACCAATCTTTCTGAAACTATTCCAAATAATAGAGGATAAGGGAATACTTTCAAACTCATTCTATAAGGTTAGTTTTACTGTGACACCAAAACCAGACAAAGACACATGAGAATAAAAAAACCTGCAGGCCAATATATATGATAAATATTGATGCAAAAATCCTCAACAGGGTGGGAGAGCATTAGGACCAATAGCTAATGCATGCTGGGCTTAAAACCTAGATGATGGGTTGATAGGTGCAGCAAACCACCATGGCACAGGTATACCTATGTAACAAACCTACACATTCTGCACTTGTATCCTGTAACTTAAAATTAAAAAATAAATACATATAAATAAAACAATATTATTTTACCTACAGATATTTGTAATTATTATATATTAATAATGAATTATACTTTTGGCATTATTAAAAAATATGCAGAAGAATGAAACATGATGCCTCTCACCATATACAAAAATCAAATCAAAATGAATTAAAGATTTATGTCTAAAACCTCAGACTATGAAGCAACTATAAGAAAACATTGGGGAAAGTCTCCAGGACATTGGTCTGGGCAAAAGTTTCCTGAGTAACACCCCACAAGCACAGGAACCAACGCAAAAATGAACAAATGTCATCACATCAAGTTAAAAAGCTTCTGCACAGCAAAGGAAAAAATCAACAAGGTGAAAAGACAATCCACAGGATGGGAGAAAATATTTGCAAATTACCCATCTGACAAGGGATTCATAACCAGAATATATAAGGTGTTCAACAGCTCTATAGGAAAAAAATCTAAGAATCTGATTAAAAGTTGGCCAAAGATTTGAATAGACATTTCTCAAAAGAAGACATACAAATGGCAAACAGGCATACGAAAAGTTGCTTAATATCACTGATCATCAGAGATATGCAAATCAAAACTACAATAAGATATACTCTCACCCCAGTTAAAATGGCTTTCATCCAAAAGACAGGCAATACCAAATGCTGGCAAGGACGTGGAGAAAAGGGAACCCTTGTTCACTGTTGGTGGAAATGTAAATTAGTACAACAAATATGGAGAACAGTTTGGAGTTTCCTCAAAAAACTAAAAATAGAATTACCATATGATCCAGCGATCCCACTGCTGTGTACATACCCCCCAAAAAGGAAATCAGTATATGAAGGAGACATCTACACTCCTATGCTTGTGCAGCACTGTTTACAATTGCCAAGATTTGGAAACAACCTAAGTGTCCATCAGCAGATGAATGGATAAATGTACTTATACACAATGGAGTACTATTCAGCCATAAAATGATTGAGACACTGTCATTCGCAAAAACATGGATGGAATTTGAGATCATTATGTTAAGTCAAATAAACCAGATAGAGAAACACAAACACCATATGTTCCACTCATTTGTGGGATCTAAAAATCAAAACATTTAAATTCGTGGTGATAGAGAATAAAGTATGGTTACGAGAGGCTAGGAAAGGTAGTGGGGGATTGTGGGAGAGGTGGGGAAAATTAATGGGTATAAAAGAAATAGAAAGGATGAATAAGACCTAGTATTTGATAGCACAACACAGAAACTATAGTCAATAATAATTTAATTGTACATCTTAAAATAACTAAAAAAAGTATAACTGGATTGTTTGTAACACAAATAGTAAATGCTGGAGGGGTGGATATCCAATTTTCCATGATGTGATTATAACAAATTGCTTGTCTATACCTAAATATCTCATGTACCCATAAGTATATACAGCTACTATGTACCCACAATAATTAAAAATTAAAACATTTTAAAAAGAAATCAATTGAAACTTAAATTATCAATCCAATGAAGACACTACCAATAAAGTACCATAGGTTATAATCTACCCTTTGTATGAAGACTGTTTTTATTTTATTGATTAATTGATTTGAGATGGAGTCTTGCTCTGTTGCCCAGGCTGGAGTGCAGTGGTGCAATTTCACCTCACTGCAACCTCTGCCTCCTGGATTCAAGCAGTTCTCCTGCCTCAGCCTCCTGAGTAGCTGGGATTACAGGTGCCCACCACCACGCTGGGCTACTTTTTGTATTTTTAGTAGAGATGGGGTTTCACCATGTTGGTCAGGCTGGTCTTGAACTCCCGTCCTCAAGTGATCTGCCGGCCTCAGCCTCCCAAAGTGCTGAGGTTACAGGTGTGAGCCACCATGCCCAGCCTGTATGAAGACTCTTTGTCCTCACTCAAAGTAGAAGGGATCCAGCATGTGGCATATGCCAATACAGTTTGGGCACAGAGCTTCTACTGCACATTATTAAGGGGCTTGGGGTATGAAATGCTACAAAGATTCGGGTGTAAATAATAGAAATGTAGGCAGAGCTTTACATGTCCTCTGTCAGAAGTATAAAATATAAGCATGCAAGAGATGGGAGGTTGGTATCATTTGGGGCCTTTACAGGCTAGGGACTGATTTTAAAAACGTGCCACAAAGTTTGGGGATAATAGGGAGCTAACATTTGTGAATAGTGACAGAGAGCAGTATTGAAGGGATTACACAATGTTTGCACCTTATGAATTTGTTTGCCTAGAGCTAGGATCAGAAGACTGCACATTTTTATACCCCTGGTAGGTAATAAGAACCCAATTCATGGCCGGGCACGGTGGCTCACACCTGTAATCCCAGCACTTTGGGAGGCTGAGGCGGGTGGATCACGAGTTCAGGAGATCAAGACTAGCCAAGACCATCCTAGCTAACACAGTGAAACCCCGTCTCTACTAAAAATACAAAAACGAAATTAGCTGGGCATGGTGGTGGGCACCTGTAGTCCCAGCTACTTGGGAGGCTGAGGCGGGAGAATGGCGTGAACCCAGGAGGCAGAGCTTGCAGTGAGCCGAGATCGCACCACTGCACTCCAGCCTGGGCAACAGAGTGAGACTCCAAAAAAAATAAAATAAAATAAAATAAAAAATAAAGAAGAACCCAATTCATAATAATGAGCCTTTTTGTAGTTATTACTTATGAATACTATAAATAAAATTATTCGTGGGGAAATGCTTTAGTATTAAGACTAGTCTTCAAACCTATGTCAGAACGGTATGTTCCTGACATACCATTCAGACATGGTATGATGAGGTACCATCCAAAGGTCCCACAGAAACTCATACCAAAGATTTGGATAAATTTTTACATTTATACAGTCAACTTCACACATACACATACACCCCAGATCTGGAACAGAATGGAAGCTATTACTTCTACATAAGATCCAGCTTCCAGCACATTCATTTGTCAGGGTCATGTTTATATGTCTTTGGGAACTTGTCATGTCTTAATTTGACATTGATAATCTAAATATATCTCAGTTGAAGGCTATCAGTATGAGAGAACGTTTGAATCTTATAAGCATAATATGTATGAACTGGCATGTTTTAAGAGAGGTCTGGGTTCATTCAATATTAGAAATGTTGAGAGTCCACTTAAAGGCCTACAAGCTTAGGTAAATACGTCATTATACAGCACTACTGAAAGATAATCACATCAATTAATTTCCCTAGTTCTCTTTCATCTCCATTTACAAAACTTAGCTATTGGCATTCAGGTAGCACTAAGATACTGTGATGTGGTAGTTACACCAAAGGAGACTGTGTGGGTATATGGGCATGCTCTTATATTTTCTCCCCTACTGTGACATTTACTAAGTAAGAGCATAAACTATTATTCTGCAGGAAGTAACAGACTAAGTAGAAAATAACATTTAGTTAATATCATTTCTTCTAAGGTTTTAAGGTAATCACCCTAAATCTGATATATACCAGACTCCAAATAATACCACCTGAGGTAAAATAGCAGCTCTCTAATCTGTTGTAATTACTAGCACTTTACGTTGTCCATAATTATGTTATTAATAATAAACATTGACACTGATTGTATTAGTCTGTTCTCATGCCGCTAATAAAGAAATACCCTAGACTGAGTAATTTCTAAAGAAAAAGAGGTTTAATGGACTCACAGTTCCACATGGCTGGGGAGGCCTCACAATCATGGCAGAAGGCAAAGGGGAAGCCAGACACATCTTACATGGTGGTAGACAAGAGAGCTTGTGCAGGGGAACTCCCATTTATAAAACCATCAGATCTGCTGAGACTTATTCACTACCACAAGAACAGTATGGGGGAAACCACCCCCCATGATTCAATTATCTCCACCTGGCCCCACCCTTGACATGTGGGAATTATTATAATTCAAGGTGAAATTTTGGTGGAGACACAGACAATCCATATCACCGATTGAACATTTCATGCCCAGATTTTAGAGAAGGTGTTGTTTCTGAACAAAACTGTTTCTTTAGTCCTATTACTTATGTGAAAATTACAGCAGTTGGTGATATTTTTCTCTGCAGAGCATATTTGGCTCCAGCTGTACAAACCACTTAAGTTACTGTTAGTGGCATATACAAATTTTGCCAGGCATTCAAAACTCCAAAGTTATTTCATATCAGAGCAATGTAGCCTTCAGTTTTGCATCTCTGAAGGATGAGCAACATTACTTTAAATGACATCCTTTTGTCAGAGTTCCGTGGTCTAAAGACAGAATGAATCCACTTGTATAAATTGTGACTTCACTATTGAAGGATTATAAAAATATATTGTGCTTCACTTAAACCTAAAACTATTAATATAGTTAAATTATGCCATCTTTTCACCAGAAAAAAATATCAAGTGCTTAAAATGCTATCATCAATCACAACTAATTCACTAAATATACAATTGAAGCAGCAATAGAAGAAAGAAAACATTGTTGAGCAGATCATCTGTCACTAAGTCAAACATCTCCATTTTTCATTGGATGAAGTGACTAAAGACTCCCAAGGTCTGTAGTATGGATAATTCAAAATTGAATTCCTTTTCCAAGAGGATAACCCTTCACATACTGTCATTTTGTGGGATGTTTTCTGAGCTGGTATATGAATTTATTTTTAAAAGTAAACCTCCATGACCATTTCTGTCTGAGTCTGTATGTTTCAATTTAGCTGTGAAAGACATTCACCTAGGCATTCCTCACCTCATTTCTTCCATCACAAATAGTTATCAACAGAGAAATATACCTGCGGACTCTTGTTCCTAAAGCCCCAAACTATCTTTTAACTCAGATTTAATTTAGTAGTCGGCCAAGGTCATCAGATGTTTTTCATTACCCGAAATAATCTTCAAATTCAACTTCCTATCCCATTCTCATTGATATTTTCTGTCCTTATTGAGCCTGGCTCCTTTCCAGACATACACATACAAAACATCGCTCTGGGCCAGAGAAATTATCCATCCCATGCAGTGCAATGTGTTTTTCTCTGGCCTGTACCAAAAAATATTTTATAAGAGAAGATGGTTCCTGTAGAATAGACAAAATGTTAAGGAGGTTCTCCTAACTTAATGTCTCCTTAGTATCATTTTTTCTTCCATCCTTTTCCTTACCCCATTTTTTTTTTTTTTTTTTTTTTGTACAGCAAAAGTTATATTGTAAAGGGAACGGTCTTGGGCACTTCTGATTGAGCCAATATAGTAGGATTAACAAGAATCATAGTAGAGTCTAAAAAAAATGCCAAACATTTGCCCAAGGGGCAATTTGGACTTGTAGTTGTACTTTTAGGCTCAAACATACAGGATCAATCAGGATCTGAAGTAAAGCACATGCAGCAAAAAGGAAGTAAATCATAAATACACAAGAGCTGAGCCAACAGCCAAGCCAAGATCACAGTCAGAAGAGATAAAGTTCAAGCTCACAAATGGCAACAGGGTAGGAACACTATATTAGTCCATTTTCACACTGCTATAAAGATACTACATGGCAATGGGTAATTTATAAACAAAATGGTTTAACTGACTCACAGTTCCACATGGCTGCAAAGGCCTCAGGAAACTTACAATCATGGCAGAAGGTGAAGGGGAAGCAAGGCATGTCTTACCTGGCAGCAGGAGAGAGAGGGAGTGCCAGGGAAACTGCCACTTTTAAGCCATCAATATTGTGAGAACTCCCTCACTACCACTAAAACAGCGTGGGGGAAACCGCCCCCATGATCGAATAACCTTCCACCAGGTCCCTCCCTGACAGCTGAGGATTCCAATTCCACATGAGATTTGGGTGGGCACACACAGCCAAGCAATGTCAAACATACAAGCAGGTTACTAATCAACAGGAAAGAGGGACCTCTACATGAACCTGAGGACTGCATCAATTCCTTATGCTCAGTTACTTGTCTTCTCCTTGAGGTTGTGAAGACTAATGGGAGAGGAGGGATGCCACATAAATACCCTGTAATCTTGCCACTCTGAAGTCTTGAAGAACTCAATTTTAAGTAAAGCCAAATCTGTTGGGCCTCATCACAGACGAGCCCATCTAACAGAAGCGAAAGCCACAATGATGTCAGCTTAGTCTAAATTATGGGCACAAAAAGAGATTCTATATTTCCGTGGTTCTTTTTGTCCAACACGCCACTACTCCCTGATGTATTCATATACCACATCCCTAAGTCATCTTCTAATGTAACCCCAAAACAGAGTTTTATAATACTTTGGGTTATCAAGTTTGGTCTTTTACCTCCTTCTACTATTTCCCTCCTGATTTAATATCCCTGATTCTTTTTATCTGGAGCTGGGTGCTTCGGGATCTTATATGTTAGGCTAATTCAAACATCCCCTTGTTTCTAGCCAAAGGCTCCCCTTAATCTTTGGCACATACCCATTATCTGGTACTTAACCAGGTCATTATTTCTCACGTCATCAACCTCTGTGCCATTGCTCAAATCTTCACTCAGTCTGATACATTTCCCTAGTTAGAGGGAACAGGCAGAGGTGGAAGTTGTTCAGAGTTGGGAAGCAGGGCCTAGAATGACTGGATGAATGAAGAGCTGATAACATTAATTTTAAAACACTTAATTATAGCCATTTTATTTTGATGAAATGGGAATATTTAGGCTTGTCATGGTTAAGTTTGATGAGTTATGCTCTTTATTAGGTTGAATCCATTTCTTCAGTGGCTTGACTGGCATCTCTGATATTCTATTATTAATCTCATACTTTTAGCCTATAACAGTAAATTTTGATCAAACCATTCATTTACTTAAGTGTCATGCTAAAAACAAAAACTTCTTCCTCAATCAAAACCATTAAAATTAAAGGTTAATGGCTGTGACTAAATATTCATCCACTCAACTATTTTTTTTAACCCATGGTAACACTTTATATTTTACTGTTGTTCTCCTCAGAGAAAATTCTGGTTTGGATTGCTTTTAAACAGAATTGACCAGTAAGATTGAAACTGGGTACATAGAACCCAAGATTGAGAGTTCCTAGCACCTGTTTCTAAATGGGTAATAATGCCATGTTTTAGTTAATTTTAATAATCCCTATGTTTCTAGTACACCTGACATAGACAGTAGCAAAAAAATAAATACAATTAGGAATATATGCTTTATGTATCCTCAAAGTACACCTGACATATTTTTCAAACTTGACATGAAAATAAAAATCAATATAGATAAAGTATTCCAATTCAGACACATTGTTACCGGGGTCACTTTGAAAAGAACTGCAGCTCCAATTTATTTTGAAACTCTTTATTACTCTCACTGAGATCTAATAAACATGAATTTATATGATAGATGTAGAGACACTTTCTACACTGTTTGTAGCATTGCTTGTAAAGTCTGGTTTACCTGTATTTGATATTAATAAGAATAAAAAAGAAGTAAGCAAATTCTATAGTGCTCAAAACTTCCCCATTCTTGTGCAGGTATACCTCACTTTAAGGAAACCTGACATGTAAATGTAGGTAAAAATAAAGTACTGGGTGACATTTTGCTTTAAAAATACTATAATTTACAAATGAATTCTCACTATTACATAAGTTTTAAAGTGATTTATATGCAACTATAGTTGCTCAGCTCTCAGAAAGTGACAATAAATATGGTATATATATATATATATATATATACGTTTATATTTTTACAATGAGTTTAGTTTCAGAATTTTGATGTAAAAATCAATCAACTAAATGATTTATTAAGAAGTTAAGATTTCAAGACACTTATTTTTATTGTTCCATGTAAGATTTCCCTTCCTGGTCTGAGCACATTCATCAGTATTTGGGAGTGTTATCTACATTTCTATATATTTGTCTATAGTACCATATAGACTAAGTGATATTCTTATACAACCTCCAAAATTAAAATTTCAAAGCAAATATATCTTCATTTCAGTAATGTAATGGAGGCTGTTCTGACTCTTTATCCCTACCAACTCCTTTATCCTTTGGCTGTTGCTTGGCATCCCACCTACTGTTGGAAATGCGTTATTTTAATTTAAGATTTTGGTAACCTGCTCAAATGAATATGGCCCTACTAGAGGAAACACATGTAGCTATTATCAGTCATTTAAACTTTTCTGTGAATTGGTTATTAAATCATATCCTGAAAACTGAGAGAAAGAACTGAGGAAAGACAATACATAGAAAAGTGTCTCTAATAACAAAAAAGTAAAGGAAGCATTTATTGCTAAATTCAAACCTCACTTATTTTTAAATTTTGGCTAGAACCAATTTTAACTGTCAGGATTAATGTGTAATAATTATTTTATTACAATTTTTGGATATATATTTCTACGAGTTTTAACATATGCATAGATGACTGCAATGATCACCACAAACAGGATATAGGACAGTTATAACACCCCAGCATGATTGCCCTCATGCTGGCCTCTGAAGTCAGTCTCTCTCCCTTAACCCCTTGGTAATCACTGATCTCTTCTCTCTCCATATAGTTTTGCTGTTTCCAGAATGTCATCTTAGTGGAAAAAATAAAGTATGTAACTTTTTGGGTCTGGCTTTTTTCATTCAGCATTGTGCATTTGAGATTCATCCATACTGTTGCATGTATCAGTGGTTTGTTCCTTTTCTTATTTATTTATTTTTATTTTAAGTTCTGGGATACATGTGCAGACGTGTAGGTTTGTTACATAGGTATACATGTGCCACGGTGGTTTGCTGCACCTATCAACCCATTACCCAGGTATTAAGCCCCGCATGCATTAGCTATTTGTCCTGATGCTCTCTCTGCCCTTGCCCCCACTCTGACAGGCCCCGGTATGTGTTGTTCCCCTCCCTGTGTCCACGTATTCTAATTGTTCAATTGCCACTTATGAGTGAGAACATGCAGTGTTTGGTTTTCTGTTCCTGTCTTAGTTTGCTGAGGATGATGGCTTCCAGCTTCATCCACGTAACTGCAAAGGACATGATCTCATTCCTTTTTGTGGCTGCACAGTATTCCCTGGTGTATATGTACCACATTTTCTTTATCCAGTCTATCATTGATGGACATTTGGGTTGGTTCTAGGTCTTTGCTATTGTGAATAATGCTGCAGTAAACATATGTGTGCATGTATTTTTATAATAGAATGATTTATATCCCTTTGTGTATAGACCCAGTAATGGGATTGCTGGGTCAAATGGGATTGCTGGTTCTAGATCCTTGAGGAATCACCACACCATCTGCCACAATGGCTGAACTAATTTACTTTCCCACCAATACTGTAAAAGCATTCCTATTTCTCCACAGCCTTGCCAGCATCTGTTGTTTCTTGACTTTTTAATAATCACCATTCTGACTGGCATGAGATGGTATCTCATTGTGGTTTTGATTTGCATTTCTCTAACAATCAGTGATGTTGAGCTTTTTTTCATATGTTTGTTGTTCCCACCAAACTACCATTGACATTCTGCACAGAATTAGAAAAAACTACTTTAAATTTCATATGGAACCATAAAAGTGTCCACATAGCCAAGACAATCCTAAGCCAAAAGAACAAAGCTGGAGCATCATGCTACCTAACTTCAAACTATACTACAAGGCTACAGTAACCAAAACAGCATGGTATTGGAACCAAAACAGACATATAGATCAATGGAACAGAATAGAGACCTCAGAAATAAGACCACACATCTACAACCATCTGAACTTCAACAAACCTGACAAAAATAAGCAATGGGAAAACTATTACCCGTTTAATAAATGGTGCTGGGAAAATTGGCTAGTCATATGCAGAAAACTGAAACTGGACCCCTTCCTTACACCTCATACAAAAATTAACTCAAGATGGATTAAAGGCTTAAATGTGAAACCCAAAACCATAAAAACCCTAGAAGAAAACCTAGGCAATACCATTCAGGACATAGGCATGGGCAAAGATTTTATGATAAAATCACCAAAAGCAATTGCAACAAAAGCTAAATTGACAAATGGGATCTAATTAAACTAAAGAGCTTCTGCAGAGCAAAGGAAACTATCATCACAGCGAACAGGCAACCTACAGAATGTGAGAAAATTTTTGCAATCTACCCATCTGACAAAGGTCTAATATCCAGAATTTGGAAGGAACTTAAACAAATTTACAAGAAAAAAACAATCCCATCACAAAGTGGACAAAGATTTCTTCCTTTTCATTGTCAAGTGGCACTTCATTGTGTGGATGCACCACAATTTTTTAAATTCATTCACATGTTGAACAGCATTTAGTCTGTTCCCAGTTTTTGGCAATTATGAATACTGCTGCCGTAAACAGTCATGTATATATTTTTACGCAAATGTGAGTTTTCATTCTGAGATTGCTGGTCAATATGACAAGTACACGTTTAACTTTATAAGAACCTGCCAAACCATTTTCCAGAGCACTGTATCATCTTGCATTTCTACCAGGAATGTATGAGGGCTCTAGTTGCTTCACATCCTTGTCAGCACTTGGTATTGTCAGTATTTTTTAATGTTAACTATTTTAATGAATGTTAATGGTAGCACATTGTGGTCTTAACTTGCTTTTCTCTAATGACTAGAAATATTTAACATCTTTTCATGCGCTTATTTAGCATCTGTATATCTTCTTTGGTCAACTATCTGTTCAATCTATTTTTCATTGTGTTGTTGGTTTTCTTATTATTGAGTCTAAGAGTTCTTTAAATATTATAAATTCGAGTTTGTTAGATCTGCAATTTGCACATATTTCCTCCTAGTCTGTGACTTGTCTTTCTTTATTTCATGAAAGACCAGTGTCTTTCACAGAGCAAAGTTTTAAATTTGATGAAGTGTAATTTATCATTTTTTTTCTTTTATGGATCATGCTTTTGGTGACATATCCATATCATTAACTTTTGCATTTCTGTCTGGTCCATCTACTTGCACACAAGAGGTAGAAGGTGAGTATGAACAGGTTAAGTCAAATTGCTTGGAATTCTGTCCCAGCTCCACAACTGTAATCTCTGGTCACTAAACATCTTTGAGTCTGTGATCCCCTCTTTCTAAAATGGGGACAATAATCACGGGACTGTCTACCTCAGCTTTATATTTTCAAAGCCTAATGACACTGTGGACAATTAGTAGGAACTTAGTAAATATGTAAAGGAATAGGGTAGTTGCAAGTCAATTAAGCTCACATAAGTAAATTAGAGAGTGCTATCACATATAAGGCATTATTGTTATGGAGCCAAATCTAAACATGGATTCATAGATGTTTGCTTGAAGGAATATTAGAGGACATAGCTATGGCACCTTATATTCATCTCACCCAATTTCCTAATTTTATAGATGCCGCAACTAACAGAACCATTTAATTCATTTAGGTTTATTTTGCTTCAGTAAAATAAACTAAGAATTCCTACCATTTGACAAGAAGTTTTAATAAGCTAAGATCAATGGAACTAGCTAAATATTTGATGATTTCCAACTCTCAAAGTGTACAAATGTGAGAAATGTGGGGTTTTTTCCCACTCCGGGAAAAAACACATATTGATAGTCACTATATTGTGCTCAATAATAGCCATGTGTGTCAATTTCTTAACCAATCATAGCTAGACTAGCATATTAAACTTTGAACTACATGGAAAGTAATAAAAGGATAATAAAAGTGTATCTTCTATACCAATGAGCAAGTCATTTATTAAAGACAAAAATAACCTTGTATATTAAAATTCAAGTTGATCTAAAGATTCATGCTCAGACATGGTCTATAACATTACAAGTGTTAGTTTCCCATCTGCCACCAAGACAAAAAAATCAATTATTATACAGACTGGCAAATAATTGTTTAAATAGAGACAATGACTTGATGAGAGAAAACTTTGGGTTAAAAACAACAAATTGGTCATTCAAATTAGCAATGGGTTCCCTGGGTATGGTAAGTAGATTTTCTAAGGCCTGGCTGGCACTCTGAAATTGGTATCTGTATCCTAGGGTTTGCCCTGAACTCTCTGAATTCTCCCTTATCCCACTCCCCAAATAACCTTGTACAAAAAATAAAATATACATTGTTTGTCTAGAAAGTCTTGAGATGAGTCTTTCAGAATTTTCTAGCATTCTTATCAGAGCCTGATTTCAAAAAACTAAAAGCAAATTGAACCAAACAAAAGCAAAAAAAGGGGGGGCTTAATGATAGTTCTAGATCAAACACTGAGAGAACCAGCCACATTTTTCCTATCTGTATTTCCACAGCCAACCACAGGGAAGACTTTATGAGTGATCAGTGGCCTACAGGACTGTGATTTCAGTGACAGTAAGAAAACCTTCTATATCACCTATACCTCTCCCATACTGAAGAATGTTCAGAATAGCTCTCATTAGTCATTTTTTGGACCCAAGACACACTCACATGGGAAAGGCAACATATTAAGCTTTTCACCCATCATTAACACCTTAGAGCAAATGAGCTCACCCAACATTTTCCAGATGTTTTGATATTCCAAAGAGAGTGGCTGAATGCCTAGGGAGGATATTAAGCACAAGATGTGATTGTTGTGGTGGGAAAATTCCAGAGTGAGAAAAGTGAAAAAAAAAAAAAAAAAAAAAAAGGCAAATTGAAGACACTGAATCTACTACCCAAATTTTCTGGAAGCTTAGTCCTGTGTACTGAAATCTTAGAACAAGAAGGTTCTTGGTTTGGTAAACTAAGCTTGTCAATAGTTGATAAACCTGGTCACAATTTTGGCCAGAACATGTCCAAAACCCACCTGGATCTCATTTCCTGCAGTATTCAAAGCGTCCATTACAGATTTCTCAACCCCACTTTCTTTTGCAAGGCCCCCTTTGCACCAACATTTCTGTTCCACTGTCTCTCTTCTCTCTCTGAAATTTGCACGAGTTGCATGTGCTTCATTCTCATAGATTCACTTATAACCCCTCTTTATTTCCCATATCTTCTTGATAAATGTCAAGTATAGAGAATATCTAGAGTAAACAGTTTCTTATGTGTCTCAAAGACAGACATCAGAACTATAAGGATGGGGAACATATTATTTCTGGAGTTGGGTCTTCCTAGAACCTCTAACAAATGCTCTCTCTTTGCCTAAAGCCGTCGAAAGTTTTGTTGAGCAGCTAGAAGAGATTTTTAATGTTTTAAGGGAAGAAGCTTGGTTAAAAATAAACAAACTCAGATCCTGTTATGGAGATTTGGAAATATCAGAGGTCAGATCATGTTCCCCAAGGCATAACAGAAGTCTATAGGAAAAGCCTGGAGAATACCTATAAGGGAGGTTATGGTGCTGAAACACCAGTACTAGATACAGAAGGTTGCCACTATCCATCTGCTTCATTTTGGTGTTTGAGTTTCTATCAAATTTGCTAGGTGAAAAGCTGGGTGTCTAATGGAGATGGCCTCTCAGATCACATGCCAGCTTGCCTATGCTAGAAACTTTGTGGCAAGCCACCTAGTTAGACCGTATTCGCTCTCTGTACTTAACTTTTCATCCTATTCAATTTGAGTTTCAGGTCAAATCCTTCATAACCAATCCTGCCAACAGTAAAACACTTGCTACCACCTCAGTAAATATTTAGATAAAGTCATATTACACATGAACTTTATGTGCCAGGATGGAATTGTAAATGCTTTGAAAATTGCTTTGCTTCATTAAATGCTAATTTTTCTTCAAGTTTTACTAAATAAGTTTTACTGAAATAGCTAGCATATGACTTCATGAGTTTGCAGAGTCGGTAGCATGCTGTGCAAGAGAGTCCATTTAATGCTAGAAACTACATTGTGCTTAGTAAGTGAACATTTTAATTATGCAGCCAAACAATTCTTTAACAGTAAATATTAACCCAAATAGATCTAAAATGCTACTTCAAAGATATGCTATAGTTGCAATGATATCTTTCCAGAAAAGAAACTATAGGTCAATTCAATTTACAGATTGCCAATAATGTCAGTTTATATGGTTTCAAATGCCCTTTAGTTAGGTAACTATTAGCAGAAGTTTTCAGTATACTATCATAGTCATGATGAATATAGACATGATGAATATAGAAATTTTAATGAGAAAAGATGATATACAAACCTGGCAACAAGTGTTTCTCGAATGATCTCAGGGTATAACATGATAAACTAGTCACAGTCCTCAAATTTGATACTAATATTCTAACAGAAAATGACAACCAATTAAAATGTGTATTATGTAACTCTATTAAGCAAGGCTCATAATTATATGGATTAAGATATAGTAGAAATAATACTATGTGCCTCCAAATAGAATAACCCCAGATAATAAAAATTCTATATAGTAAGGCTAGCTTATTAAGGGATGACACATAATTTTTATCTCACATGACAACTCTAGTCTGATGGTAATGAGTACCTGGAATTCTTGAGAAATACTTTGTGGCCATATAGGCACTCAGAAGGAAAGAGTACTACCGGTGATTGGCAATGTCTACTATGGGTGTTGTGAATTGAAATGGCAGCACAAATGCCAGGTATGTTTTGTCCTTGTTCTATCAAAAGAGCTTGCTCAATCTTCCTGCCCCATATTATTGTCATACTGGGGTTAAGAATCATTAATGCGAATTGTAGAGAAAACATGAGCAGGAGAATGTGTTGGTTAACTACAGACAGGGCTTGGTTAATCCAAGAAGATTTTCTGGAAAATAGGTCATGAGAATTTCCCTTTATTTTGTGTAGACAGCTCAAAAAATTTTGTTCTCTATTTTATTTGGTATTTACAATAGCAAATGGAGCCAGACTCTAAAATCACAGTTGACCAACAGATGCTCCTCTCTACTATAAACCAGATACAAAAAGAAAAACCTGAGATTGAAGGTATTAGGTGTGTAACAAGAGTTAATTCTTTATACCAAGGTTCTGAAAAGTATGCTATCTATAGCCCACGGGTTAAACTCAAGCTAAGGCTTCTTTTTGCATATAAAATGTGATTGGAATACAGTCACTCCCATTCGTTTACATATTGTCTATTGTTGTTTTCATGCTACAAGGGCAGAGTTGAGTAGCTGTGACAGATCATTTGGTTCACAAAGCAGAAAATATTTTACTATCTGACCCTTTACAGAAAATGTCCGCTGACCCCTGGGTTACTAGAGCATTGTTTGCCAAACATAGTCTGTGGTCAACTAGTTTTATAATTACCTGCCTTGTTTGTTAAAGTGCAGATTCTTGGGTCAACACCAATCCATTGAATGAGACTGTTTTTTGTATTAGCCAAAGAATCTGCATTTAATCAAGCATGACAGTTGATTCTGAAGCATATTAAATTTTGAAAACCACTGTTTAATGTCACCAAATTTGATAAGTATAGATTATGAATCAAATCTCTGACAATAAAGGATGCCTGCAGTATCTTTAATCTGCCAGATTGATTGAATATTTTCATGATGCTCCTAGAGCTACATAACAGAAATTCTATTTTTCATCCCTTGAACATTCAGCAGTTTGCCCATGCTGAGGTTCAGCTATGACTTATTAAGAACTTGAAGCTAATTTTCACAATTTTTGATCAATGTACTAATTATGTAATCCCATTTTTATTTAGAATCTGTACAGTATTACACAAAGTGCTAAGTGGTGAACGATTTCTTTGTTAAAATATTTAGTGTAGGACACTGGGATTCTTATTCTAATCTTATTTTTATATTTCAAAGCTTTCTTCAGTAACGTTTGGCATGGCTTTTGCTTCAGATCAAGATATTTCCGGATATTATTTAGTTTCTGTCTTTGGGGCAGAACGTGTCTCCATCTAATCCAGCAGACTGCCTCTGGGGAAAGGAAAATCACAGGTTTTTCAGATTTAGGGGAAAAAAATACAAGCATAGCCTACCAAATTTTCAAGTCTCTGAACTAAATACAAATTCTCAAGCCACCTGACCTTTGTGCACTCATTTTACGTAAAGCATGGTGCTCTTAGGAGTCAGAAAATAAATGAGGGCTAAGCAGCATGAATGATTAGTTCTATAGGAGGGACATTATATCCTCAAAGCATCCAGATCAGCAAACTATACAAATGTACCACAGGTTTAGTATTGACTAAATCTTGAAAGTCTGCTTTAAATCTTTTCTGCCTTGTCTCTTAATTATGTATGTTGGAAATTGTAAATACCATTGATTGTTTTCATTTGCTAAATGCAAAAAGAAGGTGAACACAACTCCCTCTTTTCGCAGAAGTGAATAAAAGGAGCAGGAGATGCAGGGTGAAGGTGGGCTCAGATGACCCCTAGAGATTTAGGGGGAATCTCAGACAGAGTTGGATGTTGTCGGGAACTCTGACAAAAATGGTTTCTGAGATTGTCAATGCAAATGTCATTTGGACGAAGTATAAAGTCTGAGTTAACAAAATCTTGACCTGGAAATGAGAATAAGTCCAGGAGTTAGTAAAATTTAGTTTCAACAGAGAAAAAGAAAGCTACTATATTTGTTTGTATCCCTTGGAGTCTGGAACTGGGCAGTTTTTACAACTCACACAAATTTTATATTAGTACTGTCTATATGTAAGAAATCTTAGGCCTTTGGAAATACTTGATAGTTCAATTTATTTGGTGCATCAAATATTTTGTAGTTTTTTGTTTTAGATATTAGTGTTTTCTTCATTTGATAATACTTTCTGAAAATAAAGCTAGATGTTACTATATGATTCAATTTTACTTTCTTTTGTAACATTAATATATTTTATTCACAATTTCTATTTTATTTTCATTTTTCCCATATAGTGTTTTGAATTTGTATATATTCAAAGCATATTTTTCAATATTTTAAATTAGAATCCTTTTCGGAATATTTCAAACCTCCAACATCTAGTTACAATGAATTGTATACATATTATTTTAGATCCTTTCAATAGAAACTGAATCAGAAACTCAATCACCATTTTGCTAACTGTCCCTTCCTGTTACTGATAGAGGCCAGCAGTTAGTAGTTAGTCTTAAACCATAATCTAAATCTCATCTACACATGTTGCCCTCACACAAGGAGTTCTCAAAATGTCAAAGAGATGAAGAAGTTTCCTTCCTAGGAAGACAGTCTTTTTGGATTCTTCTTCCTCTAATGGCATCAATACGCTTTCAGATTTGATCCAATTTGATTAAACAATAATTACTGAATGTCTACTAAACACAAGGATTGGTGCTAGGAGCTGCAAATCAGCAAGGTCTGTACATAGTACACAAATCTGCTGCATTTATAAACATGACTCCAGAAAGTTAAGAGACATGATATTTACTAGGAAGGATACAGAGACAGAAGCAATATATCCTAAAGTAAATAAAATATATGGGGTAGTTCCATTTGGAAAAATCCTTCTCAGGGCCTAGTTATATAAACCCCTCTATTGAACACATGTCTGATTCAGGGGCAGAGACAACAGCTGCTGAAGTCATAGGGTGTTAGAGAGTTCCAGAACAGGTGAAGATAAAGAATTTGAGGAGAGTGGGAGACAGTATTGTGCTGGCAGCAGGAGGCCTGATCAGGAGCTTGCACAAGCCCTGTCCCCTAATCCAGGCAAAGAAAGCATGGAGCCCAAATAGCAATTAATCCAAGATGACATGATCAAAATGGCTTACTAGGCCTGGTTGGCCAAGTTCCCAAAGGACTCTCTAGCTCCCATTAGGAAATCTGCTGTTTGTGACAAAAATAACATGGTATATTGTATTGCTGCAAGTGTGGTGTATTTACAACAAAAATCCAACTTTGAACCCAAACCACTTTGAGCATAAGAAATGAAAACAAAAATGTTTCCCTTCTTTATATTTCTTCCTTTCAAAATAAATTATTCATATAACCTTAATTTCAAATCATTGAAGTGTAATTGGGACTATCCAGGCTTTCCTAGCCCAAGGTTTTCTCTGGTGGGGTCTGAGGGTACATGGCCATGCCAAAAGTATAAAAACACCAGACCTCAGGATGGCATGTCTGCACAATGAGGTGTGGGAGAAGGAACATTAGCAATTCATTTATTCATTTACTTACTCATTTAATCAGCAAATATTTAATTATCTACTCTGTACCAATGATTGTATTAGATGTTGGGGATACAGAGTTAAGAAAAAAAAAACATAATCCCAGTCGTTATGAATATAACAATGGGAGGGGGCAGGCAATAAAGAAGTAAATAAATATAGAATTATAAATTACAAAAAATAATCCCTTGAAGGAAAGGAACAATGTAAAATGAGAGAGAATAACAAGGAGTAGAATAGGGGCTAAGGAGAGGCTACTTGGCTACTTGGGATGGCCAAGAAGTTTTCATGTAGGTGCCTTTATAATGAGATCAGAAAGATGAGAAGTTGCCAAGCCAGTAAGAGCATCCCAAAATCCCAGGTAAATGAAATCTCATGTATCACACCCTGAGGTAGGTAGAATATAGTGTGTGAGAGGAGTTCAAAGGTCAGAGGGAGAGTAAATTATGAAGTTGCTGTGGTAGGCAGGGGTCAGATGACATAGTACTTTACAGACTAGTGGTTTGGATCTCTCCTAAAGGCTTGTTCTGTCTGTTCAGTGAGCCTCACCATTCATTCATTCATTCAATCAATCAATCAATGTTTATTGAGTGCCTGCTATGTCTGGGTACTTTCCTAGTTCAGAAATATATATGGTAGGGAGCAAAACAATTAATTAATCAATCCCTGCCCTAATGGATCTGACATTCTACTGGGAGGGAGACAGGCAAAACATAAAAAAAAAAAAAAACAGAAAAAATAAACAAGAAAATTACAGATTTTGATACATGTTTTGGCAGAAATAGACAAGTGTTACAGACAGTAACAGGAAGAGGGGGCACCTTTAATCAATTTCATTTCCTGACAGGGGTCTGGGCTTAGTCAGGCTGGTTTGTTGATGTTCTTTTTGTTGGTGTTAGGATGGGGTTTTTTGTAGCATTTTTTTAAAATAAACTAAATTAAATCTGGAAAATTGTTGGTGTCATCAGAGATAGCACAATTTCACTCCTTTATTTTCTAGTTCCCCAACTTAAAAAATAAATCCAAAACTTCATTTCAGTACCTTGTGAAAATAATTAGGAGTTGGAAAAGATAAGGTCAGGACACTCTGTCAGCTCCCCTTTGTTCAGATAATGGGTTTGCTTACACGAATCAGCAAAGGAAAAAAAAAGGATAACATGAGAGGGAAGTTACACTGAGTCAAAAAACTGGCAAGTGTCATTTAATTTTAAACTTCCTGAGTCCTATGCATAAAAATTGACTTCAGGAAAAAAAAAAAGTTAAAAGAGCAGCTGCAGTCCTAACAATTCCTGAGGTGGGGGTGGGGAAGGAGATGTTCCCATTCACCTTAATCAAATTCCTTTCCTTTTTCCTGTATACTCAATTTCCCTTTTCCTGACTTTACTCTCATCGTCTTTGTTTCCTCCTCCGTATTTTTCTTTTTCTTCCCCTGCCTGTCTTTGCATTAAGTTGGCCAGGTCCTTAATTTAGAAGATGACATTTGGCACCCTCATTGCATTCAGTGCAGAGAGTTGTTGACCTCAAACCCAAGTAATCTCCTTTACTATGTCCATACCCTTCCAAGGTTTAGTCAGAATGCTGTTCTCAGTGAGCGGTCTGGGTTGTGACAGCCTCTTCTCAGCAAGGTAAGATTTAAATCTCTCTCCTCTAATTTGACTGTTCTCTGGAATGAAAGATGCTGGGTTATCTGTCAGGACAGTAGCTGCCCTGGATTTCTTTCAAGTCTGACCCTGCTCTGGTGGCTCAGTTGGATGGAGACCCAGAGTAAAGAGCCTGTACTTCCAAGCCCAGCTGGCAACCAAAATAGGACTCCCCCGGGTGATGTCCCACAGAATTACAAGGCATGGCAGAGGTGTGAACTGAGCTAAGCAAGAGCTAAGCTTACCACCAAGAAGGAAGACAAGGTGGAAAGAAAAGGATTATCAGTACACACTTAATCCCTTTGTTCACTGTTTTTTTTTAATTTTTATTTTTTATTTTATTCATTTATTTTTTTGAGACATAGTTTCACTCTTGTCACCCAGGCTGGAGTGCAATGGAATGATCTCCACTCACTGCAACCTCCTCCTCCCGGGTTCAGGCGATTCTCCTGCCTCAGCCTCCAGAGTAGCTGGGACTGTTTACTGTTTAACTAGCTTCTCCACAGTACCCCCATCCCCAGATTCAATGTACGTCCTCTGTATCATTCCACTTCCTGCTCCATTTGAGTACTGCGAAAGGAAAATAAATCTTGGGGCCCCAAAATCACTAAGCTAAAGAGAAAAGTCAAGCTGGGAACTACTTAGGGCAAATCTGCCTCCCATTCTATTCAAAGTCACCCCTCTGCTCACCGAGATAAATGGATATCTGATTGCCTCCTTTGGAGAGGCTAATCAGAAACTCAAAAGAATGCCACCATTTCTCTCTTATCTACCTATGACCTGGAAGACCATTCTCCACTTTGAGTTGTCCTGCCTTTCCAGACCGAACCAATTTTCATCTTACATATGTTGATTTATGTCTCATGTCTCTCTAAAATGTATAAAACCAAACTGTGTTCTGACCACCTTAGGCACATGTCATCAGGACCTCCTGAAGCTGTGTCACGGGTGTGCATCCTCAACCTTGGCAAAATAAACTTTCTAAATTAACTGAGGCCTGTTTCAGATTTTTGGGGTTCACATTTTGGTAACCATGAAGGGATTCTGAATAAAGATGCCCCTTCCTTTTGACAAATCTCCTACTGGTGCTTGGTACAAGTATGAACTAACTTTATGGCTCAAACCAATAGGAAAATTTGCTTAGGTCTAGGAGCACCCCCTCCAGATAATCCCTGATCTCCCCAAATTTGGTCAAGATCTAAAGTTTATTTTGCTGTCAACACCCTTTTTTTTTTTTTTACTTGTTTCCAACAAGGAAGGCAAGATTTCCTGTTTCCATGATGATGGAAGGTAGGTAACTCCTTTATGGAGTTTGAGTTCGCTCCCAGTAGGGAAGATGAGTTTGAGGATTTTTTCTCCTGCTTCTAGAATGGTAGAAAGCCATCTTCAGCCTGAGAACCATCCCTAGGTAAGTAGCTGAATTGGGGTTTTGCCTTGGCTAAAGTTTAACAACTAACTTGTCTTAATTTCTCCTTACCATTAGAGTGCTCAGTGATCATATTGTTGGGTTTTTGTTGTTGTTGTTGTTTGTTCCATTCTTTCTCCCATCAGATTTGACCAACTCTACCTGACTGGGTCAAATCTGAGTGAGAATTCCAAATTATGGGTAACAAAGTCTCTCTAATATGGCCAAAATTCCTCACAGCTGCAAAAGAGAAAGGAAAAAGAAATCTCTCAAAGAGTGAAGGTTCTCACTTTTTGTTTGAAATCCTTGAGTTATCACTTTGGCCAAATGAATGACTTATTTTACAATGACCTGTGATATCATGTGTTCTAACTTTTGGATATTTGACAAACTTACCAAAATCAAATTATAAATTATGTCTTTTTCTGACCTAATTAATCCTTTAAGATATTAGGTTTCCTGAAGTCCAAAAATGACAATTTGGTTTATTCGGTATGAAAATTATACAGAAAACACTGTCAAATATGAAATGGCTTTTAGTTTTCTTTGCACCGTGTTTGTATACATATGTTATTGCTATGTGTTCCAAAATAATGGGAAACTCCTATAATTCTGATATGACTTAGTGGACATTATCAGTAATAATTATAATTGTTATGTTAAATTATTAACATAATTTTTTGTGTGCAACAAAGGCAACAAATTTCCTTGTCAATTGTGTCCTTGACTCTGGCTGCCCTAAAACTTTTTGTCATCTGCAGACAATTGTTGTCTTGTTTTGGTCCTCTTTAGAAGGTGGTTTTATAATCAGCTATAAAACTCCCACAGGTGCTCTTGAATACAAGTTTCTGATAACTTTGAAGATTGTAACATCAGAACAGAAGTAAAACTTTTAGAACTCATGGAGAACTGAAATGTTCATGAATATCAAGCAGAACAGGAATTAACTACATGGACTGAACTAGTAGAAGACGGAAGTAATCTTTTTGACTTTTTGCTTAAAACGTTGCTGATCCTTTGTTCTGTTTTTCCAGAGTCAAGGAAACTTTTCTTTTGAGCTATTGGCAGCTTTTAACAATTTATTATACTTCTATGAACAAAATTTAGAATATATTTGTTTCTCTCTACCTGAATTCTCCAGTATTTGGAAGCTATTTATGAGTATTCTTAATATTTGTTATTTGCACAAGTGAAATAACAATCTGTTTTCCTCTATAACAGGACGCAATTGGAGAAACTGGTTATTTTACTAAGGCTTTGACTGGAATGGTGTGCTTTCCTTTAAGGAATCAAACTTGAATTGTGGAGCCAATAAAAGCCCCTTGGGAAAACTGACTTTATACCTTGTCTACACATTCCCTGTACAGGGGTCCTAACCCGGGGTAAGTAAAGAATGTCACTTTCTGACAGGACCAGGAGCCCCCAGGTTTATCTTGGAACCTCAAGAGAAGAGGAATTCACCCAAATCATAGGCATTTGATGGTATAAATCCAAGGCTGGGCTCAGCTTTAAAAGTCTTATCTGAGACTCCTATGAAACAAAATTCCATCAAAGCCAATTTAAAAGCTTCTGTAAAAAATGTTATTCTTGCTGCACTGTATACAAATAATCAGGCCAAGTATAATAAAACAAATCAGTCCTACCATAATTTGTCTTTAGTAAAAATGGAAAACTGGAGAGAGAAAAAATATGTTTAAAAAACTGTAGTAAACGTGTTGTTAGATTCTAGTCTTGCCTAATGTTTTTCAATTTTTATTATTTTCTATAGTTTGGAATGAATTCTAATTTTTCTTGGCTGTAAGTCTTCAAAATAATGTTTTCAGTTATTTCTCCTTCTCTTTCCCCACATTTTTCTAACTTGGAGTCACTGAAAACTAAGCTGTGCTTTTGTAAAGCCCTGTGAACTGAAGCTAGACAACTTAAACTTCAGAAGAAAATAACAGCAACCTATTTACCTACATAAACCATTTTCATAGCTGCCTACTGATGTATGGACTTCAGAGTAATGTGCCTTATATTGATTTTCCAGGATGAGTAAAGACTCATCCTTTGGTTTGTTGTTGTTTTTCTCCCCTCTTCCCCCTATTTTCTCTTCATAAACATGAGACTTCACAATTTGCTAAAAATGAACTTTCCTAATAACTCAGGACCTACCCATCTAGGAATAAACCATTCTAGCCATGATCTATCAGACGAAACCTGAGATCATAGACTTATTTTCTTCTAAAATGCTTTCTCCAAAAGATTTTTAAAATGAGAAGGGGGAATGTGTGACAGGAAAATAAATATTGGGGCCCCAAAATCACTAAGCTAAAGGGAAAAGTCAAACTGGGAACTGCTTAGGGCAAATCTGCGTCCTGTTTGATTCAGTTACCCCTCTGCTCACTGAGACAAATGCATATCTGATTGCCTCATTTGGAGAGGAAAATCAGAAACTCAAAAGAATGAAATCTTTTGTCCCTTATCTACCTTTGACCTGGAAGCCCACTCCCCACTTTGAGTTGTCCTGTCTTTGCTTCTAGTTGTCCCCCACCTTTCTGAACCGAACCAATGTTCATCTTGCATATGTTGATTGATGTCTCACATGTCTCTAAAATGTATAAAACCAAACTGTGCTCTGACCACCATGGGCACATGTCATCAGGACACGCTAAGGCTGTGTCACAGGTGTGCATTCTCAACCTTGGCAAAATAAACTTTCTAAATTAACTGAGACCTGTCTTAGATTTCTGGGGTTCACAGTACTATTCTTATTCCCAGTGATGTGATTGTCTTGGCACAGGTTTCTCAGATCTGTCTTTCGCTTTTTGAGGAAGTTCAGAAGATGGGGCTCTTTTGGTCTGGAGAAGCCTGAGTGTAAGGTTAAATTCAACTGTAACCCTGATACCTGTAAATAGGCTAGTGGGGCTTGTCAGTCAAATTTCTCACACTTCCCAATACTGAATGAAGTGTTGCTGTCATTTAAGTGGCAAATCTTAATCTTAAATACTCAGCCAACATTTAAGTTATTAGAAGCCATTTCTGAGTGAACAGCTCAATCCAGCATAGCTACTAATTGAGGGACATAAACCTGTGGATATTTTGTTTCATCAATATAAATGTAACTTTTAATGCAATTTTGTTTTTTGATACGCACACTCCTTAGGCCCTGAGACAGAATTGGCTAAGCAAAATAAGGAGTCCCTGATGAACCAAGCACATGTGTGACCATGGAAGGGTCATGTGAAGTTGCTGGACACACAATATTGGGGAGAAGTTTCTAGGATTTGGGGTTAATACATAAAAACTTTCTCTGAACTAGAATTGTCCAACAATGGACTATGCTGCCTTGAGTCAGTGAACAGCCACATTTTAAGGTTTTTGTAAAGAGGATTCCGCATTGAGTAAGGAGTTGAATTAGATCAGTAGTTCTGAATAAGTGCATAGACTTGTTGTGGTGACAGTACTTAGTAGGTAGTTTCAGATTTCCTGAATCAAAATTTCAGAGTGGAGCCTAACACTATATTTTCAAAAAGTACTTTAGGTGCTTTATAATGTGAAAGCAGGTTAGAAAATCAGTGAACCAAAGAACTTCAAAAATCCCTCCCAGGCTAACTTTTCCTTTTATCTGTTGTACTCAGAAGAAAAAAAAAAACCTGGGTTAGTTTTCTTATCTCCAACATTTTTTTTTAATGTGGAGGAAAGTTCAAAACACTGGATCATACATGCCATCATTTATCAGTAACAAATACGCATTTGTAACTATTTCATCCTTTCACAAATGGTCTCACTTTATAACAAGCTGAAAAATTTTTTGCAGATAACATTTTGTATTATTCAATTTACAGTCTACAAAAAAAGACTGACAAGATGAAGCAATGTCTGATGAAAGAAGATGTAACTGGTTTTTAAACTCCTACTTGACTTCATTTACTGAATCAAATATTATCCATCAGATTGGAGTTGCCTCTGGGTTAGACTTGCTGATTCTGCACTCTAGCAGCTTTGCAGACCAAGCTGTCAGCAAAAGAATATATATAATTGTTGGTACAAATTTGCTGTGATACTTGCATTGCTCCCTTGGTTTGTAATAAATATAGAAGTTTTTTCTTTACATCTGTTGCCTTCTCATGCGGATGTGTTTGTGATCATTTGCTCAAAATATAGTAGCATGCAAGTCTATTTCTGGAAAACAACAAACAACATCCCCATTCTCAATTCAGTAGAATTCGTGCTTTGAAAAAGCCTTCTGGAAATAGTGAGACGTGGAATCCTTGGTAGATATAGAATGAAGACAGATATTCAAAGTAACTGTGTATGTGGTGACTGTAAAATATACTTATTATACCGAATGCTACTTCTATCACAGGTCCATCTAATTTTCCTAGAAAATCAGGAAAATATAAATGTAAACCTTGTGGTTTCAAAAAATATTATTAAGATTATACTTCTAAAGTAATAGTGGATTGATAATACATGCCAAACTCTATGGAAAAATGTACCAGTATGATGAAATTTTTCTTTATAACATAGATGTTTTCAAGATGTGGCTGCTGGCCAACTTGTTTCAGGATAAATTTTACCGAAACACTCCCTGAGCAATTGCACGTTATAGATGTTCCCTGGACAATTGTTATAAGTTACCAGGTGTTATTCTAAATTTTCAAAGCACTTAAATATAAAACCAATCTAGTTTTTGTGGTTCTAACTAGGTGATGCAGTGTTTTCACTCTCAAGCCAATGACTGTGGAGATTAAGGAAACTGCTAATGTTTGCAGAGTAAACCAGTGATGCTACTGAGGATGACAAAGCATATGATCCATTAGGGACTTTTGTCAGTTGTTGTTGAGCCATTTTCAAAATACCTCCTTTTATCAGATCTCCAAACAACTGGAAAGCAAAAGTAATTGGGGTCTTTTCTCTTCTTGAGTTTTATAACAATATGATAAATGACAAGTATGCTGGGTATTTTTTTAAAGAACAAATTCCCATGTACATCTTGGGATTAGTGTAGATTCAAACCAATCTTCTCCATTCAACTATGTTTAGTATAATTGCAGTGGTGAGTATATTTTACTGCCTTCTAATTCTGTGAAAATTAGTCCAGGATTATTCCCTGCCAAAGAATTAATCAAAATATGCAATTAATTAGAACATGCAACAATTAGTTATACATGATATTATTATGTTTCAAGTGACAAAATCTCACCTATGGTTAATCTTACTTGTTTTTATACATACATCTGTGCTGGATGCTCACGGAATCTGTCATAACAGGCAACGGTTATGGCAAAGTCAAGAACAGACAGAAGGTATAGGAACTGAAAAAAAAGGAGTGAGACTGAGGCAGGGAGAGCTTTAACCAAAAAGGGGGAATTTGAATTTGGCTCTTGGGACCCTACTATACAAAATAACAATCATATATCAGTTTTTTTCCCACTTCTTTTAGGGTATTTGTCACAATTATTCATTGAGTCATTGATCCATTCATTCATTTTTTTTTTCAGTCAACTATGTGTTGAGCACTAACTATAAGCCAGACACGGTTGTAGGCCCTAGAATTACAAAGATCAATTAGATAAGGTCTCACTCTTTTTGGAGTTCACATTAAAGCTGAAAAAATGATAAGTAATTATGATTTAATGTACTAAGAGCTAAGCGAGGTATATGAAAAATGCTGTAAGTGGGCAGAGGAGAGAGGGATTTGTTCTACATGGGGAAAAGACTCAGAGAAGACTTTACTGATAAGATACTATTAAGAGTTGTACCTTGATAAATGAATACAAGTTCATAAGTGGAAAAAGAGGAAAGGGTATTCTCAGCAGAAGAAATTATGAAAGAGAGGTGTAAGCATACGTGTCATATTCTCTATGGACTGGGTACATTGGGAAGTAGAGGAGAGAAGAGTCTATAAATGTAGGCTAGAATAAGGATTACTACTACTTATGTACACAAGTGATCCTTTCTAACAGACTAGAAGCTTCTTGAGGATAAGATCTAGGTCTCATCTTTTCATCCTGCCATTTACTCATTCAAAAAATATCTTCAATGCCTCCTACAAGACAGGAACTTGAGCAGATAAACAGTATTACTGAGGCACTGACTTTTCCCCAAGGGAACTCATACTATGGTAATGGAGAAAAATGTAAAAACAAATAATTTTAGTACATGTGATGAATGCTGACCAAATGAATACTCTTTCTTTCAGGATTTTCTAATAATTTCATATAAATCACATAATTTATTTTTTGAGACGAAGGCTCGTTCTGTTGCCCAGGCTGAAGTGCAACAGTGTGATCTTGGCTCGCTGCAACCTCTGCCTCCCTAGTTGAAGTGATTCTCCTGCCTCAGCCTCCCAAGTAGCTGGGATTACAGGCACACGCCACCACACCCAGCTAATTTTTGTATTTTTAGTAGAGATGGGGTTTCACCATGTCGGCCAGGCTGTCTTGAACTCCTGACTTCAGGTAATCCACCTGCCTTGGCCTCCCAAAATGCTGGGATTACAGGCGGGAGCCACTGCGCCCGGCCTACTTCATATAAATCTTATACAAATCTAATTTCCTGTTTGGTGAAAGAAGAGGCAGTATCTCACGATTTTGTTTCTTTAAGAACTCTCCCTCATATCCTGACTCCCTAGCACAGGGCTAGATGATCATTAAATGCTTTATTTCAAATGAAATGAACTAACTACAGAAGAAAGGAGAAAAGGTTGCAATTTACAAAACTGAGCTAGATCTGCAAGACATGGAATAGGGGACAAGAACAAAGTATGAAAAAATACTGTCGCCTAGGTGTGGGACCCGAAGGAAACAGAGGACTTATTAAAGAACCAGCTTTGATGTTCTGCTTTATTTTTAATATGTTGCTTTTGAGGTTTGGATTACATCAGCCAGAGATGCTGCTGTTAACCCCGCAAGTCTCTTTCTTAAGACAATGAGAAGCAAGCGAAACAGAAGCAAAGGTGGGGTGAGAAAAGAGCTCTTATCTTTCCTCTTTAATACAGGAAGGCTACGGAGAGAAGGATTATTTAAGAACTGATTTAATAAATATAGAGTATATAGAGGGCTGGCAGTAGAGAAAATAGTAGCAGTAGTATTAATCGTATAATTTAAAGGAGTAAAAATAATAGTTTACATTTATTGCCAAGATTATGCCAAAATACTTTACATGCATTACTTTTCATTTTCATAACAATTCTATGAAGAAGTACCATCATTTTTCCTGCTTTACAGATACAAATACTGAAGGACAGAGACGTTAGGTAACTTACCAAGGCTACACAGCAAATAATGTCGTGAAAAGAACATTTGAACTCAGGCAATCTGATTGGAGATGCGATGATTAGACAAGGCACAGAGGCAGAAGTGGGAGTACTTCAGGTGTTGAGACATTGATAAAATAAGTATGTGTGTATGAGTGGATGGGGAAATAGCAGCAAAAGATAGAGATGTATCTAAGGCAAACAGTGTCACATATACAGGAATCACGTAATAAGATTTTTTTTATTGTGGCTTATTAAATGGTATCTTATAATAATGGCACACTTCAATTTTTCAATGCTGTCTCAAGTCTGATTTTATCTATATCTATACCTACATCCATATCCATATCTATCTATAACTAACAAATATAAGCCAAAAGGTTTTAGTTTGCCTTTGGTTCTCCAAATTGGAAATGAGTAGATCAATCTTAATTTTGAAAGCATCATTTCCTGGGTATTATTTTTAAAATATCACATTAAGGCATTTTTATTAAAGGTAGAGGATTGGTTTTGATAACTTTCCCCAATAATAAATTCAGTAACTTCAAAAAGAGATGTTTTAATCTTTGTCTAATATATAGAGAGGATATGCCATAAGGAAAACACAAAAACAAAACCTAGAAAAACAACTTTTCTAACATAAGTAATTTTTTTATTTTGTTCTTTTATAACATTCCTATTTCAATGCAGATCGTAATGTGCTACTAAGTACAAGGAAGGCTTTTGGGCTATTAAAATGCTAATTATAAGGTTAACTTTAAGTCAGAAATGATTGTAGAAAAGGCACATAAGTAGGAAAATTTACTTTAAGATCATTTAAGAAAGGCCGTGCTTAAGCTCTGACTTTGACAGGGAAAAATAAATTTCTAATTAGAAAAAAATATAAAGAAAGTACAGTGCAATTATACTTATTTATAGCAAGACTGTTGAGCATTACAATTAGGGACACAAATTTCATGTTCCTGTTGCAAAAACTAACAATCTCAAATAGACATATAGCTCTGGACAGCTTCACCTAGAACACAAATAATGCTACTCCCATATTTAAGAGAGTAGGTATAGCAGTAACAAATATTTGCACAGTCTGACTTCCTATTATATGATAACCATTCCTATTATATATAACCATCCTAATGCTGGTTTTGCTTTGCTTTCTCCAACACCTACTCCACCACACTCCATTCCCATTGTGTTCACTACTGTGGATATACATATTATGCCTTAGAGAAGGGAACCCGAGTCACCAGCAAACAATTTAGAAAACTTCCTTTAAGAAGAAATTGGGATATGTCTTTGAAAATAGATCTTTTATTTTAAAGCAATGGAATATAGCTACTTATTGTGTTACTTATTCCCAAATGTTTAAAGACATAAGAGACTGGAAAAAAATCTATTAAAAATTGATGCAAAGCAAAGACTTTAATTTCTTACCTTCTTCCTCCCCCTTATCTTCCTCCTTCTCTTTCTATGACTATTACTATTATTACATCTGTACAGTAAATTATAGCTTATAATGTGTTCACATAAACATTATCTTATTTGATTATTCTACATTAATTTAATATTTACTGAGCATCTGTGCTTTGCCTAATACATAAAGCATACACTGAGCTTATCATTTTCAAAGAGAATTTTAGAAATAAACAAAAACTTTATCATTACATGTTGTGAAAAGTGCCATTAACAAAAATAACAGCATGCTATGAATGAGGCAGCAAAATGTACCTACATTGGGATTCCAGAGAAGGTATACCTGAGTGACACTTGAGCTGAGAGGGAAGGATGAGAGCTTTTCAATCAAATGAATAGTGAAATGAAGAGTTTCCTGGGTCTACTGAACCTCACATGGAAAGCCCCTGTGCAGAAACAAGCTTGGCCCACTAGAATGGAGTATAAGAGGCAAAAGATGAGGCTAAACAGGTACCAGAAGCCAGATGATGCAAGATCTTATAAATTCAAGTTAAGGAGTTTGAAGAATATTGCATGTATAGTGGGAAGACATTGAAGGCCTTTAATAAGAAAATGATAGTGTTGGCCTGGCGCAGTGGCTCATGCCTGTAATCCCAGCACTTTGGGAGGCTGAGGCAGGCAGATCACAAGGTCAGGAGTGTGAGACCAGCCGGGCCTATATGGTGAAACCCCGTCTCTACTAAAAATACAAACATTAGCTGGGCATGGTGGTGGGCACCTATAGTCCCGGCTACTCGGGAGGCTGAGGCAGAAGAATCGCTTCAATCCGGGAGGTGGCGGTTGCAGTGAGCCGAGATCGCGCCACTGCACTCCAGCCTAGGTGACACAGCGAGACTCTGTCTCAAAAAAAAAAGAAAATGATAGTGTCTTATTTGCCTTCTATATCAGCACTGTGTAATAGAAATACAATGTAAGCCATATAAGTAGCTTTAAGCTTTCCTGTAGACAAATATTTTAAAAGTAACATGAAACAGGGAAAATAAATTTTAGTATTGTATTTTATTTAACCAAACATAGCCCAAATATTATCACTTTGGCATGAAGTCAATATTAAAAATTATTAATGAGCTATTTTACATTTATCATACTAAGTCTTCAAAATCCAGTGTGTATTTTACATATACAGCACATCTCATTTCAGACCAGCCACATTTTATGTGCTCATTTAGCACATGTGGCTAATGGCTATTATACTGGACAATGCAGGCCTATAACGTTTGTTGTGGCTGCTGAGTAGAGAATAAATTAGATAATAGTTAAGTGGAAGTGAGTGTATTTGTTTCCTATGACTACTTAACAAATTACCACAAACGTAATGATTTAAAATAACAAGAATGTATTCCTACAGTTCTATAGATTAGAATTCCAGCATGAGTCCTGATGAGCTAAAAATGAAATTGTAAGTAAGGTTGCATTCCTTCTGGAGACTCTAGGAAAAAATCCATTCCTTTGCCTTTTCCAGCTTCTAGAAGCTACCCACATTCCATGGCTCATGGTCCCATGGCTCCATCTTCAAAGCCAGTAGAGCTGGACTGACTCCCTCTCCTGCTGTCATCTCTCTGATTCTGTCATTTCTGCCTTCTTCTTCTTATAAGGACCTTTCTGATTACACTGGGCCCACCTGGATAGTATAGGATAATCACCCTATCTCAAGGTCAGCTAATTAATAGCCTTACTCCTCCCATTTCCATATAACATAACATACTGATATGTTCCAGTGATTATAATGTGAATATTTTTGAGGGGGACATTATTCTGTTTACCACATGGGGAAAAAAACCCATGTTATCGACATTAGCACAATGTTTTAAAATAATCAATTTGATATTTTATAAAAACAATACGTTCTTATGACAGAAATTCATAAAATATAGAAAAGCACAGAAAATAAATTACATATACTGTAATACAGAATCTTACCACACTGAAACATTCATTATTAACATTTATTAAACATCATTCCAGCCATCTATGTAGAGATATAGATAGAAAATTGGAAAGAAAAATAATTTTAAAAAATAGGGTAACATTCCATATTATATTTTGAATAAATGCATTACTTTCAGTAATTTTCCTTGAATTTAACAAAAATCAAAGTCAATTAGAAGAAATTGCTAAACTCCAAATATATTTTTCTTCATCAGAATAATTTTTATTTTTTATTGACATATTGTAGTTGTACATACTTATGGAGTACAAATCAATGTTTAGATGCATAAATGTTGTATAATAATCAAATCATAGTCTTAGCATATTCATCACATCATGTGTTTATAATTCTTTGCAGTGAGAACATTCAAAAGCTCTCTCCTAGCTCTTTTGTAATACACTATACCTTACTGATAAGCATTGTCACCAGAACTTCTTCCTTCTAATTGTATCTTAGCATGCATTGACCAACTTCGCCACATCCTTCCTTCTTTCTCCCACCTCTGCCTCAGTCTCTGTTTCCCTTATTACCGTTGTTCTACTCTACTCTTCTATGATATCAACTTTCTTTTTTTAGATACCACATATGAGTGAGATGGTATGGTATGTGTCTTTCTGAGTCTGGCTGGCTTCACTTAACATAGTGTCCCCCAGGTCCAACCAAGTTGCTGTAAATGACAGGATTTCATTCTTTTTTATGGCTGAATAGTATTCCATTGTATATATATATATATATATATATATATATATATACTACATTTTTCTTATCACTCATCTGCGTTGGACATGTGGGTTGATTCTATATCTTGGCTATTGTAAATAGTGCTACAATAAATATTGGAGTCAGATACTTCTTCTTTTTTGATGTAGGCATTTATTACTATGAACTTCCCTCTTAGAACTGCTTTTGTTGTGTCCCACAGGTTTTTGTATGATGTGTTTTCCATTGTCATTTGTCCCAATGAATTTTTAAGTTTTCTTTTTAATTTCTTCATTGACTCACTGGTTACTTAGGACTATGTTGTTTAATTCCCATGTATTTGTAAGATTGCCAAAGTTTTTCTTTTTATTGATTTCTAGTTTTATAGCATTTTGATAAGAAGAGATACTTGATGTGCTCTTTTTCTTCCTAAATTTGTCAATATTTGTTTTGTGGCCTAACACATGATCTATCCTGGAGGATGTTCCATGTGAAATTGAGAAGAATGTGTATTCTGCAGTTGTTTATTGGAATGTTCTGTAAATGTTTGTTAGATACATTTGGTCTACGATATAGTTTAAGTTCAACGTTTCTTTGTTGACTTTCTTTCTATTGTTGAAAGTGGGGTGTTGAAGTCCCCTACTATTATTGTTTTGCAGTCTATCTTTCCCTTTAGATCTAATAATATTTTCTTTACGTATTTGGGTGCTCTGGTGCTGGGTGCATATATATTTACAATTGTTATATCATCTTGTTGAATTGATCCCTTTATCATTATACAATAATCTTTTGGTCTCTTTTTACTGTTTTTGACTTACAGTCTATTTTATCTGATATGAGTATGGCTATTCCGGCTTACTTTTGGTTTCCATTTGCATGGAATATTGTTTTCCATTCTTTCACTTTCAGTCTATGTTTGTCTTTAATAGTGAGGTGAGCCTTTTGTAGGCAGCACATAGTTGGGTTTTGTGGTTTTCTTTAATGCATTCATCTACTCTATATCTTTCACTAAGGAATTTAATCTATTTACATTCAAGGTTATTATTGATAGGTACGAACTTACTTCTGCCAGTTTATTGTTTTCTGGTTGTTTTATAGATCATTTGCTCCTTTCTTCCTCTCTTGTTGTTTACCTTTATGGTTTGGTGGTTTTCTGTGGTGTTAAGTTTTGTTTTCTTTCTCTTTATTATTTCTGCATCTGCTGTGATTTCTTTGTTTGTGGTTATCATGGAACTAACATAATGAATCTTAGAATTACAATAGACTATTTTAAGCTGATAACAACTTAACTTTGGTTGCATAAAAATGCTCTAGATTTTTCTCTCCTCCCACATAATTTGTATTTTATTGCCTTAATTTATAACTTTATCTTTGTTTCTACCTTAGCCACTAATTATAGCTGTTGATGCTTTTGACACTTTTAACTTTAAACTTTCATACTAGAGGACTGAAATACTTACATAGCAACATTACAGCACTGGGGTATTCTGAGTGTGATTTTGGAATTATCTATACTGATGGGTTTTATACTTTCACATGTTTTCACATTGGTAGATGTCATCCTTTCACTTCCAGATGTATGAATCCCTTAAGCATTTCTTGCAAAGCCAGTATTGTGGTGGTTAATTTTCTCAGTCTTTCCTTCTCTCAGGGGGTTTTTATTCCTACTTCATTTCTGAAGGATAACTTACTTTGCTGGATATAGTATTCTTGGCTGATTTATTTTTTCTTTAAGTACTTTGAGTATCTCTTCCAATTCTCTCCTGGCCTATAAGTACCAAGCCTATCCCAGGAGGGGAAATAGTGTGAAGAAATTTCATTTCCTCACTCTATATCCTCTTCTCAATCAACATTAATTAGGCTTCCTTTACCACCACTCAATAGTCTCCACTTTGCGCAGTCTGATAGCCATTTCTCAGCTCTCATCCTCATTATCTTCTCAGTAACATTTGGCATAGTTTACTAATCCCTCCCACTTTAAATGCTCTCTTTCTCTTGGTGTTGCCTCCTCCTATAGTCTCTCTTTATTTTTTTCCTACCTCACCAACCAATACTTCTATTTGCTAACTTCTCCTCCTCTGCTTCATGACTTTATATAACATATAGATACTGATGACTCCCATATATGGATCTACTGCCTTGACTTCTACCCAGAAACTCAGGCTTCTCTATGTAACTATCTACCTAACATCTTTATATGGATGGCTAATTAATATATCAAACTTAATAAGACTAAATAGAGTTGTTGATGTTTACTTCTTTGCACCCTACACTTGATTTTCCCTCAAGTCTTCCGCTATCTTAATTAATGGCACCTCCATTTATCCAGGTGCTCAAACCAAACCTCTAGGTGTTTTTCCAATTTCTCTTTCCTTTACTGTTCATATTCATCTCACTAACAGGTGCTGTTGACTCTAAATCTTAAGCATACCCCAAATCTATACTGTTTGTTTAAAATATGTTTTCCAACCCCCCCCCCACACTCTATCTATCTGTCTGTCTGTCTGTCTGTCTATCTATCTATCTATCTATCTATCTATCTATCTATCTATAAATCAAAGCCAATTTGGTCCCTGCCTACCTTTCTGACCTCATTTCCTACCATTCTCTACTTCTCCCACTAAGCTTCAGTCTCACTAATCTTTCAATTTCTTAAACATGCTGAGTTCATTTTTGCTTTGGGCCTTCACATAATATGAGCCTGGAATTTTTTCCCCACTCATCTTCATGTGGTTGGCTCCTTCATGGCATTCAGATCTCTGCTTTCCCTTACTACCTGGTCCATTCCATCTCCTCAATTTCTACCACATCACATATGTTGTTCATCTGGGTGGCACTTACCACTAGCTGATAATTTTTGTATGTTTTGTTTTCTTCTTCACTTTCTCTCTCCCAAAAGAGTATAATCTTTGTGAGAGCAGAGATGCTATCTGTCACTTTTGTATCACCTGCTTCTAAGACAATGCCTAGAACATAGTAGTGTCTCCAATAAATAATTGTTAGATGTATATAATTTTTTTAAAGAACACCTAACCTATAGCATTTTTCATGGCAATGGTAATTTATCCTGAATTTTACATGTGCTTTCAAAAACTTCAATATATAGAAGTTATTTTGACTGGTTTGGAGGCATAGGTTTGGAAAAATTGATTTGACTGGTTTGGAGGCATAGGTACTCAAAAATTAAAGCTGTGAAAAAATTTAATAAAGGTAAACATCAATGTTTTGTTTGAAATATTAAGCTATATGCTTGTAGACATACCTAAGCATTTCTAAAGAGAGAGATTTGGGAAATAAACCTCCTATCAGCCATAAGAAAAATTTTGATATTGGCTATAACTTACAATGATCTATTGTAACACTGCATTTTACAGATAATGGCATTAAAGCTCAGAGACAAAAAAATAGTTTTCCCAAAATCATATAGCAAGTAACTGGTAGAGGTATATCTAAAACCTGGGTTTCACTCTTTTTTTTTTTTCAACACTTTATATCATTTATTAATGCTGTATACATTAGATCTAAAATCTGCAGTTTCTAAGCACACCATGTTTAGATCTTTCAGATCCTTCTGCAGTTTTAGGTTATTTCTACAGAGGTACCTTTAAGTGAATGAATAACACATTCTATAATTCCTGAAAATATAGTACAGAGTGAAATGATTTAAATATAATTTAGGCATATATTGATTATGAAAATAGATTATCTCTCAATACAATACTTCTCTGTCTTGGTAAAAATAACAAAGCAAAGAAAATAATTCATTTCTGAAGTTGCTTTCCTTCACTTGTAAAGGTCTGATCTCCTCCCACTATGCATATGTACCCTTTACTGTTAAGGAAAGCTTTGCATATGTAGATATAGAAGAATAAGCTACGTAAATACTAAAGATATGTCATTCTCCCAAAGGAGACACAGGTGGTTTTCAATGATTCCTTGCCTCATGTTGATGAGTCTGTAGAATTCAGAACCCATTTGGACACAGCTAATATCCCTGCTCTTGGGGTAGAAAATAAGGACACCAGGTCATTGGTAGGGAGGTACAGGCCCTTCCTCTGCTGCTGCAGAGAGATAATGACTCAAGAAAATTGGGCTAAAATTTGTTTAAAAAAACACAAAAAATATAAGTAAAAGAATCACAGGTGCTGACTGATTGGTATTACATCTTGGACCAGCCAAATGCCTTTATTTTTACTTTACATCTGTTTTTTGGTGGCTATAATAAAATGTGTGTTTAAAATTCCTCATTCTCCACTGTAGGGTTCTAGCTGCAATTATATTACATTGCCTTTTAGCAGGCAACTCTACCATATTCACTCATATAAGCTTTGATTGCAGTAGCTCTGGATTTAGTATCTATTTCTAAGCTGGCCCTATGTAAACTATTTGGTATTTGAATTAAATGAATATTAATGATGCACCTTGGTTTTTTGGTTTTGAAGTATCTTCCTATGCTTGTGATGATTGTATGAGAAAACTAAGCTAATAGTGTAAATAGATAGAATTGCTTGGTCTGGTGTTGAGTGGAACTTGCCTAGAATGAAATTCTGAGAAATTCTCATTTATAAGTGTTGTAGTGATAGGTAAGTTATTCCTCCATCCGGAGTTCCACTGTACCTTTGGAATGACAGTGAAGTACAACGATGTCTTTCTTTCCACTCTGTCTCAATCAGTAAGAACTGGATATTACTTTAATTTAGCTACTGTTTTGTCCTAACCTAAAAAGTAAACATTATAAAAATGAACCTGAAAAGAGTCTTAGGGAGTCTAATCTCACCATATTCATATGGTATGACAGGTATTTAAAGAGGGGAGGCGTCACTAAAGCTATTTATAAACCTGAACAACCTTTTCCAAGTTTTCATAAAGTTTTAACAATTTAAATATCCATACTGCATCTAGGTATTCAATAAATATAATTGCATATGTTGTACTTTCCATAAATTAAAATCCTCAAATGCATCTCAAACCAAGATGGTATTTCCACATCATTCCTATTTAAAAGCAAATATAATAGATACTATTCCTGGTCATAAAACCAGGTAAACCCCCCTACCCCGTTCAAAAGGCAGCAATATCTAGTTTCCCTACATCTATTAAATGAGTGCTTTTCTGTTAAAAATCAGAATATGGAAAAAAAGTCAGTTTTTTCCCTTATGCACCGCTCAGAACAAGCATAATCCTCTAAATGTGTTTTTTTTTTTTTAATTTCCTTACAGTGTTATTTCTTCTAGACAACTGAGTGAGTGGAGAAAGAAAAGTGATAAGGAAAACATTTTCATCTTGTACATCTTCCTCCAGCCTCTAAAATTCTCATCTGACACTTTGTGACATGTGTAGTGGTGTCAGCATCTCTTCAAACACAGCTCCCTTCACGTTGGACCCTCTCAGGTTGGCTTCTTGAAGATCGCACCCAGATAGATCACAATTCTCTAAATCAGTTCCTGCCAGAGTTGCTCCTCTGAGGTTACAGTTCTTCAACTTTGCATCTTTTAAGGTAGCCACTCTCAGGTTAATTCCTGTCATCTGACTTCCTTCCATATCCACACCTTTCAGATTAGCACCTTCTAAATTGGCTTTAAGACCAGAAGGATCCTCAAAATTACACAGTTTCAGGGATGCTCCTTCTGCATTAGAACAGAGCATCTTGACTCCCTGGAGATTTGCACAGTTAAGTACTGATCCAGAGATCAGCTCATTCAAGATTTGCACAGCAAAGATTTGCCTGTGCAAGATTACAGCGGCTTAAATTGGCCATTTTGAAGTTAATGTATCGAAGGTCCAAACGAGAAAGATCAGCACCACTGAAGTTCAAATCCTGGCATCGCAGTTCTGACTTGGTTGGAGTTGCTAGCAAAAAATCGGACAAATTCCTTTCGGGATATTGGTGAATGATCCTCCGGTGGTTGAGAATTCTTTATTGCCACTTCCAGGTGTTAGATCAATGAGACAATACCAAAAAATCTTGCTTCTTCTAACACACCCAATAAATTAATGCCATCATTTACAATGAGCTGTCCATGACGCAAGGAGTTCAAAATGGGTTCAAAGTACTCAGGACTTCGGTCAATTAAGAAAGCGCCTCTATGATATTGCTTATTTCCCCAGACACTTTTGTCCTTAAACATGTGGGCCAGCATACTGTCAGGTTCTTTATTCACTAAAGTGCTCCTTAGAATTCAGGGAAACAAATTGATTTCTCCATTTGTCTTTATAAACAAACACATTTAAGTCAAGAGTATACTCGATCCCAGCTGCTCTCTCAAAAAGATGCATGCTACAACCTGGTAGGAGTAATGCGTGTAGTTGTAAAGTACCGCCCTCCAACATTTAATGTCAGCCAGTCTGTGTGGAATCCTAACAATCCCTCAGGAGGCTTAGAATCTGTCTGAGGATCAATAAATGATTCTCCTTCACAAACAAACAAAACATCATCATCCCTGATCAAAGCAATATCATCAATCAGTCCACCTTTCCCATTATACACACTGGTGGCTTTTATGCCGAGTTTACTGCTGGCCACAGAAAGCAAATCAGATAAAGTTCCATATACAGCAACCACCTGGCTTACAGCAGGTCTTTGATAAATATTTCTTGAATGCTGAGTGTTGAAGTAGGACACACTTTTGTGTGACAATCAGTCATATTCATTTAAGTCTCTTACTCTTTCCGTTCTTAGGGCTGCCTTTCAGGAACAGGGTCACCCGCCTCATCGCGCTGCCCCCGCTGGGTCCTGAGGGAGCCGCCACCCTCCCACCTGGTCCTCCTCCCACCTTTTTCTCCTCTCGCCCTTCCCCTCCCTCCACCCACTCGGATTCGCCTCCCTTTGCCACCTTCCTGCCCTTGGCTAAAACCTGGGATTCACTCTTAATTTTCATTCCATGTTCCAAGCAAATGCTACACTATGTTATAAAAGGCTCCAAATATATTATATTTTCTGAAGCTTATTAAATTTTCATACAATTATAGGATGTTAATGCAAGATTTTTAATTTTAGTGGTCTCAAGTATTTCTTTCTCTAGAGGAACCAAAATTTATATCACTGTTAATCTTATGTTACCAAATCAAATCAAAGTTAAACCTAAAGGTATATAAAGGAAGAATGTTTGAGTATTTATATCAAGTTCTGTACAGACATATGAAAATGCATATAAATTTCATTATCTAACTTATTTTATTATTCTGAACCAAAATGATTTTCATAAGCTTTGAAACTCCAAAAATCAAACTAAACATGTCTACAAAATCAAACCTTAAATATAATACATTGTAAAGACACTTACATGAACCATACATCACTTATCAAAAACAAGTCTCTCTCTCTATATATATGTATATAACCATATGTGAGAATAAACACTACTGTCTTAGAATGTTTCAAAACATACAAAAAATCTGCCTGTATAGGAAATACATAAACTTGGTCATAGAATATTTATTGGTTAGGGTAGCATATAACCTAGGTGTCTATGTAGTAGCAAATAAAATCTTGTGAAAGTATGGCGAAATAATATGCATTTATTTCATTCTGTAAATGAGAAGAATCTTTTGTTGAATTTTAGATTGAATGTATACTAAGAGCCTTGCTTTAACTTCTTCTCAAGCTATGAAGAAAAATACCTTTTCAGATGACAAATCATCAGTTCTGGAAACTGTAGGGTCCTGCAGGATCCTTTCCTATATATTTGTTGAACCATTTGAATATAAATATGCAAAATATGGAATTGTAAGTTCAGGAGAACCTGCCATCCCTACCAACCACTACATCTGCTCTCCTTTTTGGGAATAAATGTGCCTCATCCCTCCTGTCCCTGAACAGAATAGGAAAAAAAGGGGAGGGAGAACAGAAAATTTCAAGGAAGAATAAAGCATCATCCTTTAATGAAAATGAATTACATATTAGAAATCATCTGTAATAAAAGCAACAAATACTAACAGTCTAATCCATGGTGGTGTGATGAGGTAACCTAGGGGCTGGGAAAAGAGGTGAGAACATATCACAGCACTACTCTAGTCTAGTTGATCTGTAAGGCTTAACATGGGAAATGAGAATGTGCTTAACATCAACTAGGCAAAGTCATCTAAACCAGTCTCATGCTCTGACAGACAAGGATGAAGCTGACAGTTTGCTCTCTTTTCTAGTACTTTGTCACTAGGTGGGCTCACATCTCTGTGGTTGGAGGAACAATGAGGCCAGATGAAAAATTCCCTGCTCTATTTATCTTCTAAACACAATGTCTAAGACTAGTTGAGGGACAGGACACAAGGATCAATCAATTAATAAGCCAATGATGAACATCAACTTTATAACTAGCACTGTATAAGGCACTTTGGAAGGGAGAAGCACCAGGCTGTATACCATCTATAAGAAGTTTGCCTTCTAAAACACTGTGCAAACATCAGAGTAGGCAGCAATACATTTTTGTTTCCTAAAGAAAAACTGGTTGATAAATTATTACGTTAACAAAAGAGGGAAGAAAGAGAATAAGAGCAGTAGGAGTTCAAAATTTAATGGCCGTTTGGAGGTGTGGAGGTTTGGATAAATTGGTTAGGGGAAAATGTGGGGAAAGTCTCAAATTTCACAGGCTGAGAAAGGTAGTAGCCCAAACCTTATCACATGTGAGCCTTCCAGGAGTTTGAACCTGAACCACTCTACAGGGATCTGAAGGTCACATAGCATCACTCTCAAATACTCCCCAAGACATGAACATTAAACCAAAATGACAAAAACATGATTAATGTGACATCCACCTCATGTGAGTTACCTAATGTTTTTGTTTTTATTTTGGTTCTTTATACAGATTCTGTCTGTTTCCATGAGCTTTTCTATAAATCATGAGCATCTGCAACCAAATTGCACCAGTAAATCTCATAAAACAGCTTCCCTGAGACTAGATTCAAGATGTTAACACAACAAGAAGTGTTCCCTCATTTTATATAATGGCTGGGTGGGTCTTTTATACTTTAGAAAAAAAATAATATTTCAAAATGTCATTTACTTGGTAGAGAAGCACCAGGGAAATGGCATTGTTGAATCTCTTTAATAAACTGTGCATTTATAGTCATTCTTAGAAAGCATTTGGAAACAAAAATGTATCTTCCACCTGTTTCACCAAATCACTGATTATTAAAAAAAATGATGCTATTCTGTTTGCCTAGTTCAACAGGTACTTTGAAATACAGAGCCAATTGGAAGAACTTAGAACCCTCTAATTTTTACATGACTATGTGAAGTTGGTTGCTACAACAAATCATGGGAAGGAAAGAAAACTCATATAAATCATGCAGTTCAATATGAACCACACAATGGTTCCATTCTCTCCACTATGTTGCAGCACACTTTAATTGGTGAAGTCTCTCCTTTGACATTTTTAGGATTTTCAAGATTTGCAAAGCTTAGAGTAGAACAGGTAATAAGAGAAAGATAAATAAAATAAGCTAGAAATATGAATAGCTTGAGCCTCTGTTATGAGTTAATAAATGCCTTAAATTAGGAAGAATTACAGTGGGATTTAGAGCTATTGGGATATATTTGCATCTTGAGCTAGTCTTTTATCCATTAAGTAGAACAATTTACTGACTCATTCTTTTGTAGGAAACAAAGGCATACTGTTACCTACTGTAATCTGTTAGCATAAAATATTTTTAACGCACCCTAATGTGAGCACATAGAGTATGAGACATATGTTCAGAACTGGAATCTGTACAAGATTTTAATTTTAATCAAAGCCAAAGCAGCCCATGACTTGGGTCACCGTTTGTCCTTCAGGAACAAAGACAGTGTGTGTATTCTCAGTGGTTTTGTTTCATCCTATTTTCATCATATAAGAATACAATTACTATGATGGAGACATAAAAGATATGAACAAAAAGATACCTAAAACAAATCAGTTCAGTAAAAAGCTATAATAATACATTCTTACAAAGTCCCTCCCCTTGACCTTTTAAAAATGTGTATGTGCTTTGAAAACAGGCTAGGAAAGTACATTTTCTTGTCATCCTTATCTTGCTGAAAGTGTTGCCAGTATTCAAAGTTGAGATGTATGTTTACAGAAGCTCTGGCTTGTAATCATTAATATTTTGAAATTGAGTCTTTCATAGCAGGGTGGTATAATTTTTGAAAGATCCTTATGATTGAGTGATAATGCCTTGCAACTCTGTATTACTTCAGATGAAATAACTGAAGATTTTAAAAAAGGAGTCAAAATTAATATTAGGTTATTTTTAAATTTTATTTTCATTTTTGAAAGTTGTATTGACTACTCCTCTATGAAACCTTTAGGAAACATCCCCTGATGTAACATGTCCCATGAACAAAACATAGTAATAGTTTAATTTTAGGAGCATTTTTCTTCAAATGGCAGATTAGGAAAGTGACAATTTTTTTCAAGCACCTAAACTTTGCTAGTTACCTTCAGGATACTTTAAAATGTATGCTAATTAATAGAATAAGTAGTTTTCTGTGTCTCCTCTAATAGGACAAAGATTTTAGTCAGGTTTTGGTTAACTCAAAGAGTTAACTAAATTATTAAGAATTTATATTAATGTTTTAATGTCAATTACTTTATATTAACAGTTACCCTAAGATTTCATAAGAATTAGAGTAAATAATCAGAATTTCATATACTTGGCCAAAGTCTTTCTTTTAAAAAAGCTAATAATCAATCACTGATTGATGATCTCTATCTCTAGATACCTTCATAACTTCTTAATGGCTTCATAAAGAAAATCACCAACCTAAGGGAGTCCTAGCTCTGGACTGCCTCCCAGTTGGAAGAAATTTTACCTAGCCTTACTGAAAAGTATAGATGAATTGTTATCCCTATAAAACTCTGCTTTTCACAGAGCATTACCTGTACAGTGCCTAAAGGTTCAATATCAAAGACTATAATACTCACAGAGGAAATTATTTTTGTTGTATTACTTTAATGCTGAGCACATTCCACAATATCCAGACTTTGTATCCATAAACTTATGGTGAGGCTACATTTCCTGTGAAAATGAAATATATCATTTGTACTCTGCTTAAGGATCCTGAGTGTCAACCAATCTCATATAACCTTTTGGCAATAGAAATGTGATTTTTAATAGCTTTGGACACCATATTTTTAGCTCTGTGATGATTGCTATATTTTGAATGTTCAGCCCCTCCAAAACTCATACTGGAATGTAATTACAATTTTAACAATATGAAAGTGTGGGACCTTCAAGATGTGATTAGGCTATGAAGGTTTCACCCTCATGAGTGAGATTAACGCCATTATAAAGGAATGAGTTTGTCCTCTTCTTATCTCTTTGATCTTCTGCCTTCTGCCATGTGAATATTAATTGTTCCTCCCCTCTGGAGGACACAGTGCTGAAGGCACCATGTTGGAATCAGAATTACCAAACCTGGTGGTACCTCAGTATCAGATTTCCAGCCTCCAGAATTGTGAGCCAATACATTTCTGTTCATTATAAATTGCCCAGTCTCAGATATTCTGTTATAGCAGCACAAAACAGAGTAAGATAATAGTCAAGACCATATTGTATTCAGTTTTTAATTCCCAGTCCTTACTTACACGGTAGCTGCTTCAAAATCTACATTCAGTATATTTTTATTGAATGAGTAAAATGCAGATTGATAAGTGCAGTGAAAAGACAAGTTAACTTAGTGAAGTAGTTGCTATGATGTAGCCAATAAAACCAGGTAATATAACTGCATTTTTTATTTTTCAAATGCATGCACTTGTGTCATCACCAACAGCATTAGGATCAAAGTATTTCCCTTAATATATTCTAAGATTTGGTTTATATCAAGTTTCATGGCTCAGTATATCTTGGGAATCCAGTGTGAATCAAGTACTGGGCTATGGATATTTAAGAGGGATTCAGAAAACAAATATTACACAGTCTCTTGAGTGAAAAGCCATGTATGAAATCATCATAAAAGTATAAGGTAGGATGATATAAGAGCCCGCACAATAAGTATATAAACAGTATAAATTTGTGCTATACAATATGAAAGGTTATTCTGTCTAGACTGAACTAATAAAGGAGTCATCTTGAAGGACATAAGACTTGAACTATACCTGAACAAAAAACAAGATTTGAATCAGTGGAAAAGGGTGGTGACTATAATACAAGTAGAGGATAGTATGATTAGAAGTACAAAGACTAAGATTTGTGGTTTTGAAAAAGAACAGAAAGACCAAGAATGTTGTAGGATATGTTTTCTGTTGCTTTTAGAATAAAGACAAAAGCTCATTAACATGGTTTGTAAGGTAATACACGATTTAGCACCTGCTTACTTCTCCAGCTTCATCTCTCCCTTCTGCTGCCTGGGATTCTACTGCACAGGAGACTGTTCTCACTTCCCAGAATATTTTCTTTTGATTTCTACTTAACTAATGCTAATTGTCTTTCAGATCCCAGATTAAGTATCACTTCCTCCTAAATTAGGAAAACTTCCCACCCTGCCCCATTATTAGCCTTTACAGCACTGTGTACCTCTCATTCAAGACACCACAGGTGTAATTTTATACTTATTTGTGTGATAATATGTCTGCCTCCTCCACTGAACTATTAGTTTTATAGAAGTAGGGATAATTTCTATTTTTTTACCATTATATCTACAGTGCTTGGAACATAATAGGTGCTCATAAATAAATGAAGTTGAAAAATTAAAATAGCATCAGATTAATGAAGGCCTTAAAAGTAGACTGGCAAATTTGCCTATATTGGAGCATCATACATTCATTCATCCAACAAATATATATTGAATATTTTATTATATGCCAGACTTTGTGTCAGGTACAGGAGATACAAAAATGGAAGATAGTTTCTGCCTGTGGTTCAATATGGGGGACACAGACAAACATAATAGGCAATTACAATATAGGGTGATCAGTTCTATGATAGAGAGAAGCATATGTTTGGAGTATTAAGGAAGCGACCTCTAAGAAGGATAGGGATGGTAAGGGGAGAGACTGCTTGAGAGGTATAGGTAATGTTTACATTGATTTTGACCTATACACTGCTTATAAGGACAAGTACAAAAAGTAACCAGTCAAGTGGCATTAGTAAATAGTAACAGAGTGTCTTTTAAAGTTTATATACTTTTTTGAAAAAGCAGAGGAATAAAAAAATGGGTCAATGAATTGGAACCCAAAACATTGGTGGTGCCAATTAGAGAGCAGACAAATTATGAGGATGATATGCACCAGCTTCCTATTCTTGTGGCCCTTTCAAGGGGATTTCTGAAGATTATAAAATTCACCTCATTGCTTTTCTGAATTTTTGTTCAATATGCATGTGAACTATAATGAGCATCTGTTCCACAGATATAACCTTGTCTCCAGACTTAGACAAGAACCCATTTTCTAAATATAGGGTCGACAGGGATAGTCTGAAGGAGGTTGTAGAGGACAAAATGTTTCTGTAAACTGTCAAGTCAACAAGTATGGACTAAGTTTCCGCTGGTTTCTCTGCACTGTGTTGGGCACTGTAGAGAAAACAGGAGAAGATCAGAAGAACAGTCTTGCCCTAGAGGAAGATTAACATGCTCCTTATAACAGCTGGCATTCTAATTTAACTTTCAGTTGCTGTAGAAAGGCACTGAAAAGGAAATAGCATTTTTTTCTTATATTTAAAATGCATTTCTTTCACAGATAACTATTAGAATGTTTTAAAGCATGTATGGAAAGGTTTAAAACTAAACATCTGAATCTTCCTAAAGCATGTTGGTTCATTTCCAAGGCCTTTCCTAAAATTAGCCATAGAGCCTTACTTTGAAATAAATATAGCAAATTATTACTTTGAAAATTGGGCTCTCAGACATCTCTGCTTCTACTTCAAATGGTCATTCCTAATTACATACACACACACACAAAAAAATCAAATATATCTTTAGATCGGATTTTTCTCTCAGGACAAAAATACTTACCCTGCTTCAACCTGTGTATAATATACCCTCTTTTATTGTGAAGCTGCTTATATCATTCAGCAAATGATAGGTCAACAAAGTCAAAACAAAGGAAAATCTATTGAAACAGGCAAGCTACTCTGTTGCATTTGGAATCATCATCAAAAAACTCTAATGACCTTCCCAGTCCAAGAAGCTATGCATCAAGGGTTACTTTCTACTGGAAGAACTGAGCAGGTACAAAAATGGAAAGTTTCTGAGGTTGTAGGGTTAAGAAGGGGCCTGCCAAAAATAAAAATAAAAAAATAAAAGGTTGTATATCAAGTGTCTGCAGCATGTTGGAAAACAACCCTCAAATCCAATCCAATTCTACTTAGTGTGGCTCCATGGGAAGGCAAACAGGAAGGGACGGTATAATTAATGATTCAGCATTACTCTGAGTATAAAAGGTCTAGTCACATCTCAACCTCTCCTGTCTCAGAAAAAGAAACTTTAGGCATTTTTGAGATCTCCTGGAGCAACTGAATACAGTGACAAGAGAAGAGAGCTAAGGATGGAAAATTGGGGAAAAAAAAAGAGTAAGTGGGGGAGAGAAGAAGCATCAAAGTAAATCAAGAAATGATCTTAATTCATTCAGCAAAAAATTTTTTGAGCCCTAAACTAGGGACTGAAAAAGACTGTGTCTATTCATTTGAGGGGTTCTCAATTTACTTGGGAGAGGCCAATGCATTAAGAGACAATAAAAATACAATATTTAAAGCAAATACCTCCTACTCTGCTGTGGATCTTATCCCCTCACTTATTCTTTGAGATCTTATTCCATCAAGTTCTCTGTTTCTCTATGTATCTTCAAATTTTTCTTCCCAATTCACTTTTTCTTTCAGATTGTAAACATACACAATTATCTTGGTCAATAAAAGAAAATTCCATTGATGTTTTGTCTCAATCTAGCTGTCACTCCCTCTTTCTTTCCTTCCTTTCATAAACTAGTAATAGCTAAAAATTCCATTTATTTATTCCAATTTACTCCTTAATGTACTGCCACCTTCTGTTCTCAAAACTTCCTTGAAGTTGTAATTGCTAAAGACAGTGATCCCCTAACTCAATGACCCCAACCTTTTTGGCACAAGGAACTGGTTTCATGGAAGCCAGTTTTTCTATGGACTGGGGAGGTGGCAGGTTTCAGAATGACTCAAGTGTATTACATTTATTAGGTAGTTTATTTCTATTATTATTACATTATAATATGTAATGAAATAATTACACAACCCATCATAATGTAGAATCAGTGGAATCCCTGAGCTTATTTTCCTGCAAGTAGATGGTCCCATCTGGGGGTGATGGGAGACAGTGACAGATCATCAGGCATTAGATTCTCATAAGGAGCATGCAACCTAGATCCCTCACATGTACAGTTCACAATAGGGTTTGTGCTGCTACGAAAATCTAATGCTGCTGCTGATCTGACAGGAGGCAGAGTTCAGGCAGTAACATGAGTGATGGGGAGCAGCTGTAAATACAGATGAAGCTTCGCTCACTCACCTGTCACTCACCTCCTGTTGTGTGGCCTGGTTCTGATACTGGTACATGACCCAGGGGTTTGGAACTTATGTACTAACTAATATAACTAATTAGCTATCTTACTTGACCTATCTACGGCATTCAACACTATTAGTCTCATTGAAATTCTATCCTCCTCTACCAGCATGATATCAATTTTCTGGTTCTCTCCCTTACTCTTTAACCATTACTCAGGATTCCCTGGAGACCTCCCTTAAGTATTGGTCTTATCAAGGACTTCATCCTTGGTTCTCTTCTCACCCTGAAATGCTTCCTTCCTTGGGAGAGAGGTCAGGCCTGTAGATAAGGATTTTGGAGTCAACAGTATACTAGCTGGTAATAGCTACTGTCTGAATGGATTAAATAACATAAAAGACATAGAGGAAAAGATTTGTCTTTTACGTTATTTAATCCATTCAGACAGTAGCTATTACCAGCTAGTATACTGTTGACTCCAAAATCCTTATCGATAAGCCTGACCTCTCTCCCAAGGTCCAGACTCAAGGAGACAACTGTTTAAAAAAATATTTATACCTGATTACCGTAAAGTCATCTCAACTTTATTAAAAAAAGGAAGGAGGGAAGGGGCATTGATGATTGTTCCCCAAACCCTGATCATTATATTTACTTAGTGTGCAAGACCAGACACCTATCACTCCCTCTTCTTTACCCTGTGCATCCGAATGGTAACATAAATTGATCAATTTTAGCTCTTTAATACCTCACAAATTTATCTTTTCCTCTATGTCTTTTATTATCTTATTTTTTGTATTCTACTAACTAGTTCTGTTACCTTTAATTTTGCTCCCTTACCATCTATCTTCCATACAAATACCAGAATGACCTTTCTAAAATGCATATTCTACTAGGTCATTTTCCTGCTTCAAGCCTCTCAATGACTCCTCATTGCCAGCAGCAATGGCTTTCAAACTTTCTCATGCAAAAAAATCCCCTGGAGGACTTGATAAAACAGAGAGCTGGGCATCAACCCCAGGGCTTCTGATTTAGTAGCTGGTGTTGAACTTTAGAATTTGCATTTCTAACAATTTCCCAGGTTAATTTAGATGCATACTTAGCAGAACCTAGCATTTGGCTGTATAGAGAAGAGAAGAAAAAAGAGAAAGTCAAGGATGACATCTGAATTTTTGACTTAAAAAACTGGGTGGGTGGTGGAACAATCACTGAGAAGGAAGATAAAAATATTTGGGAAGGGGATGACAAATGTGATGAGCTCAATTTCGGACACACTGAGATTTTTTTCAAACCACATCTTTTATTTCCCTACATTCACTTGCCTTGAATCAACTTGAGGTTCCAGCCATATTGTACTATTTATACAACACTGAATGTACTGAAGATATATGATGTCTCTTTTCCAGGGCTCTATACATCTGGAATGTCTTTGTTTCTCACCTTTCTTTCTTACGAAATAAATCATCTCTTCCTCATTATACTCTTCTCAGCCTCTACTCATCTCTAAAATGAGTTTAAGAATATCTCTTCTTTTCTTTTTTTTTAATTAAAAAAAATTAAGAATATCTCTTTTTCTTTATGATGGCTCCATGAGGATATATGTGAGAACCCTTTCAGCCTCAGAGGGGGCAGACTGGTTTGAGAAGTGGTTTCCGGTTTCAAACTCTGAGTGTTTGAATAAAGCCTATATATATATTTATGAATTTTAAAAAGACACAAAGCATTCTAATCACTATTCCTAATTCCATTTAGTCACATTAGGTAATTTAAAATTCATAGAGTCTCTATACTACTTGGCTAATAAACCAATAAAAATATTTATTTATTTAGTATTTACTAGGTAGTATTCTGCTATACTTTCTGGGGAGTTACAGTTTGGTTACAGAGGTAAAACCAACACATATAAAATAATTAGAAGGCAATTAGTTACTAAAATATATGCCACAATTATAATAGGGTAACCAGAGGAAGGAGAGTTGAGCATCACCTGAAGTAGCAGAGAGGACTTCACAGAGGATTCAGAACTTGAGCTGAATGTTGGTGGTTGGTGAAAATTTGGATACATGGAGAAAAGGAGAAAAAACATCACATGTCAGAGCAATACCAAGAGCAAAATCTTGGATGTAGGAATGAGCATAGCTTCTGTAGAAAACAATGAGAAAATCAGGTTAAGCAGAACAGAAGACTAGGGACACAGTGAAAAAGAGACTAAATAGGTGGATAGGAGTCAGTATTTGAAGATCTTGAAAATACTGCAGAGGGGTTGGTCTTGATATGGTAAACAATAGAGATCCTTTACAGGTTCCTGATGAAAGAAGGAGAGTTTTGGTAAGGTAAATTTATAAGTAGCAATTAAATAGGTTAGAAGAAGAGAAAGACTGAACATGGGAGAGTAGTTACTAGGCTGCTACAATGGCCCAAGTAAGAGATAATGAGGGCCTAAACTAATATAATGCCAGTTGACTCTCAAAGAAGGGTGACTGATTCTCTAAGAATATGAGAAGAAAGGAAAAGTCAGTTCTTTGTAGATTTTAGAAATGGTAAATGATTGAATGAATAAATGAGTTCTCAAACATTCAAAATGCAATAAGGAGCCAGATTAAGACATTTAGAGGCCTTCAGTTCTGAAAAGATCATATGCCCAAACAGGTAATTCAAAGTAAACACAACTCTAAAATATAAAATAAGTTTTAGCAAATCCAAAAAGATCTTTTTCTAATGGCTACTTTCATGCTTTAAAAAGATTCACCAAGACTTATAGATATGCTGCATTGCTAATGCCATAAATGCATGATTAGCCTGCCCATTAGGCAATCCAGCACTACTGGTAAAACTAGACAACAAACAAACTTCTCATGACAGTTCAGAGTATCCAAAGCCATTTCACAAACATCATCTCAATTGCTAAAATGATCAACTGTGAATCTGGTTATACTTACTTTCTAGGAAAGAAGAAAATTATTCAATGACTTGTTAAAGACCTTTGATTAAGATAGGTCATTTTAATTATCTGTGCCTCAGTTTCCTCACTTATGAAATAGGGAGGCTGATAATGCCCTCGGAGTGTAGTCATGTACATTAAATGAGAAGAGATATGTCAAAGTGCCTAGCATAGTAATATGTATTTTTTTACACTCAAAAGTATTTATTGATTTGAGGTCTTCATGGGATCACCAGAATCTTAGAAAATTTCTCTTAACTAGGGAAACCATCTTTACAAAATTATGACAGTAAGAGAAATATGACATAGTTTACTCAATCTTGCTTCTAATGTCCAAGCTGCTTTTGGTTATTCCTGGGTGTAGATGAAGCTAACTTTGAAAGTAATTTAGTTTATAGATTAACCTTAAAGCAAGGATGATAACAGCCCTTCCCAAAACTAAACCACCTTTGTAAAACTAACAAAAGGCCACAGGTTAGGCTTATAAGAGGGACCTGAATTCTGCTAAGATATAGGTGTGGTTAAACAACAACAAGCCATTGTTCTGAAGGTCACAAGATTTGTAACTTCCCCAATTACTCCTGTAGATAATATCACTTTTGTAGAACCTATCATGGGTCTTCTGAAATATTTTTCAGACTTTTGCATTCTGGCAAATGACTGATCCCACCCAGAGGTAGAATCATGACTCAGGACTCAACTGTTTTTGTGGCCTCCCACCCAGAAGACGACTCAGTGCATGAGGACCATTTTCCACACTCCTATGATTGCATTCCCAACCAATCAGCAGCACCCATTCCCTAGCTCCCTGCCCACCAAATTATCCTTGAAAAACCTTAACCTCTGAGCCTTCAGGGGGACTGATTTGAGCAAGAACTTCTTCTCCCGTGTGGCCAGCCTTGTGTCAATTAAACTTTCTTTACTGCATTGCTGCAGTCCTAGTGAATTGATTTTGTCTGTGCAGCAGGCAGAAAGAACTCATTGGTTGATTACGCTAGTACATTAGTTCTAATTATTTTCTAGCAGTTATCCCAATTTTAAAATGGATGCAAAAAAGAATCATAGACTTAAAGAGTAGAGCCAACAGACATTTACTAAGATTTGCTAACCCTGAAAAGGGGGTCTATTAAAGATTTTGAATGTTTGTATCAAAGTCAGAATCTGGAGAAAACACACATACACACTCACACATTCAACAACACTTCAGCACAACCAGTGAGAATACTAAATTTATACATATATCTCCATACCTGAATTTGAGAATATTGCACATTGCCATGGCTGATTTATGAAACCCTTTTTCTATGAGGGATAAATGTATTATTAGGACTACAGAGAATAAGGCTCATAACTCACAAATATGCCACTTGCACCTTAAAAAAATGTCACTGTCAAAGTTCCTCATCTTCTCCTGAGCTCTATGGCATGTTGTACAATGTCTTAAACGTGAAAAAATACTTGATATATATTTTGGTGACAATTCAGTAATTCAAATACTGTTGAAGTGCCAGGTGATTATACCTGGTCTAGAGCTCGACTTAACTTTTATGCACTGAGGTCAAGATTAGAGTGTATAATTTATTGATTTATTCATTTATTCATTTTGGTGTTTTGTGCTTAGGAGGGAAGAGTAACACAAAGATCTTTCTGTACAACCTCTGCTACCTAAGAATATTTCAGACAGGCCCTATGAACTGGTGCTGATGAGGGGTCCTAAATGGACAACTGATTAAAACTTCACTAGCTTCCAATTGAGCCTATTAAGTATTCAGAATAAGTTGCCAACAGGACCTGGCTAATCTTTTTTTTTTATTTTTTATTTTTTTATTTTATTATTATTATACTTTAAGTTTTAGGGTACATGTGCACAACATGCAGGTTAGTTACATATGTATACATGTGCTATGCTGGTGTGCTGCACCCATTAACTCGTCATTTAGCATTAGGTATATCTCCTAAAGCTATCCCTTCCCCCTCCCCCCACCCCACAACAGTCCCCAGAGTGTGATGTTCCCCTTCCTGTGTCCATGTGTTCTCATTGTTCAATTCCCACCTATGAGTGAGAATATGCGGTGTTTGGTTTTTTGTTCTTGCGATAGTTTACTGAGAATGATGATTTCCAATTTCATCCATGTCCCTACAAAGGACATGAACTCATCATTTTTTATGGCTGCATAGTATTCCATGGTGTATATGTGCCACATTTTCTTAATCCAGTCTATCATTGTTGGACATTTGGGTTGGTTCCAAGTCTTTGCTATTGTGAATAGTGCCGCAATAAACATACGTGTGCATGTGTCTTTATAGCAGCATGATTTATAGTCCTTTGGGTATATACCCAGTAATGGGATTGCTGGGTCAAATGGCATTTCTAGTTCTAGATCCCTGAGGAATCGCCACACTGACTTCCACAATGGTTGAACTAGTTTACAGTCCCACCAACAGTGTAAAAGTGTTCCTATTTCTCCACATCCTCTCCAGCACCTGTTGTTTCCTGACTTTTTAATGATTGCCATTCTAACTGGTGTGAGATGGTATCTCATTGTGGTTTTGATTTGCATTTCTCTGATGGCCAGTGATGGTGAGCATTTTTTCATGTGTTTTTTGGCTGCATAAATGTCTTCTTTTGAGAAGTGTCTGTTCATCTTTATCTTGCTAATCTTTAGATACAGCCAGTCTTCTTCAAACCCTAGTGGTTTGGTTTTACAGATCAGCACATTTTAAATAAACCAAAGTTATGCTAAGGACTGCGATTCCTTAGATATCATTAATTTCTTCAGGCACCCTATAACATGATTATTATTCATTCTGAAGTCTCATAAATAAGTGAAGCCTAGTTACACTGGCTGAAATAAACGAACAAAATATCATAAGCTAGTTTCATCATATGCGAAACATGGATAAAAACAACTACCTTGCCTTACCTACTTTACAGAGTCTCTCCCCACAATTCCAAGAATTAAATGAAGAAAATGTCTGTAAAAGTGTTTTGCATGCTATAATGTAAAGCATCATTGTGAGATCTGTGATGGTTATCCCAGGTCTTTATTCCAACATCCATTTTCTTATTAATTTTTATAACTTCCATTTTTATCAGTGGGCCTCTTATTCACTAGATTTATCTGATGAAAGCCATCTGGAATGCATATTTACCAGGTTAGCTTTTCACCCTAGATATATAAGAGGCCAAAACGTATGCCGCAGATACTTGAACTCTGTGAGGATATTTTTCTCATACGGAATTACAAAGATTGAAATATGGCTAATTAGGCCCTAGGAAATGGCTATTATTAATACATTAACTTCCCTTAAGCATATTAAAGGTCCTTAAGACAGTGGGGGGAATGTTATGTTATAAAGCAATATCTCTATGCTTTGCCTAAAAAAAAAAGAGCCCAACAATATAGTTAACTCTTAACTAAGCAGATCAAGAGGATAATTGCTGCTATATACTCATTCATATTTTAAATAGATTGCCTTAAATAAAATTTCTCTCAGGGCATTTAACTCTTCATTCATTCCTTTATTCAACATTTATTAAATGCCAATTATACGTCAGGCACCGTGCTAGATGATGGGGCAATTTTCATGTGTAGGTACATTTCTTACTAGCTAGGATATAACAATATGAATATTTCTATGTCTTTGGAATGCTACTTTGTGAACAGAAAGAGATTCTCGATTGGCAATAGGAGGGAGGTAGAGAATGGTGGGATTTGAGGCAGGGGCTGGATCACAAAGTCCATAGTAATGGAAACCCACTGAAGTGTGTTACAGAGTAGAGTGATATGATTAGATTTACATTTTAGAAAGAGCATGGTATCTTATCTTTTGTCTGAGAGTCTGACTGTTAAAGGGATACAACAGCAGAGGAGGGAGACATGGAAACATAATGAAAAACCTTGTTTTGACTGATTTGAAGATAGATGAGTAGGGGGATTTTTATTTTTTAAGTAATCCCTGCAGAGGAACACACATCAGTATGTTCAAAGATCCCCTGAGCTATATATGTCTCACAGAACATTTTCTTAGGCTGGGGTGTGAGTGGATGGAGAGGGACAGGGTTGGGAGAAGTGGTGGGGAGGCAAATCTCCATGTTGTCCCAAAGTGACAGACCATGTAATACAGTTTGCCTGGCATAAATCCCCAATTCATGCCAGTTCTCCCAGCATAACAGTTAGCAATAACCTCTTTTGTTCTCAAAAGTTTTCTCATTTGAATAATAAATTATATAAGCACCCTACTTAAAGGTGAAAATTCATTCATCTCATTTAAAAAAGAACTATCCTGGAGATCAAAGCTTCTCATCCAGACAGAGCAAAGTGAACCATCCTCTGTATTTATTCCACCCTAGAAAACCAGAAATACCCCCAGTAAAGAACAACATGAGATGAGTAATTGGTTGTTTATCAAATGTATATCTGACTAGCCTCCAGTTCCTATCCTTAAAAACTGAGCACAATTATTCTGAGGAAATGTTTCTAAAACATTCACAACTCCTAACTGGCATTTGCCTAACAACTGTACATAATCAAGTTAAAACCATCACAACCAGTAGCGTTCGGTAATTAAGAGAGGGAGTCAAATGGGCCAACTTTTACAGAAAATGGCAATTTACAGCCTAGCTTCTGGTTATAGAAGAGAGTGAGGAGACCAATGAATGGCAATATCTTTTCTTGGTTATCTGTAGACCAGGCAAATTAAGTGCCAACTGTTGGTTGGTACTAAAATTATAATTGGCTTCAAAGATAAATGAAAATCAACTCATTCTGGTTATCCACTTTATGTCAAAGAAACTATAGAAATCATTTTCTGAATTGCCAATAACAATATAATTATAAAATTATACTACCATCAAGCAAGTGATATATTTGGAATCCATACTAGGAATGAAGTGGGAAGACACAAAATAATCTTCTACAAAACTAAGTAGGAGAAAAACCTTTCCTGTGGGCATATTTAAAAAATACATTACAATTAAAACATAGTAATTTATGCTGATAACATATCATGCTAGGAATTCCTTTGTAGGCAATTATTTATAATAAAAATATAAGCTTGCATCTCAAGTTACAAATCTCAATTGACTCTAATAAGGAGTGAATTCCCAAAGATTAGTACCCCTTTTATGTAATAAGACACAAAGCAAATCAAGGCAAAATGATAACAAGATGCTATCAGGTTGTATTATATAAAACTAAACTGTGGATAAGAGAGAGATGCAAAAAACCCCTGATAAATCTAGACATAAGAAAACGCAGGATTTGTCCTAATTAATGGGGTGATTTCAAAGAACTAAAGTAATTGACTGAGAGATTGAGGGATGCAAGCCTTCCAGTATTTTTAAGCATAAACTAGACCGTTACTGAGTAGGCCTCTTCACAGACTGTGGTTATTGCTCTGTCTCTCCTTTTTCTTTTCCAATGGTCAAACTGGCTTGTTCTTATAAACCTGAAGAGGTTAAGCTGTAAATTATAAAGATGTATTCACTAATAGGCATAAATATGCCAAGTTTTAAAATAATGTTTGCAGAAAATTTGTGCTCACAACAATTCATTTTGTCTTGTTCATGGTATTAGTGTTGAATCATCATTAGTAAAAAAAAAAAAAAAAAAAAAAAAAAAAATCTGCTTTGGTAAAATATTTGGTTTGACCCAAAACATCTTGCTGTATTTCTTAATGTGATCATGTATACTCTATATGCTTTGCTTAGGGAGGCAAAATTGTGGCTGCCGACATAGTCAGAGTTACTAATTCACACTTTCATAGAACGGTTTATTTTATTCAATTATCCTTTTTTTTTTTTTTTTTTTTTTTTTTTTTTTTTTTTTTTTGAGATGGAGTTTCGCTCTTGTTGCCCAGGCTGGAGTGCAATGGCGAGATCTCTGCTCACTGCAACCTCTGCCTTCTGGGTTCAAGCAATTCTCCTGCCTCAGCCTCCCTAGTAGTTGGGATCACAGGCATGTGCCACCATGCCCAGCTAATTTTGTATTTTTAGTAGAGACGGTGTTTCTCCATGTTGGTCACGCTGGTCTCGAACTCCTGACCTCAGGTGATCCACCCGCCTCGGTCTCCCAAAGTGCTGGGATTACAGGTGTGAGCCACTGCGCCCGGCCCAATTACCCATTTTCTACAGACGCAAAGCATAATGTAAGCCAATCACTTTCTGTTTTGTAAATTAACCTAAATTCTTTAGAAGCTGAAGGAGTCTTAAGTGTTTAAAGTATATAAATGCCAAGTCTGTTATTCCCTAATTTGAAAAGAAGTATTTATTAAATTATATGTAATGATGAAACAATTACACAATGGAACTACTTGTTTCACTTACAGTACAATTTTATATGTTTCATAGTAAAGAAATGGTCATGTGATTGCATAAATAAAATTCAACAGAACTGTCTACTCATAATCATTAAGTTAGATACATTTTTTAGAAAATGCACATAGGGAGGCCAGGCGCGGTGGCTCATGCCTGTAATCCCAGCACTTTGGGAGGCCGAGGCGGGTGGATCACCAGGTCAAGAGTTCGAGACCAGCCTGACCAACATGGTGAAACCCCGTCTCTACTAAAAATACAAAAATTAGCCGGGCGTGGTGGTGTGCACCTGTAATCCCAGCTACTCAGGAGGCTGAGGCAGGAGAATCACTTGAACCAGGGAGGTGGAGGTTGCAGTGAGTCGAGATTGCACCACTGCACTCCAGCCTAGGCAACAGAGTAAGACTCCGTCTCAAAAAAAAAAAAAAAGAAAATGCACATAGGGAAAGTTTTTATGAAGTACATGTAGGTTAACAATATCTTATTACAGGTCCAAAAGAGCAGCAAAAAAAAAAAAATTCTTTATCATGAATTTTGAGTAACACTCTTCCTTGGCAAATGAACTAATATCCATGGTGTTAAGTAAACATTATATCAGTAAGTGCACATAAGTGCATATACATATATAGTGAAATGTGTATCATCCATTCTGAAATTCAAATGTATGGTTGACTTGAAAATCACAAGGAGTCCTAATTAGAGATCATGTGGTTCATCCTGTTTCTTCCTCTCCAATTTCCATTTTATACACGAGAAAAATGAGGTCCAGGGAGGTAAAACACTTTCCTTGAGATTCTATAATAGAATAATGGCAGAGCCAGTTTGAGATCTCATGTCTCCTAAATCCCACATTCATTATATGAACACATAGGCAGGATTAAATTTAGTCATGCTAGGAAAATGTACAAATTTATAAAGCCACAACAAGACAGTATATTTATCTCCTGCCTTCAGATTAATATTTTTCAAACTAGAGTTTCGGGAGGGTAGGACTTTTCTATAATATTTTTGTGTGTATATGTTTCAAACTTTATGTTTGAATTAAAATAAATTAAGAAAATAGATTTTGGGTATTCTAGGTGATCACCTCATGATGATACTATTGCATTATTTAAGTGCCAGCTTTTACATATTCGTTTATGATTATATTGTCACAAAGTAGTACTGTATATAAATGTATACATATAAATGTATATAAATGATGCCTTCATGTCACATGAGAACAAAAATACATCATAGCACACTGCAATCTAAGTGGTGGAGACTTAAAAGCACCTCGTAGCACACAGAAATCCAGCCATGTACAACTCAAACAAACCTGCACTTTTCAGTAGTACATAGTCACATTCCAAACAGTGATTTTTTTCAGTAAGACAAATATAATTAAAATTAATTTTAGATTTATTAGTTTTGTGGTTTTATTTATATTTCATTTGTAAGTTTGTTTTTGTATAAAAGCAATAAATCCAAGAAATTTAAAATAGTTCAATACCTGTTCAGAATTTTATAAAACGTATAATAAACATAATTTAGACCACAATCGGGGATCACAGGAAATTTTCTTCCTTTGAAGGCATAATTTGTTAACTGGTTTCTTTTCTGAATGGACTGCATCCTATTATATTTTGATGTTGGTGGAGAAAAGTATGAGGAAGCAAAGAAACATCCTAGCCTGGAAAAAGTTAAAACTAAGGTTGAATTGTATTTCAATAATAATATTACTGGAAAAAGAAAGGAGGAAATGTCTACGTGGTGAAAGCCTTTGCTCCTTCTACGTTCTATCCTCTCTCTTCATACCTCTCTATGGCCTGCAGACTCTGGACAAAGAGTCTGAAGGGATTTGTCTTCAAATTTGAGTTCAGTCCCATATTTCACTTACTTAATAGTTCCTCTACTTGGACATCTTACCATCAACTTAATATCAGAATGTCAGAAACCAAACTATTTCCCCTCCCAAGACTTTGATCTCTTTAGATTTTTTTTAATGTCACTGCTATAATCACTTTCCTTGTCATTCAAATCTGAGATTTAGTAAATGTTGTTGCCCCTTTCTCTAAAATGCCTATTGCATTCATAGCCTTTTTTCTGTTCTCATTGTTACTACTATAGTTTATACATTTATTTTCTCATACCTGGATTTTTAAAAATAATCAATTACTTATGGTATGATGTACTATGTTGTAAGTACTGTCCTGGTGATTATGACAACAAACTCTGGATACTGTCTGCCTGAACTTTAATCTCAGTTCTGCCCCTTATAAACAGAGGATTCTTGGCAAGTTAATTAACCACTCTGTACCCTAGTTTCTCCCATATAAATAATGAAGACAATAATAATAACAGTGCCTATCTTATAAGGTTGTTCTAAGAATTGAATGCGTAAAGAGTATACTGACTACATGATACAGGCCATATACAACAAACCCACAGCTAACTAAATCATACTAAATGGGGGAAAACTGAGTGCCTTCCCTTTAAGATTTGGAATACGATAAGGATGCAGACTTTTACCACTTTTATTCAACATAGCTATAGAAGTCCAAGCCAGACCAATTAGAAAATAGAAAGAAATAAAGGACATTCACATTTGAAAGGAAGAAGTCAAATTATTCTTGTTTTTAAATTATATGACCTTATATTAAAAAAAATCCCTAAAGACTCTACCAAAAAATCTATTAGAACTGATAAACAAATTCAGTAAAGTTGTGGGAAACAAAATCAACATACAAATTCAGTAGCATTTCTGTATGCCAACAGTAAACAATCTGAAAAATAAACCAAGGAAGCAATCCTATTTACAATAGCTACAAAATAATTACCTAAGAATAAATTTAACCAAAGAAGTGAAAGATCTTTACAATGAAAGCTATGAAAAATTGATAAAAAATTTAAAAAGCACACACAAAAAATGGACAGCTACCCCATGTTCATGGATTAGAGGAATGAATGTGTTAAAGTGTCCATACTACCCAAAGCAGTCTACAGATTCAATATAATCTCTATCAAATTACCAATGATATTCTTCACAGAAATAGAAAAAAAAATCCTAAAATTTATATGGAACCACAAAAGACCCAGAATAGTCAAAGCAGTCCTGAGTAAAATGAGCAAAGCTAGAGGTATCATAGTCCTTGACTTCAAATTATACTACAAAACTATAGTAACCAAAACAGCATGCTACTGGCATAAAAATAGACACATAGACTAAAATAACAGAATAGGGAAACCAGAAATAAATTGACACAGCTACAGGCAACTTATTTCAAACAAAGGCACCAAAAATAGACATTGGGGAAAGGATCGTCTACTCAAAAAATGGTGCTGGCAAAACTGGATATCCATATGCAAAATAATAAAACTAGGTCCCTATCTCTAGCCAAATACAAAAACCAAATCAAAAACAAATTAAAGACAAATGTGGGACCTGAAACTATACAACTGCTAGAAGAAAACTTTGGGGAAATGCTTCAGGACATTGGTCTGGGAAAGGAATTCCTGAGTAAGACCTCAAAAACACAGGCAACCAAAGCAAAAAATGGATGAATGAGATTATATTACACTAAGAAGCTTCTGCACAGCAAAAGAAACAATTGACAATGTAAAGAGACAACCTACAAAATGGAAAAAAAATGTAAACTATTCAACTGAATAGGAATTAATAATCAGACTATATAAAGGACTCGAGCAACTCAATAGCAAAAAACACAAATAATCCAATCTATAAATGGGCAAAAAAATCCTAATAGACATATTTCAAAAGAAGACATATAAATGGCCAGTGGGTATATGAAAAAAATTTTCCACATCACCAATCATTAGATAAATGCAAATTAAAACCACAATGAGATATGATCTCACTGCAGTTAAAATGGGCTTTATAAAAAAGACAATAATAGATGCTGGTGAGAATGTGGAGAAAGGGCAACGCTTCTATACTGTTGGTAGGAATGTAAATTAGTTCAGCCATTATGGAAAACAGTACGGCAGTTCCTGCAAAAACTAAAAATAGAGCTACCATATGATCTAGCAATCTCATTACTGGGCAGATATTCAAAAGAAAGGACATCAGCATATCAAAGAAATACCTGTATATTCCCATGTTTATTGCAGCACTTTTCTCAATAGCCAAGCTATGGAATCAACCTAAGTGTCTATCAACAGATGAATAGAAGATGAGTAGATAATGTGGTATATATTCAAAATGGAATATTATTCAACTATAAAATGAATGAGATTCTGTCATTTGTAACAAAATGAATAGAACTGGAAGACATTATGTGAAGTGAAATAAGCCAGGAAAAGAAAGACAAATATTGTACGTTCTCACTCATATATGGAGGTTAAAACATGATTTCATGTAGATAGAGAATAGAATGATGGTTACCAGAGGCTCAGAAGGGTAGTGGGAGGGGAGAATAAAGAGGGGTTGGTTAATGGGTACAAAAATATAGTTAGATAGTAGGAATAAGATCTAGTGTTTGGTACAAAAATAGAGTAACTATAGTTTTTTTTTTTATTTTTGCGTTCATGTGATTTTCTTTTTTTTTATTATACTTTAAGTTTAAGGGTACATGTGCACAACGTGCAGGTTTGTTACATATGTATACATGTGCCATGTTCGTGTGCTGCACCCAGGAACTCTTCATTTAACATTAGGTGTATCTTCAAATGCTATCCCTCCCCCCTCCCCCCACCCCACAACAGGCCCCAGTGTGTGATGTTCCCCTTTCTGTGCCCATGTGTTCTCATTGTTCAATTCCCACCTATGAGTGAGAACATGCGGTGTTTGGTTTTTTGTTCTTACGATAGTTTGCTGAGAATGATGGTTTCCAGCTTCATCCATGTCCCTACAAAGGACATGAACTCATCATTTTTTATGGCTGCATAGTATTCCATGGTGTTTATGTGCACATTTTCTTAATCCAGTCTATCATTGTTGGACATTTGGGTTGGTTCCAAGTCTTTGCTATTGTGAATAGTGCCGCAATAAACATATGTGTGCATGTGTCTTTATAGCAGCATGATTTATAATCCTTTGGGTATATACCCAGTAATGGGATGGCTGGGTCAAATGGTATTTCTAGTTCTAGATCCCTGAGGAATCGCCACACTGACTTCCACAATGGTTGAACTAGTTTACAGTCCCACCAACAGTGTAAAAGTGTTCCTATTTCTCCACATCCTCTCCAGCACCTGTTGTTTCCTGACTTTTTAATGATCGCCATTCTAACTGGTGTGAAGTGGTATCTCATTGTGGTTTTGATTTGCATTTCTCTGATGGCCAGTGATGATGAGCATTTTTTCACGTGTCTTTTGGCTGCATAAATGTCTTCTTTTGAGAAGTGTCTGTTCATATCCTTCGCCCACTTGTTGATGGGGTTGTTTGTTTCTTTCTTGTAAATTTGTTTGAGTTCATTGTAGATTCTGGATATTAGCCCTTTGTCAGATGAGTAGATTGCAAAAATTTTCTCCCATTCTGTAGGTTGCCTGTTCACTCTGATGGTAGTTTCTTTTGCTGTGCAGAAGCTCTTTAGTTTAATTAGATCCCATTTGTCAATTTTGGCTTTTGTTGCCATTGCTTTTGGTGTTTTAGACATGAAGTCCTTGCCCATGCCTATGTCCTGAATGGTATTGCCTAAGTTTTCTTCTAGGGTTTTTATGGTTTTAGGTCTAACATTTAAGTCTTTAATCCATCTTGAATTAATTTTTGTATAAGGTGTAAGGAAGGGATCCAGTTTCAGCTTTCTACATGTGGCTAGCCAGTTTTCCCAGCACCATTTATTAAATAGGGAATCCTTTCCCCATTTCTTGTTTTTGTCAGGTTTGTCAAAGATCAGATGGTTGTAGATATGCGGTAACTATAGTTAACAATATATTGTTGTATATTTCAAAATAATCAGAAGAATGGATTTGGAATGTTCCCAATACAAAGAAATGATAAGTATTTGAGATGATGTATATCCCAATTCCTCTGATTTGATCATTACACACTTGTATCAAAATATCACTTATACCCCATAAATATGTACAGCTATTATATACACATACAAATTAAATATGAAAAAGTATACTGGCTAACACATAATAAGCAGTCAATAAATTTTGTCTATTATCGTATAACATCTCCTATCTAATCTCCCCAAAGCAAACAGCTTCTGCATAGTGCCCTCTCTGTTTAGTGTGTGAGCAAGCCTACGTACATTTTACTTTATCCACATGAATGTATTTTGCCTCTCTGTCTTTGGTTTAATAACTGCATGTTTTCAGCATTATAACCAAAAGGAAAGATAGATACGAGAGGAAGAGAGTGTTGAGAAGAATGGCAGAAAGAAGCTGTCTGATGAAGTAGCACAGTGGGGAATAAAACTTGAAAAGAATAATAGAAAAATGTACATTTAGGAGTCAGACAGATCTTACATCAACTTCCAAATTTAATATTCCTAGCTGTGTGACCCTGTGCAAGTAACTTACTAACTCTGTCTCCACTTTCTCATTTGTAAATTGAGAGTACTAACAGTACCAAACTTACAGGGTTGTTGTAAGGTAATCCATACAAAAATACTTAGAATGATAAAATATGAGCTCTATGGGGGTAGGGACTTTTCTCTGTCTTGTTCATTACTCTGTCACTTCCTAGACTAGCATTTCGCCCACAGCAAGCACTCAATAAATATAGATGCCTGAATAACATTCCTGGCCATAGTGGGCACATAGTAAATAATAGCTAATATGATAATTCATCCCCCTATTACCTCTGCACCTGTTGTATTTGTATCAATTCTGCAGAGTGAAATGGAACCCAGAGAATTCACACTATAACACTACAGCCTCAGAGGAAGAGATATTGATCTATATTGTCAAATCAATAAAGAAGCCAATCAATACAAAGGAGACCTTTGTATGTCAGCTGTCTGTAAGTCCCTAACTTCATTTTCATTCATCTTCTAACAGTGTTTTCTCTCTTTCACTAGAAAAAGTCAATATTAAAATCAGACCTGAGAAAATGTTTTTTTGGACATTGTGGCAAAATCAAGACAAGATGACTATATTTCTTTGATTCAGAGTAGAGAGAGCTATGGAACAGAGTCACAAGACTGGGTTGAAATATTGGTTCTGTTACAAGCTGCTTTTTTAACTTGGCTGATTCATTATCCCTCTTTAGGCCTCAGTTGCCTCATCTCTTTCTCACAGAAGAAAAACACGTCATATCCTCCTTTCAATCAGGTATGTTATATGAAAACAATTTACCCATAAGCTCTCAAAGTCTGAAATTCTCTCTGACCACAACTGCCTATCTTTCTAAGCCCCTTAAACCCCCTTTTCCCTTGAATCAGAAAGCATGGTGTAAAATACAGTGCTTCTCAATAGTTTCAGCAACAAAGGAGCATTTTATTTTTCTCTATGTTCTCCCAAGCTGAAAAGAATATCTCCCAGATCAACTGCATTTATGATATAAAATTCGTTTTCCTCATTTCTATTCATCAAAGGCATATATAGCTGCCAATCAGTTTCCCATCAGCATGAGATAGCCAGTATTACCAAAATGAGTTGATATAATTTCAGGCAAAAGCAAAGAAACTTGACATATTAGTCAGGTTGTGTAATTTATCACGAGTAAATTAATGCTCTCTGTTAGGCTTCTTTCAAATATTGAAAATAACTCATAGATTCTCATTATTACCTTCACAGATGCCCCCCAGGGATAGGGTGTGGGCAGAAAACTCAGGTTAGGAGTCACTCTTGTAATAGAAAGAATACTGGATTCTAATAAATGATTCAGAATCTCAGAGCCCCAGTTTTGACTTTCTGTTGAAAGGAAAGAACAATACCTGACATACTACCTCCTAGCTACCCTTTTTGAGTAAGTTCTATGTGTCAGTCCTTTTGATAACTGCTTTAAATACACAATCTTATTTTAATCTTACAGCCATCTCATGGAGTAGTTGTTATCTCCACTTTACAAATGATGAAACTGAGGTGCAACAGGCTAAGTGACTGTACAAGGTTCTACCACTGGTAAATGTCAGAGCAGGGATAGAAACCCAGGTCTGGTTTAGTCCATGTTAGGAGCATATTCGGCCATGCTCTTAACAGCTCTGTCATACCCTCATATCCTGGATTTTTAACCATTATACAAATGTAAGGGATAGTTGCTATTAGCATTTGTGAAGAAATTCCATTTCTATGACCCCTCCCTATGTTTCATGTTCATCTCTTTTACTTTTACTTCATTGCTTACAGCTCCAATCTACACTCATTGGCTAGTTCGGAAACAGACTGATAAAAATCCTTCAAAGGCTAACTTTCTACTACTTTTGTTTTGCCACTGACAAATTCTGAGTAATATCCAGGATGGAGAAAGCCCACAATAGGAACAGAGTTGTTCTTATGACCCCTATTTCTGCCTATCAAAACCTAATCCCTCAAGGTCACTCCCTCCATGAAGCTATTAATGGCCTACATCACTTTGTAACTCTCTCTTGAAATTACCGATAACATTCTGCTTTCTTTCATAGTTATTTCTGTAATAGTTTCGACCCCCCATAGAATACTGTAAAGTTTTAGGGGAAACAAATGGTTTTACTCATTAGGTTGGATTACAATATAGCTGAAAAAGACCTCAGACATCATTAAATCCAGGACTTTGGCTCTAAAATGAGAAGTGAATCTCTAGGTCATACAAGTAACTGGCAAAAATAGGATTAGAAGGCAAGTTTCCTGATTCTAAGACCAGTGGCCTCACTCTTGACTTTGCATCCCATACAATGTCTATTGTGATGCTCCGCACATAGTAGCTATTCAAGAAATATTTGTTAAATAGAATAGAAAGTTGGGGAAAACATTGAAAAGCTGATGCATTTTTTACTTTATTAAATGTGAGAGAACATGCTCCTAGTTAGTGAACATGTTACAGAGAATAGAAGGTAAATGGCTGACTGAAATATTTATTTGGAAGGAAAAGTGTACGTCACTAAATGTTTTTCAGTTTAGGTACAAAATCTGTTTCAGAAAAAACATTTTTTTCTCAATCCCTGCTTTCATCTTAACTGCATGTACTCTATGAAAGCTGCTCACTCATTCTGTTATCACAACACATTTCCTCAAATTCTGAATATCCAACACAGCATGCTTTTCCCTAAATGTATTTTATTAGCTTTTATCACCATATCATTCTGCTTAAATGATTGTATTAGCACAAGGAAGAATCATACAAGCCTATGACCCACCAAAATATTGGATTCTAATCTATACCTCTTCCATCTTTCATAAGTCCTTAAATTGCTAGCTTAGAAATATAAGCTGAAAGGCGTAAATAAAAGACAGCATTCTTCATAAAGTGAAAATGGTGATCTATGTCTCTCAAACTTTTACCCTCTCAGTTTTCATGTAAAATATTTCAAACTTCAAGAATCTACCTTCTACCTCAAACCTCATATATTAACAATTAACTGACATCAGCCTATTCTGCTATTTTTTTCTCCTTTGCTTCTCTGAAGTACAGACTATTTGTTATCATCCAATAGTTTCCATGAAACAAGGAGAATGTCCTTTTGAAAACTAATTAGAGTAGTTATGCTACTGTATCTATACAGTGTAGATAAGCTCATATATGCACACTTTGGAGAGACTGTTATTCCATTTTTTGATGGCAAAATGGCCTTGTTATAGAGAAATATTATTTCAATTTGTAAGATTTTAATTCCAGATTTGCTTACTTTTTATAGTCATTTATCTGGGAGGAAAGCGTTTTCATAGTCTTCAAATGGTCTTCAAGTTTGAGTTTAGGTTAAACCTCAAATATCTCCCCAAAGCAGTCTATTTTCCAAGTGTGGTATTCTTCAACTGGCCTACACACACAGTTTACTGCTATGATGGGAGCCTGCCTATTTATAATGAGTACCTAAGTAAGTTCACATTGGAGTTTCTTTTTCATGGTACTCTATCTCATATGATTCACTAATTATTTTACATGAGTAAACCTGGTCTTCTAAACTACAGAGAAAAATATGTATGGGCAGAAACTTTGTCTTATAACTTTCTTATATCCAATAGTATCTAGCAAAGTGCTGGATGCAGCATAAACCTTCATAAATATGTACAGAATTAAAATTACTGATTTTTTTTCTAACTAGCATGACTTTCAAATACCAAGAAAAAGATCAGATTAACAAACAGGAAATCCAGTCTGTTTGGCAAATTTAGGTATAGAGCAATTAAATACTTAAGATTATCTCAGTATTCATCTCTCTCTCTCTCTCACACACACACATACACACACACACACACACACACACAGACACACACACATGCACACATACCCCTAAATATTCATCAATTTGGGGAAGGGTCTGACAAAAATAAATTATGGAATACCCATGTAATGAAATTACAGGCAGCAATTTGAAGAAATGATTAGATCAATCTATGCTAATATGAAATCTCTAAAACACATTACGAAGAGGAGAAAACACAAAATGTAGAACTTAATATCAAGTTTGCCCCCATTTGTGTAAAAGAAAAAATGTATAGACAACACAGACACATCCTCTAAGCTTGTGTAACTATAGAAATTTGGGGAAAGTTTATACAAAAAATCTGTTAAGAGTGGTTGCCTCTCAAAGCAGGACTGACAGTGTGGGGCAGAAGATGGAATTACTTTTGTTACCTGCAATGTTTATGCTGCTCAAACATTTTATTCACTGTATATATGCATTTGTTTTTGAATTTATAAAGCTGTTTAACTGAAAAAAGTAATAAATTAATGTGTCAAATGATGAATGGCATAGCTGATTTGGTAATTTTGTCCACTGATTGACAATCAACATACAGATTGTTCAATAAGACAAAATTACTTCAAATTTCACTTTAGGAATTTCCTATAGGTTGATATCATTAAAAAGGACAATTAGACCACTTCAAAATCCTCTTTAATCAATAACTAGTTTTCCTTGCATACACCTACTCCTATTATGCTGACATGACTTGGAAAAGAATAACAGAAATACATATTTATTTAAAATATCCAGACTAGGAACTCAGTGGCTCTTTTAGAATAGTGATAATTTCTGAAAAATAAAAAAAGAGTCTAAGGGTTTATCTTTTACTATGAAGAACAACAAAGTCTCAGATATTTGAGAAATGCTGAGAAGCAGACTTAGAAGCTCCAGAGTAAGGTAGCTGCCATTTTTCAGCCAATCAAAGCAGCAGCAGCAGAAAAAGGGATTTTCCCCAGTAAGTATTAAAAAATAGGTTAATATAAAACCTTCATGACCAGAGACAAGTTTCATATTTCTTACAGGAGGAAGAGGGAAGAATACTTGCCAGAAGGAAAAGTAAATCTCTCAAAGCAAACATGTAAACCATGACTTGGGGGAGCACTTGGCCTAATTTGTGAATGCCTTGTCAATGGTTCACAAAGAGCATGTTAAGGATACATGCAGAACTCTAAATTTACTGGGACCAACTAGCCTCAATAAGTATATCATCTGTATGAACTGAGATACTCACATCTGAGCAGTAGCATAGGACCTTCAGTTTTTCTGTGCAGCAATGAAGCCTGGCTTTTCTTAATCATCTAATCTTCGTTGCCCAGGCCCCATGTGACAAGTCTTCCTAGAAAGCTAGTTGGGGTTAATGGCACAAACTGGAATGTAAGAATTGAGCCAAGCTACACAGCCCACATGCAGATCTTGTTTTGTTAAGAAATAATTATTAAGTGCTTACTGTACTAGATATTGTGAGGAAAGGAAAACCATGAAATAAGTAGAAGACATGAGCTTTGGTTTTGAAAAACTTACGAAACAGTTGGCAGGACAAGACTTGTGCACATGAAAAAACTAGAGAACAATAAATACCATTATGTAATCAAGTTCTGGGTTATAAAGAACATTATGAATGTTATAGTTCAAATCATTGATGGATTTCAACAAACTGAGCCAGCTTCTCATAAATGAAGGCATAGAAAAATATCTTGAAAGCAAGCAATGAGGCAATAAATGTTTAATATATTTTCTTCAAACAAGTTAACCAATTCCCAGAAAGTCAAGTCTAGTTTCAAGTAATGAATTATTACTTTTGCCTTTTTCTGAAACAGCCTGAAAAATATAGCAGGTACAGGGTTTTTTTGTTGTTGTTGATTGTTTGTTTGTTTGTTTTTGAGACAGGTCTCGCTCTGTCGCCCATGCTGGAGTGCAGTGGCGCAATCTCGGCTCACTGCAACCTCCGCCTCCCAGATTCAAGTGATTCTCCTGCCTCAGCCTCCTGAGCAGCTGGGACTACAGGCACGTGCCACCACGTCCAGCTAATTTTTTGTGTTTTTAGTAGAGACGGGGTTTCACCATGTTGGCCAGGCTGGTCTTGATCTCCTGACCTCGTGATCCAGCTGCCTCAGCCTCCCAAAGTGCTGGGATTACAGGTATGAGCCACCATGCCCAGCTCAGATTGTTGTTCTTTAGGATACCTGGCAAAAGTCTGACTGGCCTAGGGACTCTGACTCTGTCAAGATGGAGTACTTTTATAGGGCAGAGCAATTAGGCAAGAGAAAGAAATAAAGAGCATCCAAATAGGAAGAGAGGAAGTTGAACTCTCCCTGTTTGCAGGTGGTATGATTTTATATCTAGAAAACCTTATACACTTAGCCCAAAAGCTCCTTAGGCTGATAACTTCAGTGAAGTCTCAGGGTAAAAAATCACTAGAATTCTTTTTTTTTTTTTTTTTTTTTGAGATGGAGTCTCGCTGTCACCCAGGCTGGAGTGCAGTGGCGCCATCTAGGCTCGCTGCAAGCTCCGTCTACCGGGTTCACGCCATTCTCCTGCCTCAGCCTCCCAAGTAGCTGGGACTACAGGTGCCCACCACCGCGCCCGGCTAATTTTTTGTATTTTTAGTAGAGACAGGGTTTCACCGTGTTAGCCAGGATGGTCTCGATCTCCTGACCTCGTGATCCACCCGCCTTGGCCTCCCAAAGTGCTGGCATTACAGGCATAAGCCACCGTGCCTGGCCTAGAATTCTTATACTCCAACAACAACCAAGCCAAAAGCCAAATCAGGAATACAATCTCATTGACAATTGCCTCAAAAGAATAAAATACCTAGGGATACAGCTATCCAGGGAGGTGTAAGATCTCTATAATGAGAACTGCAAAATACTACTCAAACAAATCAGGGATGACACAAAAAAAATGGAAAACATTCCATGTTCACGGATAGGAAGAATCAATATCATTAAAATGGCCATCCTGCCCAAAGCAATCTACAGAGTCAATGCTATTTCTATCAAACTACCAATGATATTCTTCACAGAATTAGAATAAAAAAACTATTTTAAAACTCATACGAAACCAAAAAAGGGCCCGAATAGCCAAGGAAATCCTAAACAAAAAGAACAAAGCTGGAGACATCACACTACTTGACTTCAAACTATACTACAGGACTACAGTAACCAAAACAGCATGGTACTAGTACAAAACGAGACACATAGACCAGTGAAACAGAATAGAGGCCACACACCTACAGCCATCTGCTCTTTCTTTCTTTTTTTTTTTTTTTTTTTTTGACAGTCTTGCTCTTGTTGCCCAGTCTAAAGTGCAGTGGTGTGATCTTGGTTAACTGCAACCTCTGCCTCCTGGGTTCAAGCAATTCTCATACCTCAGCCTCCCAAGTAGCTGGGATTACAGGTGTGTGCTACTATGCCTGGCTAATTTTTCTATTTTTAGTAGAGACGGGGTTTCACCAGGATGGCCAGGCTGGTCTTGAACTCCTGGCCTCAAGTGATCTGCCCACCTCAGCCTCCCAATGTGCTGGGATTATAGGAGTGAGCCACTGCGCCCAGACCAGCCATCTGTTCTTTAACAAAGCTGACAAAAGCAAGCAATGGGGAAAGGACTCCCTACTCATTTATTGTTGACAAATGGTGCTGGGATAACCGGCAAGCCATATGCAGAATATTAAAACTGGACCCCTTCCTTATACTATATACAAAAATCAACTCAAGATGGGTTAAAGACTTAAATAGAAAACCTAAAACTATGAAAACCATGGAAGACAACTTAGGCAATACCATTCTGGACACAGAAACGAGCAAAGATTTCATGACAAAGATGCCAAAAGTAATTGCACCAAAAGAAAAAATTGACAAATGAGATCTAATTAAACTAAAGAGCTTCTTCACAGTGAAAGAAACTATCAACAGAGTAAACAGACAACCTAAGGAATGGGAGAAAATTTTTGCAAACTGTGTATCAAAGAAAAGGCTAATATCCAGCATCTATAAGGAACTTAAACAAATCTGCAAGAAAAAAACAAGCAACCCCATTAAAAAGTGGGCAAAGGACATGGACAGACACTTCTCCAAAGACATACATGCAGCCAACAACTGTATGAAAAAAAAGCTCAGTATCACTGATCATTAGAGAAATGCAGGTCAAAACCACAATGTGATTTCATCTCATACCAGTTAGAATGTCTACTATTAAAAAGTCAAAAAATAACAGATGCTGGCAAGATTATGAAGAAAAAGGAATGCTTATACACCATTGGTGGGAATGTAAATTAGTTTAGCTGTTGTGGAAAACAGTGTGACACTTACTCAAAGACCTAAAAACAGAACTACCATTCATCGCAGCAATCCCATTACTGGGTATATACCCAAAGGAATATAAATTGTTCTATCATAAAGACACATGCAAACATATGTTAATTGCAGCACTATTTGCAATAGCACAGAAATGGAATAAACCTAAATGCCCATCAATGGTAGAAGGGATAAAGCAAATGTGGTACATATATATCATGGAATACTATGCAGCCATATTATGGTACATATATATCATGGAATACTATGCAGCCATAAAAAAGAATGAAATCATGCTTTACAGGAACATGGATGGAGCTGGAGGCCATTATCCTTAGCAAACTAATGCAGGAACTGAAAACCAAATACCACATGTTCTCACTTATAAGTGGGAGCTAAATAATGAGAATACATGGACATGTGGAGGGGAACAACAGATGCTGGGGCCTACCGGAGGGTGGAGGTTGGGAGCATGGAAAGGATCAGGAAAAATGACCAATGGATATTAGGCTTAATACCTGGGTGAAGAAATAATCCGTACAACAAACCCCATGACACAAGTTTACCTATTAACAAAACTGCACATGTACCCCTGAACTTAAACATTAAAAAGTTTTAGGAACCCACATTTAAGCTGATTAAAAGACTTTTTTTTTTTTTTTGAGATAGGGTCTCACTCTGTCGCCTAGGCTGGAGTGCAGTGGTGCAATCTTGGCTCACTGCAACCTCCGCCTCCTGGGTTCAAGCAATTCTCCTGCCTCGGTCTCTAAAGTAGCTGGGATTACAGGCATGCACCACCATGCCTGGCTAATTTTTATATTTTTAGTAGAGATGGGGTTTCACCACGTTGGCCAGGCTGGTCCCAAACTCCTGGACTCAAGTGATCTGCCCACCTCGGCCTCCCAAAGTGCTGGGATTACAGTCGTGAGCCACTGTGCCTAACCTAAAAGACCTTTTTAATAGTTGGTTAAAAAGGACAGGTTGTAGCTTAAGAGGTAATAAGTCTTCTGTTGTTAGAGGCATTCAAGTATGAACTTAAAAACCTGTGAAAATGATGCTATGGAGAGAATTCCAGCTCAGGAGGCATGAAGAGAAATGAATTTATGTGAAGCTTCAAGATTTAGGGGTCATCCTGAATTCAGTACCAATCTATTATACCTTCCTCAACTACTTCCATTCCCTGAACGGGATATCATCTCAGATATCAAGGACCATAAGGATTTTAAATATCCTAGTCTAGACTAGTCTACTTGAATCTTCATCACTGGTTTATTGCACCAAAAATTATAATGGCATATTTGAAGGATCTTTCCATGCAAAGCATTAAAACAAATGGTGTTTGTGTTCATCTCTCAGTTTACTATAAAAGTAACTTAAAACCTCATTCTCTGAACAATCTGTCTTCATTGAAATAAGAAAAATAATAAATAATATTGATCTATCATCATTAGCATAAAAATATTCTAAACATATCTGGTTGGCTGGCTGTTTACATACCTACCTACTGATCTATCTGAAAGAATGAACTGAAAAATATATACCAAATATGAAGTTTGGCTGACTCTGAGTGGTAGGTCTATAGATGGTAATTTTTTGTTCCTTACTTTTGTCTTCTAATTTTTTCAAAATAGGGATAACTGGCTAGCCTTATGCAGTGGATTGAAACTGGACCCATTCCTTTTACGATATATAAAAATCAACTCGAGATGGATTAAAGATTTAAATGTAACATCATAAAACTATAAAAACTATAGAAGAAAACCTAGGAAATACCATTCTGGACATCAGCCCTTGCAAAGATTTCATGATGAAGACATCAAAAGCAATTGCAATGAAGATAAAATTTGACAAATGGGACTTAACTAAACTAAAGAACTTCTTCACAGCAAAAGAAATTGTCAATACAATAAAGAGACAACCTACATAATGGGAGGAAGTATTTGCAAACTGTGCATCTGACAAAGGTCTAATGTCCAGAATCTATAAAGAACTTGAATAAATTAACAAAAAACAAGCCCATTAAAAAGTGGGCAAAAGACATGAACAGACATTTTTCAAAAGAAGACATACATGCAGCCAACAAACATAAAAGATGATCAATATCACTAGTCATTAGATAAATGTACATCAAAACCACAATAAGATAACATCTCACACCAGTCAGAATGACTATTATTAAAAAGTCAAAAAACAACAGGTGCTTGCAAGGCTGCAGTGAAGAGGGAACACTTATACTCTGCTGGTGGGAATGTAAATCCCACGTGGAAAGCCATGTTCAGCCATGTGGAAAGCAGTTTGGTGATTTCTCAAATAACTTAAAAGAGAACTACCATTTGACCCAGCAATCCCATTATTGGGTATATACCTAAAGAAATATAAATCATTCTGCCATAAAGACACATGCATGTATATGTTCATTGCAGCACTGTTCACAAGAGCAAAGACATGGAATCAACCTAAGTACCTATCAATGGTAGACTAGGTAAAGAAAATGTGTTACATATACACCATAGAATACTACGCACCCATGAAAAAAGAATTATATCATGTCATTTGCAGGAACATGGATGGGGCTGGAGGCCATTATCCTAAGTAAATTAATACAAGAAAAGAAAACCAAATACCACATGTTCTCACTTACAAGATGGAGCTAAAAATTTGTACACATGGACACAAAAAAAGGGAACAATAGACACCAGGGCCTATTTGATGGTGGAGGGTGGGAGGAGGGTTAGGATAGAAAAAGTACGTATTGGGTACTATGCTCATAACCTGGGTGACAAAATAATCTGTACACCAAACCCCCATGATATGCAATTTGCCTATGTAACAAATTTGCATGTGCACCCCTGAACCTAAAAGTCTAAAAAATAAGATAAAATAAATATTTATCTCTTGCAAAATAACAAGAGTTCCCCAACTTATCTGCTATAGAAGTCAGGCTGGCAATATAATTAAATGAATGGGCCAAGGTGTAAGAAAATAGGGAAGAGTAGTGACTTGCATAACCTGGAAAATATATTCCCTTTTGAAAAGGCATGGTTGCTACTCAGTTCTAGATGTTATTGGTATAAGGGAATTAAAGTGAAGCTAAACAGATTTTTATGTTAGTCTTAGCTGCTTAAATGATGGCAACTAGTGAAAATTTTAAAACAGAATAGATATATGGACCTGTATATGGTCAGTTTACCACTTTTGAAATGAATATTCTGCTTGCTCTAACAGGAGAGTGGTCATGCCCCACACATTCTTCCCTGGCTTGCTCCAGCAATAAATCCAGGTTTTCAGACTCTCCATGGAAGTAGATTTGGCACAGATAGAGCATCTCAACTTTTATAGCCCTTACCAGCAACTCACTCCTAAATCAAATAGCTCTAGAAGTTGTTGGGTCTGTGCAGTCCTGAGTCTCCTAAACTACAGAAAACAAAAAGATGACTTTTAAAATTACAAACATTCAGCAGCTATCTCCCCAGGTTCAAAATGAGCAGTCTGATCAAGAATACAGTCATATGTCTCAGACCCTCCACTTTGGTTACGGCAGAATAAATGTGAGATAAAATCTAGCCCCCAGCTTCTCTGCAAGGAAAGGAAAAGCTGGAACACACATCTAACACCCCAACCTCTCCAGCTGTATCTCAAAGGACTGGCTTCAATCTCACCTTACTCAAGGCAATAACATGACTTGACACTGTCTAATTTGGGGGAATCCAATAAGAAGAATAACAGCAGGTTGGACAAGCACAAGGAATTTAGAGGCACTAAGAATCTCTGGGTGGGCTGATTGGTGAGAAATATCTCCTCCATGAGACCAGTCTAATAAGACTGAGAGAGGAGAATTTTTATCTAATTCACAGAAAGTATCAGAGAGTCAAGTAAAATGAAGAAATAGAGAGATGTTTTTCAAATTAATGAACAAGATATATCTCCAAAAGTAGACCTTAATGAAATGGAGATATGTGATTTACCTGACAGGAAAATCAAAAGGATCATCATAAAGATGCTCACTGAATTAAGGAGAGCAATGCATGATCAAATTGAGAACTTTAACAAAGTGACAGAAAATATTAAAAAGTATCAAACATGAATAATTGAGCAAAAGAATATATTAACTAAATGAAACAATCCAACAAGAGGTTCAACATCAGACTTGATCAAGCAGAAGAAGACAGGAAGACAGGTCACTGGTAAATATCCAATCTGAGAAGCAAAAAGGGAAAAGAATAAAAAAGATTAAAGACAGCCCAAGGGATTTATGGGACACCATCATACAGAATATGATACACATTTTCAGTGTACCCGAAGGAGGAGAGAAAGGAACAGAAAAATATATTCAAAGAAATCATGGCAGAAAACTTCCCAAGTGTGAGGAAGAAAATAGAAATTCAGATTCAGTAAGCTTAACAGTCATCTATAATAGGATGAATTCAAAGAAACTCACACCAAAACACTTAATAATTAAACTGTCAAAGGTTAAAGACAAAGGTAGAATATTGAAAGCTGCAAAGAAAAAGTGAATTGTTATATACAGAGAAACTTCTCTAAGATTACCAGCAGATTTTTTCAACAGAACCCCTGCAGGCCAGAGGGAATAGAATGATATATTCATAAAGCTGAAAGAAAAAATATGCCAACTAACAATACTATACCCAGTGTCTTAATCTATTTAGTGTTGCTATAACCTGAGACTGGGTAATTTATGAAGAAAGTAAGTTTATTTGGTTCACAATTTTGGTGCTTAGGAAGTCCAGAATTGGGTTGTTGAATTTGGTAAGGGCCTCAGGCTGCTTCCACTTATGGCAGAAAGCAGAAATAAAATAGACACATGCAAAGAGATCATATGGCAAGACAGGATGCAAGAGAGAGAAACCAAGGAAGCCAGATTTTTTTAAATAACCTTCTCTCTTAGGAACTAATCTACTCCTATGAGAGTGAGAAATTCCTGCCAGAGAAGGACATTAATTTATTTAAGAGGGATGTGTCCCCACGACCCAAAAACCTCCCACTGGGCCTTATTTCTCAACACCAACACATTAGGGATCAAATTTCAACACAAGTTTCAGAGGAGACAAACTCAAACCATAGCACCCTGCAATCTTGTCCTTCAAAAATGAAGGGGAGATTAAAAAAAAACTTTCTCAGACAATCAAAAGCTAAGATAATTTATCACCACTAGACCACCTCATAAGAAATACTAAAAGAATTCCTTCAAGCCAATGGAAAATGTTGCTAAGTAGCAACATGAAAATATATGAAAAAATAAAACTGACTGGTAAAAGTAAATACATAGTCAAACTAAGAACATTCTTATACTGAAATGATGGTGTGAAAATCAATTATATCTACTATGAAAGTTAAAAGATAAAACTATTATAAACAACCATAGATACAATCATTTGTTAAGGGATATAAACTATAAAAGATACAAAATGTGTCATGAAAAACAAAGTGTGGGAAGGCATAAAACGTAGAGTGTGTGCAAGTGTTCAAAGTTAAGTTGTCACCAGCTTAAAATATTCTGTTATTAGTATAACATGTTTTAAGATTATTTATATAAGCCCCATGTTAGCCATAATGAAAAATTCTTAGTAGATACACAAAATGCAAAAAGAAATGATTCAAGGTAAACCATTAAAGAAAATCATTAAACCACAAAGGAAGATATCAAGAGAGGAAAAAAAGAACAAAGGATCTGCAAATTAACAAGAAAACAATTAACAAATGCCAATAGGTAAGTAAATAGTAATAGGTAATTATTGATAGGTAAGGACTTAAGTTTAAATGAATTAAATTCTCCAATCAAAAGACACTATGTGACTGAATGGATATAAAAAACAAGAACTAACTACATGCTGCCTACAAGACACTCACTTTATCTCTAAAGACACATATAGACTCAAAGTGAAGGTACTGAAAAGATATTCCATAGAAATAAAAAGCAAAGGGGAGCAGGGTAACTATATTTATATTAGATAATGTGGATGTTAAGTCAAAATCTGTAAAAAGAGATAAAGAAGGTCATTAAATAATAATAAAGGGGTAAATTCATCAAGAAGTCATAACAATTGCAAGTATATATATGTCCAACATCAGGGCAACTAATCAAGCAAATATAGAACTAAATGGAGAGATAAATTATAATTCAATAATAGCAGAAGACTTAAGCACCCCAGTTTCAATTTTGGACAGATCATCTAGACAGATAATCAATAAGAAAACATTGGATTTGAACTAGACTTTAGACAAAAACACCTAATAGATATTTACAGACTAGTTCACCCAACAGGAACAAAATACACATTCCTCTCAAGTACACACGAAGCATTCCAGGACAGATAATCTGTTAGGCCATAAAACAAATTTTAACAAATTTAAGAAGACTGAAATCATATTGAGTATCTTTTCCGACTACAATGGCATAAAACTAGAAATCAATAAAAGGATGAATCTTAGAAAATGCACACATATGTGGAAATTAGACAACATACTTCTGAACAACCAATGGGTTGAAGAAGAAATAAAAATAAAAATAAAAAATATCTTGAGATAAAGAAAATGAAAACAACACAGCAAGCTTTATGGAATGCAGCAAAAGCAGTTTTAAGAGGGAAGTTCAAAGTGACAAAAACCTGACTTAAAAAAATAAAAATTTTAAATAAACAACCTATGAAATTAGAAAAAATCATACACTAAGCCCAAACTTAGCAGAAAGAAGAAAATAATAAAGATCAGAGAAGGAAAAAAAATAAGAAACTAGAAAAAGAGACCAACAATACTAAAAGTTGTGTTTTTGAAAAGATAAACAAAACTGACATAACTTTAGCTAGACTAACAAAGAAAAAAGAGAAGACACAGGCCGGGCACACTGACTCATGCCCGTAATCCCTGTACTTTAGGAGGCTGAGGTGGGCAGATCACTTGAGGTTAGGAGTTCGAGACCAGCCTGGACAATATTATAAAACCCCATCTCACTAAAAATACAAAAATTAGCCAGGCGTGATGGCAGGCGCCTGTAATCCCAGTTACTTAGGAAGCTGAGGCAGGCGGATTGCTTGAACCCAGGAGGTGGAGGTTGCAGTGAGGCGAGACTGTGCCATTGCACTCCAGCCTGGGCAACAAGAGTGAAACTCTGTTTCAAAAAAAAAAAAAGAAAGAAATTAGCCAGGTCTGGTGGTGTGCACCTGTAGTCCCAGCTACTCAAGAGGCTGAAGCACGAGAATCGCTTGAACCCAGGAGGCAGAGACTGCAATGAGTCAAGATCATGCCACTGCACTCCAGCCTGGGTGACAGAGCAATACTGTCTCAAAAAAGAATTAAAAAAGAGAAAATACAAACAAAATCCTAAATAAAAGAGGAGACATTACAATTGATACCACAAAATAAAAAGGAAGATAATAAACTACTATGACAAACTATACATCAACAAATTAGATAACCTAAAAAGACTGGATGATTTCCTAGAATCATGTACCCTGCTAAGACCATATCAAGAAGAAACAGAATATCTAAAAAGATCATTACTGAGTACGGATATTGAATCACTAATAAAAAATCTCCCATTAAAGAAAAGCCAAGAGTCTGTTGGTTTTGCTGCTGAATTCTACCAAATATTTAGATAACTAATACCAATCTTTCTCAAACTCTCCCCCAAAAAAATTTAAGAGGAGGGAATACTCCCAAAGTTATTTTATAAGAACACCATCACCCTGATTTCAAAGCCAGACAAGGACACAAGAAAACAAAACTACAGGCCAATATTCCTAATGAACATAGAAGCAAAAAGCCTGAACAATGTAGTAGCAAATTGAACTGAACAGCACATTAAAAAGACCACTCACCATGATCAAGCAGGATCTATCCTAAGAATGCAAGGATACATCAACATATGTAAATCAATAAATGTGATATATTATATTAACAAAATGAAGGACAAAAACCACATGATCATCTCAATAGATGCAGAAAAAGCCTGCAATAACACTCAACATCTGTTCATAATAAAAACCCTCAGAAAAATTGGTATAGAAGGAATGTACCTCAACACAATAAAGGCCATATATGTCAAGCCTATAGCTAACATCATACTCAACAAGAAAGGTTAAAATCTTTTCTTTGATGAGCAGGAACAAGACAAGGATGTACACTCTTGCCTTTTATATTCTACATAGTACTGGAAGTCCTAGCTAAAGCAATTAGGCAAGAAAAAGAAATAAAATGCATCCATATAGGTAAGGAAAAAGTGAAACTGTCTCTGTTTGCTGATGACATGATGTTATACGTAGAAAAACCCTAAAGATTCCACAAAAAACTATTAGAATCAATAAAGAAATTCAGTAAAGTTGCATATAACCAAATCAACATACAAAATAAGTAGCATTTCTGTACATTAACAATGAGCTATCTGATTTTTTTTAAAACGTCATTTACAAGAACATCAAAAAAGTAATTAGGAGTAAATTTATCCAAGGAGGTGAAGTATCTGCACACTGAAAATTGTAAAACATTGATTAAAAAATTGAGGGAGACACAAATAAATGGAAAAATATACCCTGTACAGATTGAAGGAATATTATTAAAACACCTGTAATACCCAAAGTGATCTAAAGATTCAGTGTAATCCCTATCAAATTTCTAACATCATTTTTTCACAAAAATAGAAAAAACAATCCTAAAATTCATATGGAACCAGAAAAAAACCCCAAAGAGCCAAAGCAATCTCTAGCATAAAGAAAAAATCTGGAGGCATCATGCTGCCTGATTTCAAAATATACTATAAAGCTATTGTAATCAAAACAGCATTGTACTGGCATAAAAAGAGATACATTGACCAATGGAAAAGGACAGAAAGCACAGAAATAAAATCAAGTATTTATAGTGAATTAATTTTTGATATAGGTGCCAAGAACATACAACGGGGAAGAATAGTCTCTTCAATAAATTGTGTTGGGAAAACTGAATAGCCACAGGTAGAAGAACGAAATTGGACCCCTATCTTCCATCATAAACAAAAATCAAATCAAAATGGATAAAAGACTTAAACGTAAGACCTGTAACTGTAAAGCCGCTATAAGAAAACACAGGGAAAAGCTCCAATGATTTCTTGAATAGAACTACAAAAGCATAGGCAACAAGAGCAAAAATATATTAGATTGCATCAAACTAAAAAGAATTTGCACAGCAAAAGAAACAGAGTGAAGTGATAACCCATGGATTGGGAGAAAATATTTGCAAACAATACATCTGATAAGGGGCTAATATCAAAAACATATAAGGAACCCAAATAACTCAATAGCAAGGAAACAAATCACCAGGTTTAAAAAATTGGGCAAAGGATCTAAATATATATTTCTTAAAAGAAGAGATATGAATGGCCAAGAGATATATAAAAAATATGCTCAAAATTTCTAATTATCAGAGAAATAAAAATTAAATTCATAATGAGGTATCACTTCACAACTGTTAGAATGGCTATTATCAAAAAGATGAATGCTAACAAGTGTTGGCAAAGATATGGAGAAAAAAGAACCCTTTTATACTGTTGGTGGGAATGTAAATTATTACAGCCATTTTGGAAAGTAGCATAGAGGTTCCTCAAAAAACTAAACTAGAATTACCATATGATACAACAATCTCACTTCTGGGCATACCTCCAAAAAAAATTGTAATCAGTATGTCAAAGCGATATCTGCATTCCCTTGTTCATTGCTGCATTATTTATAATAGCAATGATATGGAAGCAACCTAAGTGTTCATCAATGAATGAATGAAGAATATATATATATATATATATATTATATATATATATATATATTATATATATATACACACATATATATAAACACATGTATATAACATTTATACACACATATACATAATGCAATACTATACAGCCTTAAAAAATGAGGATATTCTGTCATTTGTGACAACATAGATTAATCTGGAGGGTATTATTCTAAGTGAAATAAGCCAGACACAAAAAGACAAATACTGCATGCCCTCACTCATATGTGAAATCTAAAAAAGCTAATCTCATAGAAACAGAGAATAGAAAGGTGGTTACCAGAGGGTAAAGGAGAGGGGAGGAAAAGGGATAAGACAAAGGGAGATGTTGCTCAAAGGGTACAAAGTTTCTGTTAGACTGGAAAGATAAGTTTTATTGATCTATTGCACTGCATGATAACCACAGTTAATAATAATGTATATTCTAAAGTTACTAAAACAATAGATTGTTAACATTCTCACCACAAAAACATAAAATGGATATGTTAACTTGATAGACTCTTTCTACAATATACACATAGATCAAAATATCACATTATTCCCTACAAATATATACAATAAAAATAAATAAATCACACTGATCATTAACTGAACAAAATATTTAGATTTATTTTTGGTTTTCTTTTTTACTGATAGCCTGCCTGTTTTTTAAATACATTTTCTGGAATGTTGAGATTAGAAGGCATAAGCGATATTTTAGTGAAATAACAGACCTGCTTAGTCAGAATAATTTCTCTCACTGATAACACTGTAGGGTCCTTTATTGTTGAGGATAGAACCTGTAGTCTTTGGGGGGCGGGCGTGGAGTTTATAAAACTTCCTACCCCCTCAGGCTGTGAAGGAATAAAAATAGCTAGCCTTCTAGGTAGTATATAATAGTGAAATTGTAAAATATATCTTAAAATTTTATTATCTACCTTATTTGAGAGAATTATATAATTCAATCAATCTCCTGCACGATAAAAGTAGTCCTTTCCCTTCTAAATTAAATAGAACTTTGAACAGCAGCTGTGGGTTTTATCACACTGAATTGTAAAGTAAAATGCATCCATCCACCTTCACATTTTCAAGGATTACAGTGAAGATTGGCAAATGATGAAAATCCTACAGCAGGAACACTATTCTGTTTCACGTGTGCTAAAGGAAAGAAGACAAGTATATGTGTTAATTATAAGTTGAAAAGCTTTAAGGACATTCTGAAGATCAATGAGAATCTTGCCTAATTGTTTTTGAACTGATGATTATGTGTCTGGTGATAAAGGAATTCAGCAAATGACATAATTGTTTAGCAGTCAGTAATTACATACTCAGTAAAGGCCTGAAATGTTCAAAGTGCAAAAGAGTGGATGGGTATCATACAAAAGAGCGTCCCATGTAGAGGATGACAGATCCTATTCCAGAATATTTAGTTTGCTACATTCAAGTAGCTCAAAAGCCAATACAGGTTTCTACATATAAGGAAAGATCTTTCAGCAACCTTAAACAATCACATAACCCATTTATTCTGCTTCTACATAGACTTGAAATTAAGTCCTCTTCAAGAAGTAAAAATCTTTATGAAAGTTAGTACCCCAATTCCCCTGGAGGTTTATCCCATCCTCATGTCTTCCCTTGAGAACTAAGGAATGGTTTGAAAGAGAGTTTAGTGGCTTAACACAATACAAGTCTATTATCTCAGTTTCCAGGACTCTTTCAGTTGTTTCTAGAAATCTCAGAGCTAAATGTGTGTGGCCTGTCTCTAACTACGACATACAGTTTAGACATTTATTTTACCCAAACTTGACCTTATCTTATTTCTCCTATTCTTATTATTTCCTCCTGATTTCATCTCTTAGTTTTTGTATTGTGGATTATATACATAGCTTTGCAATCTGCTTCAACTCTTTTTTGGAATAACATGAATATAAATATTATATCAATAAATATTGAATGAATGCACCAAACTAATTCTCCGTCAGAAAACACTTCCAGGCCTATTCACTTTAAAGTCAAGTTCGCACTTGTCTCTAGGACCATTTTATTCATGCAAATGACTCAAAATATGTCAGTAAAGCTGGATTTTTGGAGTAATTTCCCCCTTATATCAGCATCTTTTGTTTAGCTTGAAAATAAAATGGAGATTAAATCTGTTCTGAATTTGCTCAATTCTATTTATTTTTGTAAATTGCTCAACTATTGACTGAATGCAACCACCCTCCTGCCTCCTGCCACCTTCAAACAACTCTCATGTCATCAGAGGCCACATTCTCTCTTGATTAATTTTCTAATTCGTACCTACCTCCTAAGAGAAAGGGAAGAGCTTAGTCTTTAGAAGGCTATTCCACTGCTTCTTTATAAAAACCTTATATGGAACTGCTATAGATAATCATTAAATAGCCCATCTCATTTATTTCATCCTGATGAGTTGGCTTCAAACACTTTAATATTTTCCCATTGGTCCTGTTCCCTCTTTCATCACATTCCAAATCTGCTCTACAGGGAAATACTTTGGAAACGGCTTTTAAATCTTTTATATCACTGGTGAGTCATTTGGCAAAATATTATAATAACATATCATTAATTGGATCTTGGTGGCTCTCAAACATGCCAGTCAAGCTCCTACCCCTGGGCTTTCACACTTGTTATTCACTTTCTCTGCCTATAACACTATTCCTCAAAATATCTGTATGGCTTACTTTTCTTCCCACAGGTCTCTACTTTTATATCATCTTATCAAAAAGCCTCTCCTGACCACCCTATCTAAATTATCAGCCCCCTTCCCCACCCTATGCCACTTCCCATTCTCTTCCAGGCTTTAATTTTTTTCCAGAGCACCTATTACTATCTTGAGTTATTATTTATTTATATATTTAGTAGTGAATCAACTGTCTCACTCTCTAGAACGTACACTCTATGAGGACAGGACTTTGCCTTTTTTTCACCATCTAGAACAGTGACAGGCACACAGTAAGACTCAATAAATATTTGTTGTAATAAAGGATGGATGAAGAGTAGGCATGAAACAATGAATAAAATCAATCCAATTGACATAGGCCTAGAGCCTGAAAGAAATCAGGTATAAGCCCATTTTTTTGAGTTCACTGCTTCACTCTCTGGTCTCATATAGTATTCCCATTAGCCATGGGTAGGTATTGCTTCACTTGAGTAAAAATTTTAGACACTGAAGCAGACAGACAAAATTACTTATCCCAAGTTGCTAAGGTGATAAGTAATAGTTAAGTATAGTAATAGCACACAACCATGTGCTCGGTGATGTATAAAGGACTATAAAACATACAAAGAGGTAGGCTTAAAATGTAGTGCTTAAAATCATGGACTTTAGGAGTCAGAGAGACCTGGGTTCTAATGTCAGCTCTGTCACATTCTTGCTATGTGATCGTGGACAATTTCTAAGTTTCAGTTACCTCATACATAAAATAAAAACAATACTACCTTTTTCAGATTTACAGTAAAGACTCAATGCAATAATCCACAGAGAAAGAGTGAGTAAATTTAACATAGTATTGGTGAACGATAACCAATGGTAATTAAAACTACTACTATTACTAAATGTATTATTATTATTATTAAATTACAGTTAATTTCTGAGACAACTAGAGACCAAAACAATAAAGTATGGGACCAAGAACCAGAATGTATCCTATAGACTCTCCATAATCTACTGCCACCATTTGCAAGTGTAATTTTCCATTTTTAGACATATGAACATGGTGTAGCAGAAAAAGCAGAGTCTTTAGAGCTAGGAAACTTGGATTTGAGTGCCAGCTCTAATACTGTTTTCATGGGTGACTTTGGGCAATTCATAACCATGCTGAGATACATTTTCCTCATATATAAAATGGAAATAATATTTAAATCAAAGGGTTATAACAATTAAATGAGGTACCACATTATGAAAATTCCCAGCACAACATAGTACCTTTACAAAGTAGTAATTCAATAAATATAAGCTGAATTAAAATCTGATTTATTTGCTGTCTCCAGTACAGCCTGTCCTTTCCCATACCATTCCCCACCCAGGAATGCATATATGTCAATTCTCCTCTACATCTACTTAAATTCTATCCAGCCTTTAAAGGGCAGTTCAAGTTGCAATGCCTTATAGTAAATGCTCTGGTGCTTGGTCAAGGGTAGGTTCTTTAGGGCCAATGCACCTATCCCACAACTGTTGAGAATATCAAGTTACCAATCCTTGCAGCTAGAGCCACAACAATGGGAATTGTCCTTGGCTATAAGGAGCTGTATGCCCAAAGGTAACACCTTAGCAGGGAGTGGCGTATGGCCAAAGACTGCCTGATGAAGGAATTCAAAAGCCTAGCCCCCTTGTTTCAATTTGGGATAATCATCCAGAGACCCATCCTAACTCCAGATCTCCCTGTAAGATCTGCTGAGGCCGTAGGCAACTACATTATCGGTCAGCTTCTACTTCTGCTCAATTTTGTCTTTCACTTTTCTTACTTCCTTACAGAGCCAAAGTCTCATACTTACTCCATTTACTCCCTTAGAATGCGACACACCATAGTTATTCGATGAAGATTCTGGATTGATGCTATTGGTTTGCTAACCACTAACCATAGCATTAAAAAGTAACCCATTTTCTTTTTCTTTTTTTTTTTTTGTTTGTTGTTGTTGTGTTTTTTTTTTTTGAGACAGGGTCTCACTCTATTGCCCAGGCTGGAGTGCAGTGGTGTGAACACAGCTCACTGCAGCCTCGACCACCCAGCTCAAGCAGTCCTTCCACCTCATCGTCTTGAGTAGCTGTGACTACAGGCATGTGGGAAAATGCCAAGCTAATTTTTGTATTTTTTGTAGAGATAAGGTTTTACTATGTTCACCATGCTGGTCTTGAACTCCTGAGCTCAAGTGACCTGCCTGCCTCGGCCTTCCAGAGTGCTGGGATTACAGGCGTGAGCCACTGTGCCCAGTTAGCAGCTCATTTTCAAGAAAAAAAAAAAAAAAAGACTGAACTTTTTAACAATGCAATTTTGTTTCCTCCTAGATATCCAGTCATAGCATACTGACATAAAATTTATGAGACAGTAAAGGAAAAACGTGTAGGAAAAAAAACATATAAGGTGAAATTAGAAAATAAATCTGGAGAACAGCAGAGGTATCTTTCTAAAGCCTGCAAATTTGCATTGGCTCAATCTATGGATACCAACAACAATTACCACTTGCCTAAACCTCTGTACTGCACTTTCTTCAACTATTCTCCATTCTCCATTGTGGTCCTAGGCAGCAGCAGGCAGCAAACTTTTTTTTTTTTTTTTTTTTTTTTTTTTTAGAAATAGGATATTGCTCTGTCATCCAGGTGCTGGAGTGCAGTGGTACAATCATAGCTCACTGCAGCCTCAAACTCTTGGGCTCAAGCAATCCTATCAACTCAGCCTCCTCTAGCTCCTCATGCCTTGGCCTCCCAAATTACTGGAATTACAGGTATGAGCCACCACACCTAGCCCAAACATTTTAATATTGTGAATGTGTGAGTATATGTATACCTTGTGTGTGTATATGTGTATATATACTTTTAGAAACTAGAGAAGATATCTTGGATTCATGAAAGCGAAAATGTCTGTGAATGAATTTGAAATATGGTTTATCAAAAAAAGCAAAAACAATGCAGCCGTTATATCCATATCTTCTTTTAGCCTGTCCTGATTTTTTTTTTAGCAAACTACCAGAGTTAGTACAAATAAATGCTTTAATTTATTCATTTATGAACAATTTGCATAAATTATAAGAGCAACAACCATTCCCTTTATTGATTTAAATAAAAAGATATCCCATGTCTATACCAAATATTTTAAGAAATAACAATTACTGAAATTAAGACTAAAAATTTGTGTGCAATAATATGAAAAAGTGTAATTTTTGTCACCATAAGCATTCTACTGAAAATAATTTACTATAAAACTATTATGGTAGTGATAATTATAATACTTTTAGATAACAATTATTGAATATTTACTATTTTCAAGACACTTAAGTACATTACATTCTGACAACAATGATAACTACCCTCTACGAATACTTTCTGCCAGGTATTCTTCTAAGTACGATAAATGTATTATCTCATCTAATCTTCACCATCATCTTGTGAGGGTGGTATGAGATGATTTCCTTTTTATAAGAAGAGAAAGAAAGACTCAGTTAAGTAACTCTCCTAATGTCTCATAGCTCAAATGGTGAAGTCAGGATTTGAACCCAGGATTTTTTGGCTCTTAAAACTGTGGTTTTAATGTAAATATGGCCACCTAATGATGTAAACAAGCATCAATTTTATAGTCTGCATAGTGTGGCTGAGGGTGACAAAATGTGTATTATTCCCAGCTATTTTTTCTTTCAACAGATATTTATTTAGAGCTTACCGTGAGCCAGATAATAATCCTAGGGCCAAGACATTCTTGATTCTTCCTTCTGTTCCTTCACCCACATCATTCAATCCATTACCAAGGTTTGTTGAGTTTGATATAGCATCATAAATTGGGGAGAGAGGAAACTGCCTTGCACAGGAAAGTCAGAGAAGACTTCTTTGAGGATGGGCACTAATGCTTACCACAATTTCAACTCCTGAACTTAATATGTCTTTTTGGCATTGTCCTCTGACATTTACCTGGCTGTCATTCACATAGGTCACTGTTTCAGTTTGCACTGGACTCAACAAATCCAAATGGTCTCAGCAGGTAATGCCCTTCTAAGTAAGAGGAGTGAGCCAGGCTTGTGGCACATCCTGTAAAATAAATATCACCAGTGCTGATGTTTTGCTCACCTTTTACAAAGAACATTATCCATTTAGGTTGAGTCTATCAAAAACAGAAAACAGAAAAGAAGCTTCCTGCCTTATGAGATATTTTGTTGAACAATTCAGGTATTATGATATATACAAACAGACTGATATTAGAGCCCATTATGTGCAATATGAACTATCTATGACTGATGATATTGCTGTATGTTCTGGATGTTGGAAAGAGAATCAATAAACATGAAGTGCAAAAATATATTCTCAATTGAAAAAATCTCCCATTAAGAAAAACTGAACTAACTTTTGGATAAAGTGAAATATTTCAATGTAAATCTATCACCCTACCCATAACTTCATGGAAACTCCAGCTGAGTTCAGCCCCCAAGAAACAAACCACACACACACACACACACACATACACACACACATACACACACACCCCACAGCAGTCAAGGCATCACAAGTCATTTTAAGATTTTTACATTTTTTATTACCTTGAAATGTATCAGAATCCCTATTTGTAAAATCGTATTTAACCTTGATGAAACCATAGAGTATTTCCCAATTTAAAGCAGGTATTTTACGGTGGTGGGGGGCACCTTTTAGGCTATAAACAATCAATACTAGTATTAGTCCAAACTTCTTAGATTGTATAGCCTATTTTGTTGTGCTGCATTCTATGTTTATTACAAATATGCACTCTAATTCTTACCCGCGACCCTGTAAGAAAAAAATAGATTATTCATCTATTTATCAAATATTTACCAGCAGCCTATGTGTGTGGTGCTATAAAATGGTAGTAATTATAAAAGACTGCCTTCCACTTATAGGAATTTGTAATAGAATCAAGGAAATACCACAAATATGAAAGTCTCAACAGTATAAGAGGAAATGTAGTATGATATTTTGATTCATACAGATTACATTTATTGAGTACCTACTATGTGCCAGAGCTGACAGTTTGAATGCAATGGTGAGCAACATAAAGATGATCCATGGCCTCATGGTTCATATAGTCTAGTTAGAAAGGAAATCAGTTAAACAAGAAATTGCAATATAATGTGGTGAGTGCTATGGTAAAGGAAAGGTACTCTGCTACGGCGCACCCAAACTGAAACTTAGAGCCTTAAGGTATGTTTCCTAGAAGGAAGAGTATTGCAGGCAGTGTAGGCTTCACTCCATAGCATGTGTGAAGATCCAGAGAAGTGAGAGGCAATTAAAATCGGCAAGCAAAAGCATGCAGTAGTGAGACAGATGCATTCAAGGAACTGAAATCCAGTACAGCTAAAGCAAAGGACGCAAATTAAAAAGTAGGAAGAGATGAGGCTGGAGAAGTGGGCATGGGTACCACATATCTTGTATTAACATGTTGACATTCTAGGCTTTAATCTGAGGGCTATGGAAAACCACCAAAGGATTTTACAAGGAGCAGTACCAGATCTAAAAGCGGCCGGTAGGTAAAAAATGGATTGCATGGTGGAACAAGGAGACACAGGGTGATCTGTGTAGCAGTTCAGTGGAAGAATTAAAGTGGACATATACAGGATAAATTGGGGAGCTAAAGATGACAGGGCTTTGTGATTAACTCAATATTGGTATAGGGAACAGAAAGGAATGACTTCAAGGCCTCCAGCTTGAGCAATTGGGTAGAGGGTAATGTCATTTACTGAAATGGAGAGCATAGGAGGGGGAATAGTCCACAGACGATGACAGGTTGAACAAGACATAATATGCTGATAAGTAGCATCCACATATGGAAGCACAGAAAAGCAAAGGATCCCTTCTGACATTGAGGTATGGTAATAGAGTCAGCACTTGAGCTGGGTGGGATTTTAGGAGAATAGGTAGGGTAAAGAACAACTGCAAGGCACATTTAAGGAATGGAAAATGATCATGACTGTTTAGAATATAGGTTTTCTTTTTTTGTATTATACTTTAAGTTTTAGGGTACATGTGCACAATGTGCAGGTTTGTTACATATGTACACATGTGCCGTGTTGGTGTGCTGCACCCATCAACTCGTCATTTAACATTAGCTATATCTCCTAATGCTATCCTTCCCCCTCCCCCCACCCCACAACAGGCACTGGTGTGTGATGTTCCCCTTCCTGTGTCCATGTGTTCTCACTGTTCAATTCCCACCTATGAGTGAGAACATGCAGTGTTTGGTTTTTTGTCCTTGGGATAGTTTGCTGAGAATGATGGTTTCCAGCTTCATCCATGTCCCTACAAAGGACATGAACTCATCATTTTTTATGGCTGCATAGTATTCCATGGTGTATATGTGCCACATTTTCTTAATCCAGTCTATCATTGTTGGACATTTGGGTTGGTTCCAAGTCTTTGCTATTGTGAATACTGCTGCAATAAACATACGTGTGCATGTGTCTTTATAGCAGCATGATTTATAATCCTTTGGGTATATACCCAGTAATGGGATGGCTGGGTCAAATGGTATTTTTAGGTATTGATGGGACATACCTCAAAATAATAAGAGCTATCTATGACAAACCCACAGCCAATATCATACTGAATGGGCAAAAACTGGAAGCATTCCCTTTGAAAACTGGCACAAGACAGGGATGTCCTCTCTCACCACTCCTATTCAACATAGTGTTGGAAGTTCTGGCCAGGGCAATCAGGCAGGAGAAGGAAATAAAGAGTATTCAATTAGGAAAAGAGGAAGTCAAATTGTCCCTGTTTGCAGATGACATGATTGTGTATCTAGAAAACCCCATCGCCTCAGCCCAAAATCTCCTTAAGCTGATAGGCAACTTCAGTAAAGTCTCAGGATACAAAATCAATGTGCAAAAATCACAAGCATTCTTATACACCAATAACAGACAAACACAGAGCCAAATCATGAGTGAACTCCCATTCACAATTGCTTCAAAGAGAATAAAATACCTAGGAATCCAGCTTACAAGGGATGTGAAGGACCTCTTCAAGGAGATCCACAAACCACTGCTCAATGAAATAAAAGAGGATACAAACAAATGGAAGAACATTCCATGCTCATGGATAGGAAGAAGCAATATCGTGAAAATGGCCATACTGCCCAAGGTAATTTATAGATTCAATGCTATCCCCATCAAGCTTCCAATGACTTTCTTCACAGAATTGGAAAAAAACTACTTTAAAGTTCATATGGAACCAAAAAAGAGCCCGCGTTGCCAAGTCAATTCTAAGCCAAAAGAACAAAGCTGGAGGCATCACACTACCTGACTTCAAACTATACTACAAGCCTACAGTAACCAAAACAGCATGGTACTGGTACCTAAACAGATATATAGACCAATGGAACAGAACAGAGCCCTCAGAAATAATGCCGCGTATCTACAACTATCTGATCTTTGACAAACCTGACAAAAACAAGAAATGGGGAAAGGATTCCCTATTTAATAAATGGTGCTTGAAAACTGGCTAGCCACATGTAGAAAGCTGAAACTGGATCCCTTCCTTACACCTTATACAAAAATTAATTCAAGATGGATTAAAGACTTAAATGTTAGACCTAAAACCATAAAAACCCTAGAAGAAAACCTAGGCAATACCATTCAGGACATAGGCATGGGCAAGGACTTCATGACAAAAACACCAAAAGCAATGGCAACAAAAGCCAAAATTGACAAATGGGATCTAATTAAACTAAAGAGCTTCTGCACAGCAAAAGAAACTACCATCAGAGTGAACAGGCAACCTACAGAATGGGAGAAAATTTTTGCAATCTACTCATCTGACAAAGGGCTAATATCCAGAATCTACAATGAACTCAAACAAATTTACAAGAAAGAAACAAACAACCCCATCAACAAGTGGGCGAAGGATATGAACAGACACTTCTCAAAAGAAGACATTTATGCAGCCAAAAGACACATGAAAAAATGCTCATCACCACTGGCCATCAGAGAAATGCAAATCAAAACCACAATGAGATACCACCTCACACCAGTTAGAATGGCGATCATTAAAAAGTCAGGAAACAACAGGTGCTGGAGAGGATGTGGAGAAATAGGAACACTTTTACACTGTTGGTGGGACTGTAAACTAGTTCAACCATTGTGGAAGTCAGTGTGGTGATTCCTCAGGGATCTAGAACTAGGTTTTCTTTTAAGATATGCTGATAATAGAGACGCAAATGCATACTGGGATTTAAGTACAGAGGACTTTGAAATTTATGGTAAAGACTTGAAGCTAATATTAACATTTGTAATACAGCATTCCCAGTATAAGTATGGCCTTAGGTAAGTCATTTAATCTTTCTTTTTTAAATTTTCTCATTTATGAAATGAGTAGCTTTCAGATTTTGGATTTCATGGATTTGTAAAATTTAAAAAGTTCGGGGTGGCAGCTAGGTGCCATGGCTCACGCCTGTAATCCCAGTACTTTGTAAGGCTGAGGCAGGCAGATCTCTTGAGGTCAGGATTTTGAGACCAGCTTGGGCAACATGGCAAAACCCTGTCTCTAGAAAAAAAAATTGTTTTTTAAATTAGCTGGATGTGGTGGCATGAGCCTGTAGTCCAAGTGACTTGGGAGGCTGAGGAAGAAGGTTGCAGTGAGCTGAGTTCATGCCACTGCAGTCCAGCCTGGACAACAGAGCCAGACCCTGTCTCAGAAAAAATAAAAAATAAAAATAAAAAGTGGGGGATGGGGGACGTGAAGCAACAAATGGTTGCCAACTTCATTTTGCCAAGTATGGACATTAAAAACAATAAACAAATAAATTATTATCTATTAATGCTGTCACTATATAAAATAAAAGATATTTCAAAACAAAGTTCAAGATTTTTTTTATTATTATTATACTTTAAGTTCTGGGGTACAAGTGCAGAATGTGCAGGTTTGTTACATAGGTATACATGCGCCATGGTGGTTTGCTGCACCCATCAACCCGTCATCTACATTACATATTTCTCTTAATGCTATCCCTCCCCTAGCCCCCCACCCACTGACAGGCCCCAGTGTGTGATGTTCCCCTCCCTGTGTCCATGTGTTCTCATTTTTCAACTCCCACTTAAGAGTGAGAACGTGTGGTGTTTGGTTTTCTGTTCTTGTGTTAGTTTGCTGAGAATGATGGTTTCCAGCTTCATCCATGTCCCTGCAAAGGACATGAACTCATCCTTTTATACAGCTGCATAGCATTGCATGGTGTATATGTGCCACATTTTCTTTATCCAGTCTATCACTATGGGCATTTGGGTTGGTTCCGAGTCTTTGCTATTGTGAATAGTGTCACAATAAATATATGTGTGCATGTGTCTTTATAGTAGAATGATTTATATTCCTTTGGATATATACCCAGTAATGAGATTGCTGGGTCAAATCGTATTTCTGGATTTCTGGTTCTAGGTCCTTGAGGAATTGCCACACTGTCTTCCACAATGTTCGAAGTAATTTACACTCCCACCAACAGTGTAAAAGTGTTCCTGTTTCTCCACATCCTCTCTAGCATGTGTTGTTTCCTGACTTTTTAATGATGACCATTCTAACTGGCGTGGGATGGTATCTCATTTTGGTTTTGATTTGCATTTCTCTAATGACCAGTGATGATGAGCTTTTTTCATATGTTTGTTGGCTGCATAAATGTCTTCTTTTGAGAAGTGCCTGTTCATATCCTTCGGCAACTTTTTGATGGGGTTGTTTTTTTTCATTTAAATTTGTTTAAGTTCTTTGTAGATTCTGGATATTAGCCCTTTGTCAGATGGATAGATTGCAAAACATGTTCTCCCATTCTGTAGTTTGCCTGTTCACTCTGAGGATAGTTTCTTTTCCTCTGCAGAAGTTCTTTAGTTTAATTAGATCCCATTTGTCAATTTTGGCTTTTGTTGCCATTGCTTTTGGTGTTTTAGTCATGAGACAAGAGTTTTGCTCTTGTTGCCCAGGCTGGAGTGCGAGGGCATGATCTTGGATCACTGCAACCTCTGCCTCCTGGGTTCAAGCGATTCTCCTGCCTCAGCCTCCCCAGATAGCTGGGATTATAGGCGTGCACCACCATGCCCGGCTAATTTTGTAATTTTAGTGGAGACGGGGTTTCTCTATGTTGGTCAGGCTGCTCTTGAACTTCCAACCTCAGACGATCCACCCGCCTCGACCTCCCAAAGTGCTGGGATTACGGGCGTGAGCCACCATGCCCAACCTCAAGATACTTTTAAATAATTTTTAAAATAAGTAAATTTCATTTTATGGAACACTGACTTCATTGTCCTTATTTTTCTCTTTCCACTGAGGACTAGTGCAAACTTCTGGCAGTGGTCCAGAGACCATAGTTTGGCAACTGGTGAATTATACTTCAGGATTCATTCCAACACTGACATTCTAGCATTTCTATGATTCCCAGGAATTTATTCATCAATCATTAGGGAGCCATTGAAGGTTTTGGTGGAGTGAAATGATACTATCAAAGCTACGTTTCAAGAACTCATATGGGAGGTCCTGGAAGAGAAAAAGCAGTCCAATATGTAGCTATCACCAAAGTTGAGGCATAAACTAATAAAGGCATAAACGAAGGCATTGACAATAGAAATTAAAAATTGAAGTATATTGTGTCCAGTGCCACATATTCTGGTAGGGCTGACAGCATGCTTTGTAAGTCAGACCTTGACTGAAATGTTTGGCTTTTTTTAGCCAAAGCCCTGATTTACCTTAGAAAGTTCATTTGTAGTATCCTTTCATCTAAGAGACTTTTCAAAAAGTGGACTAAAAAACAACATTTTTTTCTGGTTCATCATATCTAAACCACAATTTTGAATGTCTCTGGGAGGAAGATAGTTTATTATTCATATTGTGCTGAAGAGACCAATCAAATGTTTGAATGTGATGGATTATGAAGAGGAAGCATATGTTAATGAGTTGCTTAAAATCAGTACTTGGAGAGGTTACAAATGAAAAACAGTCCTCTCATGCCATAAAATGAAAGCCACAGGACTCAAACAGAAAAACAGAGAAAATAGCTCTTTTTAAAATATCTGAGCTATTTCTGCCCCAAACCTTTCAAAAGAAAATTACAAAATAGAATGAGTGGGTCATCATGTGAAATTTGAATGAAGAGCTGCTGTTCTCTAACATTGTTGGGTTAAATTCTCATACCATTATACTTGTGGGAATTACTAGATTCTGAACTATTAGAGAGAAACATGTACACATGTTTAAAACCTCATGATATTCCCCAGAAATTGCCTTTGTTTTATTTTAGCTTGTTCAAGGAAGAAAACTAAAGGGCAGCTATAGACCTTACAAGGCCTGTGGACCTAGAAGATGCTGGGATCTTACACATCCAAAAAGGAAATCACAATTTCTAACTGGATTACAATTTAAAACCTTTCCCCTTTAATTTTGATGAGCCTGGTGCAAAGTTTTCAAACCACAGTGCTGTGGACAACTGCATGTCACAAGTCAGTTACACATGGCTAAGATATTGATCACCTCAGTCCTCAAGTGGTCAGAGCCACCACGATTAACTCCAATTTGCTGAATACATATTTAAAATTTTCAATATGTACCATGAGGTGAAAACATTGGTAGTCTTCCAGAGCACTTGAAACTGGTCCAATTGTCCAAAAGAACTGATGTTTATAGTCTTTTTGAATAAACACAGAAATTGACCCTCACAGTCTTAAATCTTGAATCTCACATTTGTCTTATCTGAGTTCCTTCCTCAGGAAACCAATCTTCAGGCCTCCCTGATACTATCAAGGAACTGAAACTTACCAGATCACCACATTCAAACAATAAGACACTAGACCCCTCACCCATCGTGATTGCTTCCTTTCTCCTAATTCTTGTTCTCTTGCACATAGCTGCACTCCTTCCCTGCTATATAAACCCCCACTTTTAGTTTGTTGGAGACACGGATTTGAGATTTATTTCCTGTCTCCTTTGCTGCAGCACCTGAATAAAGCCTTTCCTCCCTGGCAATACACATTGTCTCAGTGATTGGCTCTCTGTGAAGTGAGCAATGGGAGCTACACTGAACCCCTGGCGTTTCATAACATACTAAGATGGGGCTTGCAGTTTAGTTTATGTTATGCTAGTAAAGACACATGGGAGTCTTTATGAGAATAGTAATAATAATAGTTTACACTTACATGGTATTTACCATATGCCAGACAGTGTTCTAAGTAAATTTTTATTTATTTAAACCACCAAGTCCCACAACAGCTCTATGAAATAGTGACTGTTAATGTATTCATTTCTTAAATGGAGGAAAATGGAGAGGTTAAAGTCACTAAGCTATTAATTGGAAGAGCCAGGATTCCAACCCAGGATATCTGGCTCTAGAGTCCTCATTTCAACTGCCTTTTATAAAGACATTTAAAGGAAAGGCTCTAGCTAGATACCAGTGACCTAGCACTAGGGGTGTGCAGATAAGTGCTGGTAGCTCAAAGCAAAAAACAGTAAGTTGTTAGTTCAGAGATATATTAAGGCCCAGAACCGGCTATCAAAGAATTGCTGGTTTGTAGTAAGGAAAATAGAGAAATAAGATTTAGTTTCAAAAATCAAGATAAAAACCAGAGAACTCTGAAAATCTAAAGGAGAATTTAAGATAAAGACCAAGATTACTGGATGAAATGAGTCAAACTAATGAAGAGTAATAGATACATGAATGGTAGATACTTTTCATGGATATTTTTAAGCCAAAGAATACCTAGAGTAGTGGTCCTCGACTGGGAGCAATTTTGCTCCCCAGAGGACATTTTACATTGTCTGGAGACATTTTTGGTTGCATAGCTTGACGACAAAGGTGTGGAGTATGTGTGCTACTGGCATCCAGTATGTAGAAGGTAGGGATGCTGTTAAATGAGCATCCTACAGTAAGTATCCTACAAGGCACAGGCTAACCTCTTCCCACTCCAACCAAGAACTATCCGGCTCAAAATGTCAAGAGTGCTGCTATTTGAGAAACTGTGGCCTAGAGGTATGAGTCTATGACCAACCGTAACCAGGTAGCCCAGGTAGCCTCTATAGGTGATGTTGGCTGATGATGATGATGATGATGATGATGATGATGATGATGATGATGATGGAGGAAGAGAGGGAAGAGCGGGAGGAGGAATAAATTACAATACTCCAACAAAAAATGAAAGCAGAATCCACTATTTTTGAGTGTTTACTAGGCACTGTGCAAAGCTCTTTATTACATTACCTTGCTTAATCCTCCAGGCAAAAAATAATCCTCAAGGGTAGGTGCTATTATTAGCTCCACTTTACATATGTGGAAAACTAGGTTCAGAAAGTTAATTACATTGTTCAGGATCACATAACTGTAAGTGATCCAATCAGGCATCACGCCCAATTCTGCCTGACTCCAGAGACCATTATACTCTATAGTATGTGTGCAATTGGCTTAGGGTATACAGTTGGTTCAAGAGTCAGAAGCAAGAAATGGACACAAAGACAAACCCTTTCCAGGTACCTGGAGGTATGGGTGCATGGGGAAGGTGCTATGAAGAAGAGTTTGAGGAATAAAATGACTGATATAAATCAGTGAATTTTCAAAAAGATTGTACATCACTCAACACACAGGTCTGTATGCAGTTTTATGAATGGGAGCATTGGGAATCAGTTTATTTCAAACTCAATTCCACATTCACATTTCTTCTGGACTTGACATCAAGCCTTTTTTCTCACCAAGGACAATCTATGTGTTATATCTGCTAAAAGTGAAGAAGGCTGTTTAAAATTGTCCCTTTCAACAGTTCTACCTGGAGAAAAAAATAGCTACATTTACTATTTTTCTCAATGCTAAATTATTACACAATAAAGTCTTTTTTTAAAAATCTGCTTTTAAACTACAGTAGCACCACCACCCCCTTAATACTTAAGCTGCTTCTGATACTCAGAGGCTAGGCTGCATCTTGGAAATATAATAGCCCCGATCAGTCAAAGCCAGCTCTATCTCAGCTAGCTTGTCTACTGATGTTAGTCCTGTCCCCGCAAACCTGTATTACAAAGGCCTTACAGCCTTCTTCAAGGCCTTCCAAGTCAGACCCTATGTTGCTGTTGTCACAAAATGAAGCTTCAGTCAGTACAACATCTACTTCCCCATTTGGCAGAAGGCTTTCCAATAACAATGAAAATTAAGGTGATTTATTTTCTGATAGATTCTGGAGCTTACTCATAGGGAGAGCTTTTGTTTCCTCATGAGTTATACTAGTACAGGGAAGTGAGTATCTGAGTATGACAGTAGTTTTCTTTTTTCTTGTTTTTATAACAAAAAAATTACTGCTCATAGAAATCAAAAGTGAAATGCCTGTGTTCATCCACTACATTGTGTGTTCAAAGCTCTCAATAATTTCCAACTCTTTTATTTCATTTTATTTTTCTGGGACACAGAATTGTTGACTCCCGGTTTACAGGAGTTATTAAACTACATTTCCTAATACAATCAGAGTTTATTAGGCTTAAGTGAGAGACAGCCCATTCAAACACCTTGTAGGCTTTACGCTCAGTGGTATCCACTTAAGACAATGCTTGTTTTTTTTTAATTATTTTTACTTTACAGCACTACATAAGTAAAGGACAGTTTAAGAAAAGCTTAGAGTAGGCTTGAGTGATGTCGCAGATATTAGGTAAACTCCTCGTCCAAATAATATCTTCCTCTCTCAAGCCTGCCATAAAGGAGACAATAGATATGCCCTGAGCTTCAAATGCCTTTTTATTATACTGTTGGTATGATTTTCTTGTTGCTCCCTGGAATGGAAATTTAGACAAATAGCTTAAGTCTATTCCTGTGCTTATGCAATGACTGGCATACACCAGTAGTTGATGTCTTTTAATTTGAGACTTAGAAGTGTAGGCAAACAAAATTTCTAACTACCTCCTGAGGACACATTCCGTTGTATATCCCTGGGCATGAAAAGAAGATGGTAACATCTGGAGGAACGAGGAACAACACTTTGTTTGGTGGATGGCCTAAAAAAATGCCACTATCATGCTCAGAGCAAGAAAAGTTTAATTGGGAAATAATGATTTGGTGTCCATTTTACATAGGCTATTGAGTCTCTGAAATGAAAAAAAAAACTTTCCAGATAATTAGATGAATATTTACTTCTTTTCTTCAAAGTATTAAAGCATCAGAAGGCTGCCAAACACTGTCCTGGGTCTCAGAAGGGCAGGAGGGCTTCATATTAACACGACCTCATCTATGTTATATAGTAGAAATACATTATAAGTTACACAGATGAAAATCCTGAGCTTAACTATCCGATGGAAAAAATAATAATTATTCACTGCATGAACTAATTTCTCTGGTGATCCCACACAGTGAGCTTCCCTAGTATGCGTATTTGTTTATACTGGGAAATAAAAAGATACGACGTAGATAATTGAGTAGGCATCTGATAAATGATTTTTAAACTAGGGTGATTATGATAAAGGGCATTGACATATCTATTCAAGAATTTATAGATTATTCTCCAGAATTAAATGTAGGTCTCTAGGTAGATTAGTCGTCTAAAAGTATTTTAAAAATGAAACTCGGTTCTCATTTTTATATTTACTAATAGATTGTACCTTATAAATCTTTGGTATATGGAAGAGTAAACAAGATATCCAATTTTGCAATGTTCAATGAAGCAAAACAATCAATTTTGCTTCGAGGGGAAAGCCATCTTTGAATGACAGAGATTTGTACCAAGACATATCTACTTCTATAAATGTTCATAGTCATACTTCATGGCATAATATTTAAGTTCAGTGCCTGTCACAGATAAAATTGTAAGGTACTGTCTTTAAAAGTCTGCCTTGTATTTCCCTCTCATTCAAACCAGAGCTATTTATGGCATATAACCAGGGCTCTCAGCATATCCTCATTTTTTTCTTCAATTAGACTATTCTGGAGAGCACAGAGAATAACGTATACATATAAGACGGCAGAAGGATCTGAGTTTCAGATGCTCCCTCTTCTAATCACTTCAATTCTTAAGTAAAGTCAAGTATACTTGTCCTATGAATGAACTATACTGGATTGAATTGCCAACATTAGAATTTCAGAGAGGGTGGCATGATCTGTATGAGGGATAGGAATTTTGAATTGCTGTCCAGTCCCAAATAACAATGATATTGAACATTTATGGGGTGTTTATTATATACCAGACATTGTTTTCAGCACTTCATGTGGATTAATTTATTAATCCTCAACACAGACATGAGGTCAACAGCTTATGTACCATCATTATCCTAATTTACAGACAGGAAAGCTGAGTCCCAAAGAGGTTACTTGCCTAAGATCACAGAGCTAGTAACTAGCTAAGCAGAAATTCAAACCCAGGAGTCTGCCTCTAAAGCCCGAGTTTAAGTCATTACACTTTACTCTGTCTTTGTCCTATTATAATTTCTCAACTTAAAAAGGAATACATATTCACTGTAGAAATTTTTGACAATAAAGGCCAGGAGCGGTGGCTCACATGTGTAATCCCAGCACTTTGGGAGGCTGAGGTGGGTAGATCACTTGAGGCCAGGGGTTCAAGACCAGCCTGGCCAACATGGCAAAACCCCGTCTCTACTGAAAATAGAAAAATTAGCCAGGTGTGGTGGCATGCACTTGTAATCCCAGCTATTCAGGGGGCTGAGGCAGGGGAATCACTTGAACCTGGGAGATGGAGATTACAGTGAGCCAAGATCACACCACTGCTCTCCAGCCTGGGAAACAGAGTGAGTGAGACTCCATCTCATGAAAAAAAGAAAGAAAAAAAAAAAAAGAAAACTTTGACAATAACGAAAAGTAAAAAAGAAAGAAAAGCAACTATTCATTAGTATTTATTTGTAGACCCAGCAGCAGAAATAATCACTGTTAAATTTTAAGTACCTATGTATCTTTCCAGGCACACACTATACTTTTTGTAAAAACAAAATCAAACTGTAATATAATTCGCTAAAAGAGCTATGTTCTTTGACCCAATGATTTTATTTGTGGGTCTCTGCATTAAAGAAAAAAATCCAGTTATGGAGAAATAACTATGGGGGTACATGCCACCAAATAGTTATTTACTATGGTTCAAGTTGGAAATAATTTAAATGTCCATCATGGTATATTCAATGGATCATTTTACAGACATTAAAATCATGATTAAGAGAATTTCACAACAGTTTGGAAAAGCTTATGATATAATATTAAGTTTTAAAAAGCACCATACAAAATTGTAAGGACAGTATGATTACAACTATGTAACTTTTATGGATAGAAAAAAAGACTGAAATGAAATACATCAAAATATTAATAAAAGTTTTATAGGAATGGTAGCAGTGGGGTAAATCTTTTAAAACTCATTCTATTTTTACAAATATTTACAATGTAGCTTTCCTAATTGTTTTTCATTTAAAAGACATAAAATAAAGAAATACTGCAAAGAACATATTACCTACATACAAAGTTAGCCTTGCCTTGCTTGATGGAGAGTCAGAATTTCACTAGCTGTGTCTAATGATTTTCTGAGGACAAATGGGCCTTCCAAGGACTTTGCCTCTTCAACATAGCTACCTGACCAACCTTGTGTAGAATGTTTTCTATGTTCGAGGATTCCTCATTTTTTTTTTAATAGAATAGCTATGTTAGATCTATTGCCTGGATTTCAGAATGCAGCCAATTGCTGTCCTTCCCTGTTTTCCTTTTAAGATAAAACATGATATATGAGACCTTGGAAAGAAATAAATGAGGTCTTCCTTATCCTGGAGTAGGAATTTTCAAAATTCATCCCCCAAAGTCATATAGTATCAGACCAAATTGCCAGGGCCTCCTGACTTACAAGTTAAATTTAATTGCAACATGCTTCTTATTTCTCATTAATCAATAAATGGTCTGCTGTGTCTTGAGATTAAATAAATAATAAACAGGTTTAACCTTGCTACAGAATTGATATTTTCAACATTTTGTCCCAGAAATTTACATCCTGTCTGTTTTGATTAACAGTTTCGTAAATATAGCCTGTTGTCTGGTTCATTAATGATTAAATCAGAATTAACTGAGTTTGCTCTGAGGTTCTCTCTTCCCTTCAATCCTACACTGCCCTAGGAAGCTATCTAGCGATCTTCCATTCTTCTCAGCACAAGCCTTTGAGGACAATTGTACTAGATGTGGCCACAAGCTTCAGCAGGATGTTCTTGTTGAAAGTTGAAAAAGAAATTTGAAGAGAAAACCACAGTTAATGATGGGGAAAAATCAGGTACTTAAAAACATTTGTAATAGTTCAGTATAGACCTTTCTATGAAATTACTAAATTATGTTCCCTGCCTGTAAGATACAGATAATAATTTTTTCTTTTCTTTTATTATTATTATACTTTAAGTTTTAGGGTACATGTGCACAACGTGCAGGTTTGTTACATATGTATACATGTGCCACGTTGCTGTGCTGTACCCATTAACTCATCATTTAGCATTAGGTATATCTCCTAATGCTATGCCTCCCCCCTCCCCCCACCCCACAACAGTCCCCAGTGTGTGATGTTCCCCCTCCTGTGTCCATGTGATCTCGTTGTTCAATTCCCACCTATGAGTTAGAACATGTGGTGTTTGGTTTTTTGTCCTTGCGATAGTTTACCGAGAATGATGGTTTCCAGCTTCATCCATGTCCCTGCAAAGGACATGAACTCATCATTTTTTATGGCTGCATAGTATTCCATGGTGTATATGTGCCACATTTTCTTTTTTGACACAGAGTCTCACTTTGTCACCCAGGCTGGAGTGCAGTGGTGAGATCTTTCCGCTCACAGCAAACTCCGCCTCCCAGGTTCATGCCATTCTCCTGGGTCAGCCTCCGGAGTAGCTGGGATTACAGGCTCCCGCCCCCATGCTCGGCTAATTTTTTGTATTTCTAGTAGAGACAGGGTTTCACCGTGTTAGCCAGGATAGTCTCGATCTCCTGACCTCGTGATCCGCCTGCCTCGGCCTCCCAAAGTGCTGGGATTACAGGCATGAGCCACTGCACCTGGCCATCAATTCTTAATATTTGTCACATGGCTAGCAGTTCTCATAAGGTTGTATAAAAAAGGTGCTTGATTTATACAGAAAGTTAAGTATGAAAGTACTATCTTGTTTACAGGGCAGTTAGAGATTAAAGGTTTTAAATGCCAGTTAAGAGTTAATTCTGGTAACCTTCCAGGTGATTTCTCTTTTTTGCCTTCCTTTTTTTCTCACTGGAAATATCTAGATGGATGAGAGGGTAGGTAAACAATCATGCTTATTTTTAAAAGTTCTATATTATATAGAACTTTCTAAACAATCTTCAGTAAAAAAAAAAGAAAAGAAAAGAAAATACAAACAATAAAAAGTAAATGTGCAAATGTGTAAGAAGGAATTGCAGTAAGTGACATTCATCAAACCAGGGAAATTCTTATAATATATTCTTGATTTAGACTGGCAGAAAGTAAGCAATTGCAAGTATGTATGAACAAGCACTTACAATTTCTGTCAAGGATTAGGTTGTAATCTAAAGGAAACAATACACAAACATCCACAAATGCTTCAGGGAACAAAAAAGTCTGTGTTGAAGTGCCTGGTTGTGATGTGTAGATGTGCCCCATGCCTGGTTTCTCTAATTTCAGTCAGTTAAATTACTTCCATAATTAATAGATATATATAGTTAAATACAATTCATGTATTCATTCAACAATAATTTATTGAATACATACTATATGCCAAGCAGGAACTATTGAGACACTGGGAATGTGTGAGCAAAAATATACACTTACATTCCAGTGAGGGAAGACAGACAATAAACAGTAAGCAAAATTAATAAGCAAATTTCATGAAAAATTAGAAAGTAACAAATGATATGCATCAAAGAAAAGCCTAGATCAGAGTAAGGTGGATTGAGAGTATGGGGAGGTGGGAGTGGAGTGGGGACAAGTTGCATATTAAACAGGCAGGGCAGGATAAACCTCACTGGGAAGGTGATATTGGATCAAAGACCTAGAGACGAGGGAGTACAAAGCATGCAGTTATCAGGGTGGAAGAGCATCACAGGCAGAAGAAACTTCCCCAGGATGCTCAGGTGTGTTTAAGGAACATCAAGGTGGCCAATGTGGCTGAAGTGAAGGGAGTGAAGGAGAGAGGAACAGGAGACGAAGTCACAGTGGTATCCAAGTACCAGATATATATGGCCTTGTGGGCCACTAAAGGAGCCTAAGCTTTTATTCTCAGTTTAGCAGGGAGACCAGCCTGGAGATTTTTGCAGTAAATCAGGCAAGTCATGATGATGATGATGGCTCAGACCAGGATGATAACAGAGAGAGTGGTGAGGAGTCCTCAGATTCTGGAAATATTTCAAAGTTAGAGCCAAGATGATTTCCTGATAGATTGGTTGTGCTGTGGGAGAAAAGAAGAATGAGTCAAGGATGACTCCAAGAATTTTGGTGTGAGCAATCAGAAGGATGAAGACCCCATCAACTGAGATGGGGAAGACTGCAGGTTTTATGGAGATACTAGGAATTCAATTTTGGAAATGTTACATTTGAGGTGTTTATTAGACTTCCACTATGTAGATGTGGAGTTACTAGTTGGATAGATACAGATATTTTAATTTGAGAGTCATCAGCATATAGAAGTTACTTAAAGAGTAAATATAGACAGAAAAGAAAGGTAAATCCAAGGATTAAGCCTGGGCACTCCAAAGTGATAATAATGTGCACACCAAGTCAAACTGATTATTAATCACATTTATTACTGCTTTTATATCTCTACAGACAATGCACTCCTTTATTTCCTGTGCCCAGAGTGGACTGCTTCCGTGGCTCCAGCCTTAGTATGCCACTGATTATATGTTGCATAATCTAGTTTAAAATATAATTAAGTAACCTGGCTTTCGTTCTATGTATATTGTCTACCCTGATTACATCTGATCATCATCTGCCTCAGTTTCTCTTAATTCTAATTAGAAGCCTCCCTCACTAAGTTTCCTTTACGCTTTTGAGCAGACAGGTAGTTTCTGAGATGATATATCTGCTCTGTGCTTAGCCTGGTATAAGCATAAGGGCCTCCTAAGGATAACATTAGATTGTGATTAGAAAAATCAGGGGTTTTGATTTTTTAAAATTGATCCTTCATTTTAATGTTTTAGTTTAAAATGTATCTCCCCTTATCCTCCTACCCATATGTTTCATATATCTTCCCAACTTCTCCATCATCTCCCTGTCTTTAGTTTCTTTCCAAATGCTCCATATATTATTAACTATGAGATTCTGAAAATATATCTGCTGAGAGAATTCCAACAACTAAAATCTGAGATGAGCTATTAATTTGGAGACTTTATTCATACACGATTCCCTATATGTTTTGGGGAAATCCTAGACTTTCCAAAAAGGAACCTACATGGCATATAACAAAGTACAGCATCCAAGAGAAACCATCAAAAACAACACTAGACTCCTGGGTTTGACAGTGATGGGCTAGATACTAGCACAACATCCCAGTTTGGGGCCACATGTCAGTTTGCTGTACTGCTGTTTTGTTTGTATTTATTTATTTATTTGTTTGTTTGTTTGAGATGGAGTCTTGCTCTGTCACCCAGGCTGATGTGCAGTGGTGCCATATTGGCTCACTGCAACCTCTGCCTCCTGGGTTCAAGTGATTCTCTTGCCTCAGCCTCCCGAGTAGCTGGGATTACAGGCGCACACCGCCACATCTTGCTAATTTTTTTTGTATTTTTAGAAGACACAGGGTTTCACCACGTTGGCCAGGCTGGTCTCGAACTCCTGACCTCAGGTGATCCATCCACCTCAGCCTCCAAAAGTGCTGAGATTATAGTCATGAGCTATCGCGCCCAGCCTGTGCTGCTGTTTTAAATGAGCAGATATTTAAACTGCTTCAGATGGTCAGTTGTAGGAGGAGGTGGTGGCAGCAAAAGATGCTGAAGGAGAAGAAAAAAAGGATGAAAAAGGTCATCCTTCAAAAGCCTGACTCTTTTCAAATGCAGTATTGCTAGGCCCAGCTGGAGTAGGGTAATTGCAATTTAACTCCCCTTGGCCTCACCATAGAACTAGCCTATATGCAATGCTATGATAATGGAATTGCAAGGACTTTCAAAAATAACAGAGTACAACAGGCTCTGAGGAGGAGAGAATAGTGGAAGAGGGATAGGCAGGAAGTAGGTATAACCTGTGTCTGAGGCTAGATGAAGATTCAGGCTCCAAGAAACAAATATTGCCTTTAGATTCAGCCAGAGGAAATCAAAAGGAATTTAGGAACAGCCTCTATGTTTGTTGCATTATTCTAGGTGCTGTGTCTAATAAAAAAAGTAAGGCATGGTCTTTCCTGCTAAGCTGTTTACAGGCTTACCTCTTCATCAGCAAAGAGTATATGAGTAATTCTAGTTACAATCCTGACAGTAACATCAACTAAGGCAAAGTCCTCTAATATATATCACTGTACTGTAGGAGAGAATGTAGGTAATGAAAACATCAAAACAGGGCTTCTGGGCCTGCCTGTAGCATGGACAGCCCAGCCCTATATTTAATCTTTAAATAGATAACAAAGAAGCAAATAATAGGAAGGCATGATTACTTTCCAAGCATCTTTTCCCAAACTTTGTGGTTTCTCTTAAAACCCATGTCTTGCCATTCATAAATTTATCAAATGAGTTTGTTGAAAGTTCTAAATATATCTGAAGCTATTGATACTTTTGGAAATGTACTTCTTACCCTTTAGAGTAACACCTCCATTTATCAAGTTTGTGTGTGTGTGTGTGTGTGTGTGTGAGATGGAGTCTCACTCTCTCTCCCAGTCTGGAGTGCAGTGGCGCGATCTCGGCTCACTGCAAGCTCTGCCTCCTGGGTTCACACCATTCTCCTGCCTTAGCCTCCCGAGTAGCTGGGACTACAGGCGCCCGCCACCACACCTGGCTAATTTTTTGTATTTTTAGTAGAGACAGGGTTTCACCATGTTAGCCAGGATGGTCTCTATCTCCTGACCTTGTGATCCGCCCGCCTCAGCCTCCCAAAGTGCTGGGATTACAGGCGTGAGCCACTGCACCCAGCCTATCAGTTTTATATTTACTCTTTTCAATCATCACGGGCCCTCCCCCCTTCATTTGTCCCATGGTTTGGAGTTTGAGGGAAATAAGTACCCATTCTCCCTCATTAATCCACAGTATTTGCAACAAAGTCCTTACTTAGGATGTAAACATCAAAATAAAGCAACTTTATTTAATATTTCATAATCTCTATCCACTCTTTAAAGCTCTGATCAAATGCCTTTTCCTCTGTGAATTATTCTCTGGTTACTCCCAAAATGATCTCTCCCTTCTCTCATCACATGAAAAACTAATTGTCTGCTCCACTTTTCTTTTACATTCTTCTTATAGTCTGCCTTGGGTTGTTACTAAATCATTTTACATATACATATTTCACGTTTTCCAGCCAGGTTATAAGCTTTCCGAGGACAAGTCACTCAATTCAAGATACTGCCTAACTATCTATTATATAAAAGGTACTGGCTTAGCACCATTGAAGATACAGCAGAAACATGGTGAACTCGAGAGTATATGTTCATTTTAGAGGATGTTACATTTTTAAAAATAAACACTGCTGTTGAAAGAAACACATATGGCCTGCAGGCTGTCAGTTTGTAATTACTGGTCTAAAATAAGGTATTGGAGGTGGAAATGGAAAAAAGAGAGCTCACAGGAAAGGCAGAATTAGTAGGCTATGAAAGCAGACTCAATATATGTGATAGGAAGGAAAAAAGGCATCAGAGATGCCTAGGTTTCTAACATGGAGGACAGGTAATACAGTAGTGACATTTACCAATAAATGATATAAGGAAGAAGGAGCAGGTTTGAAGGTGGAGTTGGCGATTAGGCAGAAGGTATTATGTATCACTTGGATCATGAAGAAGGTATCAACAGAATAGCCATGATGACTTTGCCAGCAGAGCATCTGGAAGTTTGTATTTTGAATTCAGGAGAGAAGCCAGAGGTAGAAATTAGGAGACATAAATGTAGAGATTGTGCTGAGAGATGCTACCCAGGGGGAGTACAGAATAAGAGAAGAAAACATGGACAAAGTCCTGGGAAACACCTACATTTTAGAGGTAAATAAGAGAAAGCAAAGGCTACATCTATGACTAAGGAGCAGAACGAGGGAAATGCAATGTCTTAAGACACAAAGCAGGAAAAAGTTTTAAGGAATAGCACAAACTTGAGAGCCTATCAAAGTGCTTGGCACATAGTAGGCATACAATAAAGTTTTATTGAATGCATGAGTGATGCTTTGAAGGATTCATAGCATAGAAGGCAAGAACATTAGGCCACATTGAGTCCTTTTCAGAAAAACACAAACATCTTAGCTACCATCAGCAACTGGGCATCTCAATTATAACTCTTCAGTGTGTAAGTGATGCTATCATTTTATAACTTTATCTTATGTATTCTATAAGGTTCAACAAACCTCCTGACTGGATGACAATCATCTTCTTTTGAGCCGAATGGCTCTCTGATCACTTATATTTTTAAAGTAGAAAATGTGTGGCTATTCATTGACACTATAACTTAACTCAGTCAGTTTCAGTCAGTCTCAACGTTTATGAAGGGATGCAGAAATTTTCTTTATAACAACCATGAAAGTTTCAAATGAGAAACATTTCATCTTAACCAATAACTGTACTCATTTGGGTATGAATTTTTATTGGCAAACATTTCTCTGTGTTAGAACAAAAAGATGTCTCCAGAGGAAAGCTAAGGACATTAATTTCTCTCACCCATGGTTTTTGTTGGGTAGTGAGACCAGAATTCACAATGTAAAATTTACTCAAGAAAGACAATATTAAAGCTTAGTTTGTGCTTTCTAGGTGGAATCCTCTATTTTCAGCCCTTTCACCACCATCTACCCCTTGTGATCCTAACTGAAAGGTAGTTGCACCAAATCAGCCCTACTTTTATTAAAAATGGATCCAACTATTTGAGGTGGTCGACTGGAAAGATTTTCAGCTAAGTTTTTGTATCCAGTATAAATGGGTTTCATATGTATGTGTCTATGCCTTCACATGCTTGGATACCCCAGACATTAATTTAAAATCTCTGTCCTGGGCCTGAACTATGTCCCAGTTCAATACCATAGCTTTTTTTCTAAGTTTGAAATGAGTAGGCCAAGAGCTAGGAGCTAAAGCAATATTGTGGCTGCTAGGAGAAGAAAAAAGTCATCTGAACCGAGGACTCACTTTTTCCTTTGCATCAGAGAGACCCACTGAGGACTGGGTCTATGTGACACAGCTCTATGCTATATTATGGCACCAGTTAGCACTGAGTTAACTTAATCATCAGTTGGCAGAAAGTACCCTCTTACATACGAATGTATATGTGTTAAGGGAAGGTATCTGGCCCTACCCACTGAACAGCTATGGTGTACCTAATCTGGGTAAGAGTTAAAAGCCAAGATAAAGGACAAGGGCATCAAGGGCCAAATTCATGGCAAAGACATCAATATAAGGTAACCAAAATGAGGGCAGCCACATAGAAGTCCTTGGAATATGGGAGGTAGAGAAAAAAGGGTCTGAGCAGAAGGGAAGCCTGAGCAGTCACAGGTTTAGAAGATTGTACCTTTAGGCTTTACTCTACCAAGCTGTACCAAGTCATATCTTTGTCTCAAGAATTCATCTTAGCACATCAAGTTACCTTGCTGAAATATGCCAATACTTTCCTTTAAAAAAAAACCTCTATATAAAATATATATTTATTTCTTCCAAATAACTAGTTTTCAAGTTTTGTTGCATGTTTTTTATGTGTGAAGGATGGTATATGTTGTGCACACAAGTACGTACAGGATTTCAGTAGTGAGTAAAACACCGAGATTCATCCTAGAAGAGAGAAGACTAAGATGATAATTTGCATACAAAGCTCCCAATTCAATATGTGTGAAAACACAGTTTAGTAAGAGAGAGAGATTTCTCCCAAAAACAGGGTCCAGGAGAGCATTTTTTAAATTTTTATTTTTAATGTTTGTGGGTACATAGTAGGTGTATATATTCATGGGATACATGAGATATTTTGACACAGGTATACAATGCATAATAATCACATCATGGAGCATGGGATATCCATCCTTTCAAGCGTTTATCTTTTGTGTTACAATCCAATTATACTCTTAGTTATCTTAAAATGTACAATTAAATTATTATTGACTATAGTCTCCCTGTTGTGTTATCAAATACTAGGCCTTATTCATTCCTTATAACTATATTATTTTTGTACCCATTAACCATCCCTGCCTCCACACCCCACTACCATTCCAAGCCTCTGGTAACCATCCTTCTACTCTCTATGTCCATGAATTCAACTGTTTTGATTTTTAGATCCCACAGATAAGTGAGAACATGCAATGCTGTCTTTTTGTGCCTGGCTTATTTTACTGAGTGTCCTCCTGTTCCATCTATGTGGCTGCAAATAATAGGATTTCATTCTTGTTTATGGCTGAATTGTACTCCATTTTGTATATGTACTAAATTTTCTTTATCCATTCATCTGTTGATAGATACTGTTTCTAATTCTTAGGTATTGTGAACAGTGCTGCAACAAACACTGGAGTGTAGATATCTCTTTGATATACTGATTTCCTTTCTTTTGGATATATACCAGCAGTGGGATTGCTGGATCATATGGTAGCTCAATTTTTAGTTTTTTATAGGAGCTTCCAAATTGGACTCCATAGTGGTTGTACTAATTTACATTCCTACCAACAGTGGACGAGGGTTCCCTTTGCTCTATATTCTTTCCAGCATTTGCTATTGCCTGTCTTTTGGATGAAAGCCATTTGCCATTTTAACTGGGGTGAGAGGATATCTCATTATAGTTTTGAGTTGCATTCCTCTGTTGATCAATGATGTTGAGCACCTTTTCATGTCTGTTTCCCATTTGTATGTCTTTTTTTGAGAAATGTCTATTCCAATATTTTTGCCCATTTTTTAATCAGATGAGTAGATTTTTTCCTTTAGAGTTGTTTGAACTTGTTATATATTCTGGTTATTAACCCCTTGTCAAATGGCTTGTTTGCAAATATTTCCTCCCATTCTGTGGGTTGTCTCTTCACTTTGTTGGTTGTTTCCTTTGCCATGCAGAAACTTTTTAACTTGATATGATTCCATTTGTCCATTTTTGCATTGGTTGCCTGTGCTTGTGGGGTATTACTCAGAAAATCTTTGCCCAGGCTGATGTCCTGGAGAGTTTTCCCAACGTTTTCTTGTAGTAGTTTACAATTTTGAGGTCTTAGATTTAACCTCTTAATCTATTTTGATTTGATTTTATGTATGGCAAGAGATAGGGGTCTTGTTTCATTCTTCTGCATATGGATATCCAGTTTTCCCAGCACCATTTATTGAAAAGATGGTCTTTCCCCAGTCTATGTTCTTGACAGTTTTGTTGAAAATAAGTTCACTGTAGGCGTGTGGAATTGTTTCTGGGTTCTTTATTCTGTTCCATTGGCCTATGTATCTGTTCTTATGCCAGTACCATGCCATTTTGGTTACTATAGCGCTGTAGTATAATTTGAAGTCAGGTAGTGTGAATCCTCCAGTTTTGTTGTTTTTGCTTAAGATAGCTTTGGATATTCTGGGTCTTTTGTGGTTCCATATAAATTTTAGGGTACTTTTTTTCTATTTCTGTGAAGAATATCATTGGTATTTTGATAGGATTACATTGAATCTGTAGATTGCTTTGAGTAGTATGGACATTCTAACAATATTGATTCTTCTAATCCATGAACATGGAATATTTGTCCAATTTTTGGTGTCCTCTTCAATTTCTTTCATCAGCGTTTTGCAGTTTTCATTACGGAGAACTTCTACTTATTTGGTTAATTCCTAGGTATTTGATTTTATTAATGGCTATTGTAAATTGGACTACTACTTTTTAAAATTTATTTTCCAGTTTGTAAACTGTTGACATTAGAAATGCTACTGATTTTTGTGTGTTGATTTTGTATCCCTCAACTTAACTGAATTTGTTTATTAGTTCTAATAGTTTTTGGTGGTGTCTTTAGGTTTTTCCAAATATAAGATTATATCATCTGCAAACAGGGAGAGTTTTACTTCTTCCTTTCCAGTTTGGATGCCCTTTATATGTTTCTCTTGTCTGATTGCTCTAGCTAGGACTTCCAGTACTATGTTGAGTAACAGTGGTGAAAGTTGGCATCCTTCAGAAAAGTATCATTGAGTACAGAACATTTGAGAAGCAAATAAAATAATGAAAGATGAAAAGAAGAGACAACAGCAAGATAGGCAAAAGAACCAGCACAAGTGACAAGTAGACAGGAAGGAGCAATGCATGTTCACAGAATCACCATAGCAATCCAAATGAATTATAGCAGAAGGTCCCTGTTGGGGACCAGCAACAAATGCAGGTGAACCAAATTGAAGACTTAGCCCAGTGGTTTTGAAATATTTATGAGCATCTGTATTATTTGGGGTGGCAGGGTACTTGTTAAAAAATTTTTTTTGGACCTATTCCCTGAGATTCTGTTTTATATGTCTGCGATACCTGCATTTGCTTCTGGTCCCCAACAGGAACCTTCTGCTATTATTCATTTGGATTGTTCTGGTGATTCTGTGAATACGCATTGATCCTTCCTGCCTACTTGTTGTCACTTGTGCTGGTTCTTCTGCCTGTCTATCTTGCCATTGTCACTTCTTGAAGAGACAGCGGCAAGAAATTTGGAAGTGTGATAGGTTCCAGCAAGGGAAGCTGATGCAGCTTTTCAGAATGCACACTTAAGGAAACCTTAAGTTAGGAGGTGATATCCTAGTAGAATTCACTATCAGATTTCTATAAATTCCTACTTTGTCCAATGACATTTTGGTAGTATTTTATTTGAAGAAATGCTGTTGAACTATATCTCTTCTAGAATGGAAATATTTTATAAAGACAGTTATGCCTGTTATTCTAATTGGAATTAATTATTTCAATTAAAACAGGAGGAAAACACCAAGCACCAGTGATTTAAAACTTTATATAAACAAGCTGACAAAAATCATTTTTCCCCAGTAGTCAGTATCTGTCTGAAGGTCACAAACAAGTTTTTTTTCCTTTGAGTTTAGATAAATTAGGAGACCACCTGCTGTTCTGTTTACAAAAATTAGCTGTTCATTTCACCATCTGGGAAAGCTTTGGTTACTTTGGTTTAAATGTTCATGGTAACGAAATCTGAAATGTTGCCATACATTCCATTTGGGCAGCATCATCCATTTACCAAATGGAATATGTAAGCTTCCAGCATTAGATAATCATAGTTTAGGAATGTATTTTAATAAGCAAGCATGGAATATAGGTAAATTTTTGCCATCAAAAAGGAGCCATGAAGGCCAGGAACCAACTTGGGGAAAAATGTGAAGTGGGGTTTTTTTCTGGCACAAAAATAAAGAGTATTCTAGGCAGCACAAACAGTGTGACAGACCATGCATAAGCCATAAAATGTTCTGTGTGTTGTAAGAAATTGATAGGACATTGGTTTCACTAACAAAATAGGTTGAGGTCACATGCTGTAAAGAGCCTTGAATAATAAACATAATATAAGCTAATACCTACATATCACTTACATTGTACCAGGCACTATTCTAAACACTTTATATACATTAATTTATTTAATTATTACAAAAAGCCTTTGACATAGGTGCTATTATTAGCCCCATTTAACAAGGAGACTGAGCTACTCAGAAGCCACCAAAGGATTTTAGGCGTGATCAGATTTGTATTTGAGAAAGGTATTTCTGGTTGCAATGTGGAAGAATGTTTAGAAAGGGGAGATAGTACAGGGATAGAAGACTAGATAGGAGGCTACTATAATAATTCAGGAAAGATTTAATGAAAACTCAGAATTAGAGCAGTATAAGTGGAAAGTAAGAATATATTCCAGAGAGAGATGTGAGGCAGAGTTGACTACTTAAGGGGCTAATTGGATTTCAGGTTTGTGTGAAGACGTGAAAGAAGGATTATTAATTATAACTTCCAGGTCACACTTGGATGTATAGGTAGATGGTACTGATACCCATCAGGACATGAAATATAAAAATAATCATATTTTTTAGGTAACATGGTGAATTTTGTTCTGGACACTTTGCATTGAGATTCTAGTAGAATAACAGAGGTAAATATAAAACAGACAGTTGGCTGTACTGATGTAGAACCAGGAGAGATATCTGAGCAGAAGGGAGATTGGGGTATTAACAGCATTTGTAACTTTCATATTTGGCCTACTGGAGTTCCCACCTTCATCACTGCTGTCTGATTTATTAGTAAAAACATGTTGGTATACGAGGAGGGTAGAGCTTTTTGAGATCAGAAAACCACTGCACATAAAAGCAGTTTAAAAATCTACCAAAGCTTAAAGCCAGAATGTCGTGGGTTGACCTGGCTCTAAATGTCACATATCAATCAGAAGGGATCCAACAAGTTCTGTGTGGAGAACTAGGAAGTATCTGAACAAGGTGTGCACATGCTTGCTCAGTATATATCAAACTTTAATGTCCATGTAAATTACCCTGGGAATCTTGTTAAAATGCAGATTCAGATTCAGTCAGTTTAGCTTGAGTCATAAAATTCTGCATTAATTTCAAGCACTCAGGAGATGCCAATGCTGCTGGTTCATGGACCATACATTTGGTAGCAACACTCTGGACAGGTGCTATTCAATAGAAATACAATGTGAGCCACACCTGTAATTTTAAATTTTCTAGTAGTCACATTAAAAAGTAAAAATAAATTGGTAAAACTAATTTAATAATATGTATATAATTAACCCAATATATCCAAATAACATAATTTCATTATGTATAATATTTACAGTATTAGTGAAATATTTTACATTCTTTTTTGGTACTAACTCTTTGAAATACAGTGTCTAGTTTACACTTACAACATCTATCTCAGTTTGGACTAGGCACATTTCAAGTGCTTAAAAGCCGTATATGCAGTACAGTGCAAGCCCAGATAGTTCTGCATTAGATGTCTTGAATCAATGATCACTGTCATCCTCATAAAAATAGACCTTAATTCTTCACAATGCATTTGAAAGTTTTTATCCCACCTGTTCATAGCCAATTGTTCTTAGTTTTCAATATGAAATTAAACAGTTGCTTAGCTCAATGTTTACTTTTAATTTCCATGTAAGCTACCCAATATATGATAAATTCACTTTAGACTAAGACACTTAAGAAACAGAACAGGAAATAGAATAATCACTGGAATAGGAATCTAGAGATACAAATTCAGGCCCAAAAGAGTTCTGCCTCTATTTATTTGTTATGTGACTTGGGCCACACAAAGTTTCCTCCATAGTAAAATGTAGGGGGTTGGACCAGATAATCTCTAAGATTTCTCCCAATTCTCATGTTCTACTCATTTGTATTTAACACTATGCATCATGAGTACATTCTAATTACAAGTCAACACTTCATGTAACAAATGGGCACATCCCTACACTTCCAGGTCCTGGGTCATCTCAACAATGTATCAGTTCTGTTGATTAATGAACTTTGAATCAGAATCCACAGAAAAATATTTTCTAATGACTGAAACTATATTAAATCAACAAAGAAAAATAAATAGCCTTTGCTATGGCAGCAGTGACCTGCCAGATATAGAGTTGTGATAAACACCAGTCAGCACAGCCATGCATTGCTTAACAATGAGGATACATTCTAAGAAATGTGTCAGGAAATTCTGTCATTGTGTAAACAACATATAGTGTACTTACACAAACCTAGACTGCATAGCCTACTACATAATTAGACTACATGGCATAGCCTATTACTACTCCTAGGCTACAAACCTATACAGCATGTTACTATGTTGAATACTGTGGGAAAATGAAACACAGTGGTAAATATTTGTGTATCTAAACATAGAAGAAGTCCAGTAAAAATATCGTATTATAATCTTATGGGACCACCATCATACACGTAGTCCATCCTTGTCCAAAATGTTGTTATGCAGCACATGACTGTAAATCTATCATAATTAGTGTCTAACCCCTCAGGTGAATTCTGTAGGGTTTTGCTGCAGGTAAACGCAATGCCAAAGCCAAAATGAAGCAAGCAGATAGAAACCAAGAAGGCATAGAAGGTATGACTACTATGACTACATCCATTCTCATGGCAAAACCTTAACAGGTTAAAACCTCTTCTTAATTTCAAGTTGGTAAAATTTTACTTAATACAATCTACTTAATAGAGCTTCAGGCAAATATACTGGGATGGGTTAGAGCCATGAGAATTAAGCTACCCTTAACTAAAATGGAATCAGAGCAGTTGAAATCATACAAAGCAAAGCATAATTTTACTTTAAAATGGTAAGGTTCTCCCATGGCTTTCAAAAAAAACTGATAATATTTTTGAAATGTTAATGACTTTCTTGGAGGGTACAAGGCAATGTGAGGACTGTTACAACTTCCTCCTAGGTTCAGAAAAGAATTTGACAAAGGGATCAGATATACTATCTAGATTACACCAAATTCTTTGCCCTGGAAAGTACTCTTGCTTCTTTCATAGTTGTAACATTGATTTCCTTTTTTCATTTTCCTGATTTAAGAACTTTCTACTTCACAACTTATCTCTTACCTCTGCTGGAGGCTGAAAAGACATCATAATGGAAAGAATGCTGAAATCACATGATAGCGTGGGGATCATTGGTAAGTCACTCCCAACAGAAGATTAATTTTTAGAGATATGAAAAAATGAAAACATTGCTGAGAAAGTATGCTCTCCCAAGGTTTGCTGATTTAAATGTATAATTACTACTTACATAAAAAAGGTAAAATGCCACTGAAGTGCCTATATAGGGAATACATCTTTTCAGTAGCCCCCTACTCTACCTACATGCTGTTTCCAAGGTAATGTTTCTCATCTACTTCTTTAAACTAACCCTTTCTATGACATTCATCTCAATGGGTACAAAGTCCATATCTGAAATGAAGCCTTCCTACCAGCCCCTATGGACTTCCCACTCAGTAAACTCCCATGGTATGAAAGGAGGATGCACACAGATATCTAGAAGGAATCTTATACAAAATATACATGGATAGTTCCATAGCAGAACTTACTGCTAGAATTTAAATAATCAGTATTGTTGAGGTCAAGTCACATCATCTTGGCTACTTCCTCTAGAAACAACCATGATTCAGCCAAGCACATGAACACAGTGACAGTCTGAATGTAGGAGAATCTATATTGCATAGTATTACAGACATTATAAGACTGAACTTCAAGGAAAATTGATTCTGGGCCAGAATGATCAGATCCTTCTTCTGAAGTTCTCCTGGAGAAAGAAGAATGTTTCTTGGTCATGTATTGTAGCAACTATGAGAATCCAACTCACAGACCTCCAACTACAAGGAATGTAACTGACGAAAGGCTCTAGCTTCTGTGCACTAAAATCCATCACCACACTGGTATTGAGCCCGTGTGTCCCACAGGCTTCCCCCAGCCAATGACTGAGCATGGCAGGGACACAAAGGCAGGTCCATTCTTGGGAAACAGAAAACAATTTGTTGGTTGACTTTGGCTTAAAGATTATCAGCCAAACTCTCCTGTTAAACCTTCTTTAGACTGATGGAAGTCTAGGACAATTCTACCCAACTTCCCTTTCATCTCTCTCACTTGGTGTCAGATTGGCTTTATGTTATGATGACTCTCACAGTCTTTTCTAGATCCTTTTCCATTTTTTCTCACACAGACATTCGCCTATCAAAATCTTAGTAGGCTTTTTTTGGCAAAAATTGACAAGCTACTCCTAAAATCTGTATGAGAAGGCAAATGTTCAAGAACAGCCAGAACAATCTTGGTAAAGAACAAAGAACTTACACTTGCCAAGTTCAAAAAGTACTATAAAGTTACAGTAATTAAGACAGTCTTGTATTGGCATAAGGATAGACGTATAGATCAATGGAATAAAAAAAACCCTACATTTATTATTAATATTTTTTACATAGGTACAAAGGCATTTCAATGGGATAAAAAATAGTTTTTAGATGGTGCTAGAACAATGCAAAAAGATTAATTCTAACTTCTACCTGATACCATACACAAGTCTTTACTCAAAATGGACCAAAGACCTACATGTAAGAGCTAAAAGTGTAAAACTCTTAGTAGAAAACATTGGAGCAAATCTTTGTAATATTGGGTTAGACAAAGATTTTGTAGGTAAGACAACAACACGCAAGCAACAAGATAAAAATTAGGTCAATTGGACTTCGTAAAAAATTTTCAAAAATTGTTGTGCTTCGAAAGTTACCATTAAAAAAAAAGAAGACAGGCCAAGTACCATGGCTCATGCCTATAATCTCACCATTTTGGGAGTCAGAGGCAGGAGGATTGCTTGAGGCCAGAAGTTCCAGACTAGCCTGGACAACATAGTGAGACTCTGTCTCTATCAAAAAAAAATTTTAAAAATTAGCCAGATGTGGTGGTGCACACCTGTAGTCCCAGCTATCTGCAGGCTGAGGTGGGAGAATTGTTTGAGCCCAAGAGTTGGAGGCTGCAGTGAGCTATGACTGCACCACTGTACTCCAGCCTGGGCAACAGAGTGAGATCCTGTATCTAAAAAACTAATAAAATAAAACATAAAATAAGGAAAATTAACATGAATCACAGACTGGGAGAAAATATTTCCAAATCATACATTCGGTAAAAAACATTCACCTTAAATATATAAAAAGTCATAACTCAAATAATAAAAAGACAAATAACCTGATTTTAAAAAATGGTCAAAGGACCTGAACAGTCATTTCTTCAGAGAAGACATTCAAATGGCCAATAAGCATATGAAAAGATGCCCAACATCATTTAGTCATCAGGGAAATGCAAATCAAAAGCACAATGAGATACCTCTCCACAATTACTAGAATGGTTATAATTAAAAAGACATAATGACAAATGCTGGTGATGATATGGAGAAACAGGAACCCTCATACATTGTTAGTGCAAATGTAAAATGGTGCAGTCACTTTGGAAACAGTCTGACAGTTCCTCAAAAAGTTGAACATAGAGCTGTCATATTACCTAGCATTTCCACATACATATATACATATGTGTATATATATATATATATATATATATATATATATATAAAACCAAGAGAGATAAAATGAAAACATGTTTATTCAAGAACTTATACACGAATGTTCACAGCAATATTATTTATAAGAGCCCTAAAGTGTAAATAATGCAAATGTCCATCAATTGGTGAATGGGAAAATAAAATATAGTATATCTATACTTTGCAATAAAAATGCAATACCGATACATGCTACAGCATAGATGAACCTTGAAAACACTGTACAAAGTAAAAGAAGCCAGGCACAAAAGAACTCATATTGTATGATTCCTTTTATATAAAATTTCCAGAAAAGGCTAATGTATAGAGACAGAAAAGAGATTAGTGGTAGCCTGGGGCTGAAAAAATGTGAGTTACTGCAAATGGATATGAGGGATCTTTTTGGGATGAAGGAAATATGCTAAAATTGGGCTGTGGTAATAACAGTTCCATAACTTTGTAAATTTACAAAATTTACAAAAACCCACTGAACTGTACACTTGAAACAAATGTTATGGTATTTGAATCATATAGCAATAAAGCTGTTAAAAACGTGCATCAAACATCCATGTTAGAAGAAATATAGGGATATGAAACTCAGACTCACATTTTCCCATAATTTACTTATGAGAAAGATTATTTACACAGGTTGATCTATCAGATAAGCTAAACAGCATTTTCACTGGACATCTGAAGTGAAGTGGCCAAGACTAGTAACATTTTAAATATCAGCAGATTTTATTTCTGTCACCTTCACAGACATTTTACGTACCTATACACACAAACAATAATCTGGTGAAAACAAAATAAAAAAGATGTATTAGGTGTGAATTCTGAAAACCTAGACTCAGGCCCTTTCTTTGTTACTTACTAGCAGTAAAGCTTGGGGCTTTGTGAGCCTTGGTCTTTTCATCTGCAACCAAGAGAACACTAGAACAATGTATGTGAAATTGCTTTTTAAACAGAAATTACAATATAAAGTAAGGGAATTTTTAAATCAGTGGTGATAGAGAAGAAAAAACATGCATATATATATATAACTATGCTAAACAACAGAAAGTGACTTGTGAGACATGTAGATAGCATGCTACAGGATTTCAGAGGAACGAGAGATTCTTTTTGGTCTGAGTGAACAAAAAGGTTTCATGGGGATGCTGACATTTAAACTGGGCCATGACAGATATTTGCATTTGAGTCAATAGGTTAAGGGAATCCAATCAGAAAAAGCAGGGGAAGGCTGGACCACACATGGAGAATGTGCAGTACATCTATTTACCTGAAGTATGGCTTTCTTGCTTCCTTACCACTTCTGACATCCTAAAGCCTTCCTCCCTCTGTACTCCATTTCTATTCACACACTGCAAATTTCAACTCCTCTGCTGTGCTCTTCTCTGACTCATTACCTTGCCCAGCCCCACCCACACTCCCATTAGATGCTACATGTAATCTGATCTGACCACACTGCTCATACCTCTCATTTGGCATTCTCCTAACTTTGTATCACGTTACAATCTTTGGGTTGTGATTATCTGATAATCCTTAGATTGTAAACTTGAGGCACAGAATTTTGTCCTATTTTTTGTTACAGTTCCTACACACAATACCCTCTAAAAATTATTTTCTGAATCAAAGTGAATTCACCCAATATTTATTGAGGGCTGTGTGTGTGTGTGTGTGTCTGTGTGTGTGTGTGTGTGTGTGTGACAGAGTCTCACTCTGTTGCCCAGACTGGAGTGCAGTGGTGCAATCTCAGCTCGCTGCAACCTCCACCTCCTGAGCGCAAGTGATTCTCCTGCCTCAGCCTCCTGAGTAGCTGGGATTACAGGTACCCACCACCACGCCCAGCTAATTTTTGTATTTTTAGTAGAGACAGAGTTTCACCTGGTTGACACCAGGCTGGTCTCAACCTCCTGACTTCAGGTGATCTACCCCTTGGCCTCCCAAAGTGCTGGGATTATAGGCATGAGCCACCGCGCCTGGCTGAGAGCTTATTTTTGACCCAATATAGTGCTATATAGAATATAACACAAGATCTGATTCCTGTCTCTCAAGTTGCTTACAACCTAGCCAGAAGGTCCAAAATTTAATTATATTCCTGTATGGAATATAATGCGCACAGCACTGATGATTGTCTGTCCCCAACTAATATCCAAATTTTATCTGACTTAACCGCTCCTTGCCATTGGTGGAAATGTTATAGGCAGCCAGATGGGGAAGGACGGTGGAGGCACAGTTACACAAATGTGAAAAATAAAGTAACAATGGTAAATTTAAAAAGAAACGAACACTTTGATAACAAAATCTGTTTGGAAATACCAATTATTCATTGATTTAAAAGAAAATCACACACTAAAAGATATATTTTGAATAAAACTTGAGCCACCTCATCTCAATAAACACCACATGAGATTTCTTTAGTTCCTTGAAAAGACACTGGTTAAATTCTTTCAGAAATAAGTATTTGGTTCTAGATCACTTCTTGCCAGTGTGTATTATCTGGTCCATCAGTGGTTCTTAATAGGATTTGGGTCACAGACCTCTCTTGATGAATGCTGCCAACTGGCTCCCGGAAAAAATGAACAGTCACAAAAATTTTTGCATAAAATGTTAGAGTTTTGAATATGTCCCTAAAGTTCATTCATTAATATTATGGTAGGCAGAATTTTAAGATGGCCTCCAATAATCTTGACCACTGTTGTACATACATACCTTGTATAATCCCTTCTGTGAATCTGATAGGTTCTCACTCCTGTAATTAAGTTATGCTATACTGCAAAGGTGAAAGAATTTTGCAGATGAAATTAAGGTTCCTAATCAGTTGACTTTAAGTTACCAAAAAAAGAGACTACCCAAGTTTAGCCTGACCCAATGAGGCGAAACCTTAAAAAACTGGAGAAGTCAGAAAGATTCTAAGTGGCAGAGATGCTATTCTGTTGACTTGGAGGAAAGCAAATGATTATGTTAGGAGCTGCTGATGGAGAGAGACATGTAACTGGGACATGAGAGCATCCTCTAGGAGTTGAGAATGACCTCCAGGTGACAGCAAGTAAATGGATACCTCATAACCACAAAGGACTCAATTCTGCCAAGAATCTAAATGAGTTTGGAAAAGGATCCCAAGCTCCAGATGGGAACACAACCCAAACAACAACTTGATTTCAACTATGTGACACCCTGATCAGAGAAACCAGCTACACTGTACCTGCACTTCTGACCTAAAGAAACTGGGAAAATAAATAAATGGCTTAATAGCCATTAAGTTTGTGGCAATGAATTACACAGCAATAGAAAACTAATACAAACAAATTAAAAACCTGTGGCCTAAAGAGTTTATATGGATCACCAGACAATATTGTATAGCAGATGTGGCTTTTAGAAGTCTTATGGCAACATAAGGATTCCAAATAGTGATTACAGACATTTCAGAAAAGCTTTGATTATTCCTTAGGTCAAACCTTCACCAAGGGAGCAAGCTACATACCAATTCCCTAAACAGACTGGATTTAATCAACTCAGATGATTTATTTGCACCCCAAACTATTTCTTGTTAAATATGCACAGTTGTCCAGTAGGCAGCCAATTTTATTTTTCTTTTCCTCCCAGCCCCTTGGCCTGCTAGGGCTGCAAAGCCTCCTCCCCAGTCATGGTTGCTAAGTGTTTAAAATCCATTGTTATTACCAGTCAGAGACCCTGTGTTGGTTACTCAGCAATTGCTTATACTGGATAGCCTTTGTAGCAATCTCAATTTGTGTGCAAAAACTCACATAAAAAATCCAAACACAAATGTCAGTAACCCTATGTATCATGTTCCAGACCTATTTTTCTTCTCTTCTTTCCTACACTTCCATCAAAACATATTTATCTAGTGTCTCACTTTCATAGATTCCTGGCAAATGGGAGGTGTTAATTCAATCCATAAATTCATCCGACAAGTATTTATAGAACGACCTACCACATGCAAGATATAGTAAACACTCTTTGTGGGACAGCGTCAGCTTCACAGGTGTATGATCTGTGCAGATGCACAGGGCTCTGCATGTAAAAGGGCCCTGTGCTTGGTTTAATGCTCTGCTTTTGCTGTCTTGACATTTCTAATAATTTTTGAACAAAGAGCCTTGCATTTTAATTTTACACTGGGCCATGCAAATTATGTAGCCAGTCTTGTTACGGTAATATAATACAAAGGGAAACATAACTGGACTGGAAAGATAGTGGGATATCTGCATGCTGGTCTTGGTTCTGTCACTAAAGGATTGTGTGATCCTAGGCCAGTAAATTTCCCCTCTCTGAGCTTCAGTTGTCTCTTCTAAAAAATGAGGGGATAAGACTGGGCCAGTGTTTCCCAAACTTACCTGATAATGAGGATCACCAAGGGTGCTTGTTATTAATACAAACTACAAATTCTAAATGTATACCTCTGATTCTTCCTGTCAGTTTGCTCCCATCTCAGTGTTCCAACACTCCTCTACACCCCAGCACAGATGCCCCACCCCAAACCCATAGCCACAGGAGAGGTCACATCTGTTGGAGATAGGGGAAATGAAATCATGGAAGGCTTCATGGAGGAGGCTGCACCTGAGCTGGTCCTTGAGGGATGGGGCTACATTACATTACCCAGTCAGAGACTGGAAAGATTTTCCAGAGAGAGATGGTGTTTATGTGCAAAGCTAGGGATGAAACACTGGTGCAGAGCATGGGCTCACCAGGCATGGGGCAGGGTTCAAATCAGGCCTGGTTCAAACTGATCACCTCTCTCCATGGGCTCCAGCCCTCTTCTGCATCAGTGTAAACTTCACTCACAGGCTTATACACTCATACATCTACACATTCACACATACACACATGCATAAGACACTCAAATATATACACTCACACATAAACACATACACACTTATACAACATGCTCACACATATGCATACACATACACACATTCACATGTACACATACCCACACTCACATATCCTCACACACACAAACACACATACACATACCTGCACATATACACGTACACATATACTCACACAATATACTCACACACACTTCCAGGCAGACAGGCCTTTCTCAACTGTAATTCTCTGTCTCTGGGCAGGCAGGCCCCACTTTTCTGTGAGTGTTACCAATAGTCTTCCTCCTCCCCCCACCTTACTGAATGTGTGCAGTTGCCTAGTAGGCAGCCATTTCTTCTCCTTATTGCCCCTAGACCCAGTTAGTGAAGTAACTACAATCCTCCCTCTGAAACGTGGTTGCCAAGTGGTTAGAATTCACTATTCTGACACTTAAGAAATGTAGTTACTTTGTAGTTGCAACCTCAACACACATTCATAAAGTCAAGGGCTAAATGTCAGTTCAATGTAAGAGTTCTGTTCCCAGTTCTATCGTAGCTGCCCAGCCCAGTACCCCCAATCTTCCTCATCAAATACTGATGCTTCCCTATATTTTTTACAGTTTCAGATCCTGTTAGTTAACCATGATTATGTTATTAAACTCCATAACTTTACTCACATATTAGTCTATCTCGCCAATCTACCACTGACCTTATATAAGTCTGTACACACATACACACACACACACACATATACACACACACACTGACTCTTCAGTTCTGCCCCCTTCCATTTTTGAGAAAATAACTCGTAAGTCATTTTGGTATTTTGTCAGTAGAAATATGAGCTCTGTCATTTTTGCTGGCATTCTTTTCTATGATCGCCTATTAAAACTGCCAGCTAAGGGTTCTTCTGAATCTATCAAGATCAGACTCCCATGCACTTGTGGGTGTATGAGTGTGCACAGCGTTATTTCCATTTCACGTGCATTTTATTTGTGATGTACTGACATCATTAACACATTTTAGAATATTTGCGTATGTTGTACAAGCAGCAGTAAAATTACCAAATACTAAACAGCACCAATTATATTTGATTTGAGTGACATATAGACTACCATGAAGTAAAATAGGGAATGCAAAATCAGTGGCAAGAAAGCAAGCACAAAAGCACCCTTCTTTAATTTCCCACTATTTTATAATTGCACGGTACTTTTTAGAATCATCTTGCTTCTTTCAGGAACATATTCCTATCACAATGAGTGAAAATAGCCATGTCAACGCCAATAATTCCAAAGTTATGATGTTCCTGCCCTTGAGCTCAATTTCCTAGACCCACTGCCTAATGCTTCATACCAGGCACAATTTGGATGCCTGAATTTGCAAAAGTGGGCACCGACATTTAATACATTGGGAGTTTTGAACTAGCTTGGATCACTTCATGCAATTCGACAAGCTACGGGCTTCGTGGGTGACCTTGCTGTGGCATTAGAGGAAGCTAATCTTACTGATTCCTACCCTCTCACTGATAGCAGAATAAGCTGTGGGTCAACCTGGAATATTTTTCAGGTTGAAATCTAAACATAGCCAACACAGAAAGAAAAAGCTCATCTCAAAGCTCCTTTACTGGGCTGTGGGAAAGATAGTGCAGCCGCACAATATCTAAGCTCCACAAAGTCCTTATTAAGTATGACAGCAACAGCTGAAGCTGCTAGAACTAGCAGAACATTGAAAGAAACACAGGCCCATTAGGGGAAAAGGTATAATTTGAAATAAATAATGTATCTCTGGGCTGCCAGTGGGCATGAAAATCCCAGCAGCCATGGAGTTTTGTATTGCATTGAAGGCGATAGCTATAATTCCCTTTGGACACCTGGACCTGTATTGTCACATTTCTCCTCATAAACATAAAATATAACAGCACTTTGGAAAGCAAATGCAACTCATGTTCTGCTTGATGGATAACAATAGTGAGAGTACCTGAGACAGGCAGAAATTTGCTTATTCAATAAACAGTTCTAAGGCAGAGAGAAAGCCCTGTGGTTGGCATTCAAGGCCTTCTACATAGCTTACCCTGCCACACCAGGCTTCACTTCACTACTCCCCACCATGACTCTAGTATTGTACCAAGTCAGAGTCCTTTCAATACACACTCTGTTCATTTCTCTCTCTGTGCCTTCACCTTATTCTTGTCTCTGTTTGGAATAACCCATGCTCCTGCCTCCAACTTTAATTGATCTACTTCTTATATTTTTCTCTGAGAGCTAGCTCAGGTTCCAACTCCTCCAAAAAAATTTTTTTTCTCTGACTGAACAAATCCCAGTAATGTCTTCCTTTTATTTATTTCTATAGCACCTATTGGATGTACCATATAACTTGGCCCTTGCTTCTACACGATCTTGCATAGTTCTCTAACATAAAACTCCTAGAGGAGTGCCTAAGTGTTCTCAGCACACAGTAATTTAGAAAATACTTACTTCTGCCTGGCGCGGTGGCTCACGCCTGTAATCCCACCACTTTGGGAGGCCGAGGTGGGCGGATCACGAGGTCAGCAGATCCAGACCATCCTGGCTAACGTGGTGAAACCCCGTCTCTACTAAAAAATAGAAAAAATTAGCCAGGCGTGGTGGCGGGCGCCTGTAGTCCCAGCTACTCGGGAGGCTGAGGCAGGAGAATGGCGTGAACCCGGGAGGCGGAGCTTGCAGTGAGCCGAGATCGCGCCACTGCACTCCAGCCTGGGCGACAGAGCGAGACTTCGTCTTTAAAAAAAAAAAAAAGAAGAAGAAAGAAAGAAAATAATTACTTCTTAGTGGTAAAATGTATGAACTTTGAATCCCAACTCTAATGCTACCTGTGTGAATATAGGCAAATTATTTAACTGTACTAAGCCTCAGTTTCCTCATTTGTGAAGTGGAAATAATGGTAGCTACCTCACAGAAGTAGCTCTGTCCTGTTCTCATATTTCACTTTTTCCACCTAAGTTATATTAATGCTTTTTGTTCTCAGGGGGGAAAAAAGAAAAATGCCACTTCAGAGAGTCTTTGAGTCTTTGTTCAGTAAAGAAGGCTGTTGAAGACTGACTGGCCACCAAACAGGATTTCTGACCTTAAATAAGGGTCTAAAAAAGGAGCTTCTTAACCTGGTTCATATCTATCATGAACGATCCTTCATGATCTGGATTATGTTTAGCTCTCCAGAATAATCTTTTATAAGGACACTCTTCTCCCAAGTGTGAATTTCAACAACAAGAAATGACTTATAATTCCTCGAAAATGCCTTGGTTCCTCCAAAATCTCAAGACATACAGATAAAATATTGTGGTTTAGGTTGAAGAAATACAAGAAGCTTCTGAGGGCTTTAAGATAAACTAAGAAGCTGAGAGGAGAAAAAGCGAAAACCCCATGCAAATGGATCATCACTGTCAACACTGTTTCATATTTGCAAACCTCATCAAAAACCAGTGTGAAGTATTAGTGACTATACTTTATAGAGGAATTCAATGCTAGTGATTAAGCCCTTAATAAATATTTGTGTCACACAGAAAGGGTTTTTCCCTTATTTTTACAGGTCCAATAAACAGATATTTGTAAATATTCAAACTAAAAAGTTGCTGAGTTCTATTTCAAAGTGTTTTTAAACATACAGCCTAGTTCTACTTTAAAAAAATTATTATGAGCTAGGCAGAGTGAGATGAGAAAATAGGATTAGAATGGGTAAATTACTAGCCTAAGGTCACCAAAGTGATTACTACTGAACCCTGGATTAGGGCCTTTAGTGATTCCTAATTTAGCTATCTCAAGTTTGGCTTTACAGATATTGGGCTTTTTACCTCAAAAAAAAAAAATTACTGGAGACCTTCAACCTTGAGTCATGGGTTAAAACTGAATGTTTAAACAATGTTCCCCCGCTCCCCATCAGTATTTCAAGTGCATCTGGTTTCAGGAGGCACTGAATGGTAGAAGGTGAATTGTGTCATTACACAGTGAAGGCAAAATTGGATTTAACAGCTCCTTCAGTTTATACCCATTGTCACTCCTATTAATCTCTGCCTCCCAACATGCCCAAACATTTGCACATGGATGAAGTTGAACTTTCTTATGAGTAAGATTCTTCATTCAAGGTTTATTTGATTTTGTTTTCATCAAGTTTTCATGTTACATGGGAGAGTAGTGCTTGTACCAGATGGTATCCAATTTTTTTTCTCCTTAAGATGGAAAGCCTACACATGTACTCAAATTTCCTGACCCTGCTCTTTCTCTGCCTGGTTTCATCAATAACTGTTTTTGCAATGTCTTTATTTTAACTAAATTGTTCATATATTGTTGCTTCATTTTTCTGGTTAAATCTAGATAACTAACGAGTACACAGTCTTGGCCATCACTCATTTCATGCCTTTTTTCATTGATTAGCAAGCAGATTTTTTTATAATGGCCCATCACCAGCTATATTTATTTATCAATTTATTTATTTTTATTTTTTGAGACGGAGTCTTGCTCTGTCACCCAGGCTGGAGTTCAGTGACTTGATCTCAGCTCACTGCAACCTCTGCCTTCCAGGTTCAAGTGATTCTCTTGCCTCAGTCTCCTGAGCAGCTGAGATTACAGGCATGCACCATCACACCTGGCTAATTTTTGTATTTTTAGTAGAGATGGGGTTTCACCATGTTGGCCAGGCTGGTCTTGAACTCCTGACCTCAGGTGATCCGCCGTCCTTGGCCTCCAAAAGTGCTGGGATTACAGGTGTGAGCCACTGCGCCTGGCCTATATTTATTTTTTAATACCCTTCTTATTACAGCAGACTAATTTGCCCAGTGTTAGTTCCATCTGTTTTTCACCAGCCTCATCAAAAAGCATATAGTCAACAAGGAATGCACAACAGAAAACAAATTAATGGTTGCCAGGGGCTAGGGAGAGAGGGAGATGGAGAGTAACTGCTTAACTTTGCATCCTTCAATCACAAATTAGTGAAAAGGAGAGACTGGCATAGCCTCCCAGCCTACATCTTTCTCTCATGCTGGATGCTTCCTGCCCTCAAACATCAGACTCCAAATTCTTCAATTTTGAGACTCGGGCTGGCTCTCCTTGCTCCTCAAGCTTGCAGACAGCCTACTGTGGGACCTTGTGATCTTGTAAGTTAATACTTAATAAAACCATATATATATATATATATATATACATCCATTAGTTCTGTCCCTCTAGGGAACCCTGACTAATAAAACAGGTATGGGGTTTTCTTTTGTGATGATGAAAATGTTTTGGAATTAGATACGGGTTATAGTTGCACAATATTGTGAATGTACTAAAGGCCACTGAATCATACACTTTAAAATGATTAATTCTAAATTATGTGACTTTCATCTCATTTTTTTTTAAAAAAAGGTAATAAATATTATGTGCCAATAGTATTATTTGAAGGACTGTCTCTTCAAAGTTGCCTTTGCCTGACATTAAGTCAGACTACAGAAGCTAAGAAAACATTACCACTTTCTGTCAGGGTAAAAGTGTTCCTCATCAGAGGTCAAGTTGTTCCCTGTTGATGGACCAGGCTGGTTTGTACGGCCAAAGCTACACAGAATAAGGATATCACTCTGGATGGGGGACTAACATTAATTATCATTTAGAACTTGTATTTCCACAAGTGGATGAAAGCACATATACTTTTGGCTGAAATTCCAATTCTCATTTTGGTCATTGTCCATTTTTAATATGTTAAGAGCCTCTCAATATATCAAGATTAAATAGTGAGGAGAAGAAAACTTCAACTTGATTGCCTATTTTCTACTAAATTATTTCTGTTCCAACAAATGGACTCATTTGACAATTTAAAAAATGATTGCAGTCTTTCAGCTTCTCATCCTTTCCCTCCCTTTTCCAGAGGGACTGATATTCTTCCCTAGAGAACTAGAATAAGATGGCCACTGAAATGTTGTAAACATTAGATACTTTCATGCCCTCCCATCTCACTCCATCCTGACCCCAGTTGCTACAGGCTATGTTTAAAGAGGCTCTTCTGTACCTGCAGCTGAATCATATAGCAGCATGATTTGCATTGGCTTACTGACCTTATCCTGGCTCCATCTTAGCTTACTCACCCTTAGTTTCCTTTTCACCCATTTCCACATATTTTATGTATTTTCATAAAATGACTCAGCCTTTTGGGAAATTAGGTGTGGTATAACATAATAGAAGGAAAAAATGGAGAATGATATAGTAAGTCAAAGGAGAACGCCAGATTGAAAAAAGTGCATCTGCCTCTAATTTGTGGTGTGATCCGACACAGTCTGGCTTAGCCTGTTTGGTCTGCTTGATTGTCCGCAGCTACAGAAACTACCGTGTTGATACATACAAAGAAAGGCTCTTTTAAAAGCCCAGAGTATGTCATGCTGAGCATCATCCTTGAAAACAGCAAGATCGACTAGAGGGTAAGTTCACTACCAAATACCACCAATATTAGTGATTTTTTTTTTTCAAGCAAATGGGAACAAATTGTAGGTCCTGGTCTTGGAAGAAGCCACTAAAGGAGACAGTGGTTTAAGAGATAACATTCCACTTTGCCACAGTTAGAGACATTCATTGTAACATTTACTTTTCTCTTCATCTAAGATAATCTAATTGAGATTCTGAAGGCTTTTAAACTGAAATGATTCATAAAAGATTATGATTTAGTGTATTCAGAAAACTCATTAACAGGGCAATTTAGATAAAGGAAGCACAATGTGTCAGATAGATTTTGATTATAATTTACTTGGGCTAAAATCTACATCTGCAAATGAATTGCTACATAATCCTTGCTGATGCCATAAGAACAAAAGTCCACTGCCATAGGGTTTTCTAAAGTAACCTCTCTTTGATAAGAAGTATGGCATTAAAAATGTGAGTGTATGGTGAGCTCTGTGTTTCCCCACCCCTCCATTCCCGCACTCCCTCATGCCATAAATTTATTTACCTAAACTTTGGTGAGTAACAAAGCAGTTATGTTATTAAACTGTACAGTAAATCATCTACATTCACATGTCCTAAACAAAATCTGTAAAAAAATCACTGCAAAAGGAGGTTATTGAGACTATTGTGAAAGATCTTTTTTGTGTGTAAAGAATAGTTAACCAAAATGTAATATTACTGGTAGGTACCTCTAGTTGCCCTGTGCATGACATGGAAGAATAAACAAATGGAGGGGGGCACAAAGTGTAACAGTGAGATGCATCTCTTTAGGAGCTCAATGGTTTAACTGCAAATGTTCTTACCAAGATGCATCAATAGACCTTACAACTCTAATTTTTCTCTGCTTTCTACTAGGAGAAGAAATGTGGCTAAAAGATGGAAAGGATCGAGTCCTGATGTTTGTCCCTGTTTCTGTTGAAGTCATTCTGTGACCTAAAATCATTTCTGATCACTAGGTTTCACAATTATTGACAGAGAATACCTACTGTACTCTGTTCAATTACTTTATCTGTTAAAATTTCACATCAGTAATAACCCTAACTTTTACAAATTCTAAGCAAGATCTTTGAAATCTTCCCATTTGAGTTCAGGCACATCACTATAGGCTGGTTTTGGGAGATAGCAAAAAAAGAGAAAGAATGAGCTATTCCATTCCCAGGAGTACTGTGTACTGGGTCGGAATGGGGAATTGTATCACTGTATGCTGAACTTTTGGAATGCCCACAGCATAAATTCTGACAATGTCAGTGTATTTGAATGAACACAAATTTCAAAGTTGAGTAGTTTGTTGGATGTGGTGGTCTCTCAGCATTCTACTTTCCCATTATTTTATACCTCTTGTTCATTTAATTGGGAATTAACTGTGGTTTAAATCTATGAAAAATATCTTGGGCATATGGAGAAAGAACAAATGTCCAAAGTTGCCTTTTTAAAAGTGTTTCATTTTTTTAAATTGACAAATAAAGTTATATATATCTATCATGTACAACATGATGTTTCAAAATGTATATACATAGTAGAATTCCTAACCCAAGCTAATTAACATGTGCATTACCTTACAGAGATTTTAAGTGTTCTCACCACAAAAAAAAACTATATAAGGTTATGCAAAGTTGACTTTTATCTTAACTATTTACAATGTATATAAAAGTATGACAGTATATGTACAAGTCTTAAAGTCCTAAATATCCTTTTAAAAAATGCAAAGATTCCATATAATTCCTGAGCTTTCCTCATGTATATTGCTATACAACTTCAGGAAAAATGTCATACCAACTATTTCTGTATCTAAACAGATTTCCCAACAAAAAGAAAAAAGAGCAAGTTGTCTCAGGAACAATGGTAGGACATAAGTTATCTGACTGTATCACTTGGGATTGAAAATTAAAGGCCTGTTTCCATAATGGAACTATTTTGAGGAATTGACATTACTGCCGTAACAACAAATAATTCACAGGTATCTTTAACTGACTCTAAAGCCTCTAGATACTGAATTAGATGATGTACACTTCCAATAAAAGAGAATAGGCTGCATCTTGCTGCTTCAGCTAATTGTGGATTTTTATTTCATGTTTTATTAGAGGGAGTATCATAATCCTTTCTTTCCATCCATTCCATAATCCATCCTTTCCATGTTGGGTCAAATTTTCTTATCCTAACCTGAAATACTGCTTTTGTTTCACACTCTGCCCAGGTATTAAGGGAATAACTAAGATTCAGGTAGTCATTTTACTAGAAAGTCATTTAAATGATGTGTTCAAAAAAGAGGTCACTTACCTAACTTAACCATCACCACAAGTGGAAGAGATGTCTGAATTGGTAACTCCTTTCGCCAATTTTCTTGTAAACAATGTCACACAAATGAATCTGAACACAAATACTGTCTCTATATAAATGTGCTTGTACATATATGCATACACTGACAGCAACTCATGAATTATTAAATTAGCAAGGAACACATTTTTCACCTAAGTTTATTAGTCATCATTTTTTAATGATGCCTCTACACTCACTTGGAGCTGCCTCCTGGTCTTACTTTTTTAAAGTTTAAACATTATAACATTGTTTTGGGACTACCATGGATAAAAATAAAATATAAATACAAATAAGTATAAATACAATGTATATAAATTATATATATGTGTGTCTGTGTGTATATATATATATATATGTGTGTGTGTGTGTGTGTGTGTGTGTGTGTATGTATGTATAATCATCCACAAAGAGTGATGGGGGATAAATGAAAACAAACTGTTGCAAAGCAAAGTTTCCATATTTTATAAGTAGAAAAACTAACTCTAAGTAGATTGGAATAAATATACATATTATAATCCCTAATAACACCCCTAAAATGAATGTACAGTACTTAAATGACCATAAAGAGATTAAAATGAAGGACTAAAAAATATTTGATTAACCCAGAAGAAAGCATGAAGGGAAAAACAGAGCAGAAAAAAAAACCAGATGGGACAAATTGAAAATACACAGCAAATAGAAGGCATAAACTTAAGCATATCATATATATATTGAATGTAAAGGGAATAAATAGTTCAATTAAAAGGCTACAATTGTCAAATTGGATAAAAAGCAAGGAACATCTATATGTTGTCTATAAGAGATACATTTTTAAATACAAAACACAGGTTGAGAATAAAAGAATGGAAAAAGCTAAGAAAGAAAGATGGAGTTGCTCTATTAACAGAACAGACTATAAAACAAAGAGTATTCCCAAAGATAAAGAAGGACATTTTGTAATGGCAAAGGGGTCAATTCATCCAGGAGACATAAACAACTATAAATGTATCTACACCTAATAAAAAATCTTCAAAATACATAAGCAAACCCTGACAGAACAAAGAAATACACTAAGCCATAATAAAAGTGAGAAGTCAGAGATTTTTACATTCCTTTTTCTGCATTGGTAGAATGATTAGATTAAAAATAAGACATAAAATATGTCCCAATAAATTACACAATGTGAGCTGTTACAGAGTATGCATGTTCTTTGATCACAGTGGAATTAAGTTAGAAATGAACAACAATAAATTATGTTTAAAAAGCACTAACATATGGAAATTAACACATTTCTAAATATACCATATACCAAATAATAAATCGTAATGGTAACTGGAAAATTATTTCAACTAAATAATGATGAAAATACAGCACATAAAAATTTGTGGGATGTGGCTAAGGGAGTTGGAAAAAATTGTATAATACAAATGTTTATGCTAAAAAATGTTTAAAATAGATTATATAAGTTTCTAACCTTAAGAAGATTTTAAAAGACAAGTAAATTAAACCCAAAGTAGGCAGAAAAAAGGAAGTAATAAAGACAAGAGCATACATAAATAAAATTGCAGGTAGGCAAACACTAGGAAAAATCAATTCAGTCCAGCAGTTGACTATCCGAAAAGATCATTAAAATTGATAATGCTGTAGCAAGACTTATCTCAAAAAAGAAAGATGTAAAAACACAAATTACCAATACCAGAAAGAAAGACAGGATAGCACTATAAATCCTATAGATATAATAAGAATATTAAGGCAATATTATAAACAACTTTGTGCCAGTTTGAAAACTTAGATAAAATAAATGATTTAAAAAATAGTCACTGAAACTGCAACAATATGAAATAGAAACTCTGACTAGCCCTAAATCTATAAAAAAAATTCAATTCCTCTCCAAAAACCTGCTCATAAAAAAGTATATCCAGGCCCAGATGGTTTCACTGTGAGTTTCATCAAATGTCTTAAGAAGTAATAGCAATGTTTCAGATAAAAGAGTTGGAGGGATCACTTCCTAACTTGTCTTGTAAAACCATCATAATCATGATACTCAAACTAGTTAAAGATACTAGCAGAAAACTACAAATCATATGGCTCATTAATAGAGATGCAAAAGGCCTTTATATATAAATATGCACACATACACATATGTATACTTGAAAACAGAAAATATTTGCATAATATTTCTGACCTAGATATAGACTTTTACCTAGAATGTATATTTTTTAGATTTCTTGCAATCCAATAATATACAAACCCCCAAAATTTTAAAAACAGATTTTTTTTTTTTTTGAGACAGAGTCTCGCCCTGTTGGCCAGGCTGGAGTGCAGTGGCAGGATCTCAGCTCACTGAAACATCCACCTCCCAGGCTCAAGCAATTCTCCTGCCTCAGCCTCCCGAGTAGCTGGGATTACAGGCGTGTGCCACCACGCCCAACTAATTTTTGTATTTTTAGTAGAGATGGGGTTTCACCATGTTGGCCAGGCTGGTCTCAAACTCCTGACCTCAGGTAATCTGCCCACCTTGGCCTCCCAAAGTGCTGGAATTACAGACGTGAGCCACCACGCCCAGCCAAAACCAGAAAATTTTAAAAGATATTCACAAAAGAAGATCTATGAATAACCAGTAAGCATAAAACATTTAATATTACTAGTTATCAGGGAAATATAAATTAAAAACATAATGTGGCCAGGCACGATGGCTCATGCCTGTAATCCTAGCACTTTGGGAGGCCAAGGCAGGCAGATTACTTGAGGTCAGGAGTTTGAGACCAGCCTGGCCAACATGGTGAAACCCCATCTCTACTAGAAATACAAAAAAATTAACCAGGCGTGGTGGTGCATACTTATGATCCTAGCTACTTGGGAGGCTGAGGCAAGAGAATCACTTGAACCCGAGAGGCGGAGGTTGCAGTGAGCAGAGATTGTGCCACTGCACTCCAGCCTGGGCGACAAGGGCAAAACTCCATCTCAAAAATTAATTAATTAATTAATTAATTTAATTAAATTAAAACAGAATGAGATACCCTCTTTCCCCCACTAGAATGTAAAATAGATGGATGGGAAAGACTAAGAACACCCAATGTGGGAATGATATAGAGTGACTGGAACTCTCATACATTGCTGGTGGGATATAAAATAATACAAGAACTTTGGCAAAATATTTGACAGTTTAAGTTACACATGCACCTACTTTTTGTCCCAACAATTCAATGTCTTGGTATTTATTCAAGAGAAAGGAAAATATATTTTCATAAAAAGACTTGTGCAAGAGTGTTTATAGCAGCTTTACTCATAATTATCCAAAATTAGAAACAATCTAAATGTTCATCAACAGGACGACGGATCTTTAGTAATAAAGGAGAATGACACATGCAATAACATGAATGGATCTCACAGACACACAAACAAAAACATAGTATATTATTCCATTTTATTAACTTCTAGAATAGGCAAAAACAATCCGTGGGGAAAAATTCAGAATAATGTGTGCCTCTGGAAAGGAGAGAAGGATTGACTTGGAAATGACACAAGAGAACTTTCTGGAGTGATTGAAATGTTCTAAATTTTAACAGGGGTGTGGGTTACATAGGTATATTTATTTGACAAAATTCATTGAGTCGTATACTTAAGATTTAACAATTTCAAGGCATGTACATTTTACCTCAATAAAAATAAACTGTAAACACATATTGAATTCTACTCATTGGGCTACCTTATCATGGAGGAATGGATTAGCAATTCTAAAACAGGTTTCTGCATATTTTAGTCTTAAACAAATGAGTAAATGTATTGAGAATAATGGGAGCCATGTTTTCCTATTTTAGGAAAAATGTTATGAATATGGAAAGGGAAAGGGGAAAGACTAGAATGTTTTCAGTGGTGGTGGATTGAAACTGGAGGTATGAGTATAAACTCATGGTTTTTAATATATCAACAGATAAATTTCACCCTGTTCACTGAGAAGACCTAGTCACCATGATGAAGCTTGTTGGAATGCAGACATCTAGTGCCCAGATCCTAGTTTCTAAACTATTCCTTATTGAAATGAACAAAAGTTCCATGAGGAAATGGCTGATTTCATGTTCAGAGCAGAGAAAGCATAAAATGAGCTTTGAACAGCTTGTTGCATCATAAAGTAAAGAAGTGCTCAAGGAATAGAGGCATGTTAAAAGGGCACAGGAGCCAGTTTGACAGCATTCGTCCTGGCCAATTCTGAGATAATTTGCACATCAAGAAAAGCATTATAAAGGATTGTAACTCACTGAATAAAAAAGAGTTACAGTACACTGGTGGATACTACCTTCATCAAGTAATCAAACAATATCATATATATTATATATGTGTACTGTATATAATATATATAATAGAAAATATATATTATATATAATATATATAATAGAAAATATATATTATATATAATATATATAATAGAAAATATATATTATATATAATATATATAATAGAAAATATATATTATATATAATATATATAATATAAAATATATATATTATATATAATATATATAATATAAAATATATATATTATATATAATATATATAATATAAAATATATATACACATATTTAGAGAGAGGGTCATCCTGGATCATCCAGGCTGGAGTACAGTGGTGCAGTTGTGGCTCATTGCAGCCTTGAACTCCTGGACTCAAGCAATCCTCCCTCCTCAGCTTCCCAAGTAGTTGGGACTATAGGCATGTGTAACCATGCCTAGCTAATTTAAAAAAAAATTTTTTTTTTGGGAGAGATGTGGTCTCACTATGTTGCCAATGCAGTTTGATTCTGTGTCCCGACCCAAATCTCATTGACAATTGTAATCCTCACGTGTTGAGGGAGGGAAGTGATTGGATTATGGGGACAGTTTCTCCCATGCTGTTCTTGTGATAGTGAATGAATTCTCATGAGATCTGATGGTTTTATAAATTGTAGTTTTTTTTCTGCACACTTACACTCACACTCGCGCTCACCCTCTCTCTCTTGCATGTGCACGCACGCCTGCCACCGTGTAAGATGTGCCTGCTTCCGCTTCTGACATTATTGTAAGTTTCCTGAGGCGTTCCCAGCCATGCGGAACTGTGAGTTAATTAAACTACTTTCCTTTATAAGTTAACCAGTGTCAAAAATTTCTTTATAGCAGCGTGAAAATGAACTAATAGAGTTGTCCAGCCTGGTCTACAATGTCTAGCCTCAAATGATCCTCCCACTTCAGCCTCCTAAAGCACTAGGATTACAGGTGTGAGCCACCACACCCAATCTAACCACACCAACGTTCAGACAAACCCACTTTATATATGCCTCTTAATAAGATGCACTTTTTAGAACACAATCTTCGTTTAAATTGTGTTACTCTCAAAGATGTATGACCTGAATCTAATTAGGAGGAAACATGAGGCAATCAAATTGAAGGACATTCTATAAAATAGTTGATCTATACTTTCCAAAAATTTCAATATCAAGGAACACAGTCTCAAAAACCATTCCAGATTAAAGAAAACTAAAGAGACATGGTACCTAAGAAATGTGTGATACTAAATTTTATCCTTTACTGAGATAAAAACTATCTATAAAAGACATGATTAAGAAAATTACACAAATTTAAAAAGACTTCAGATTAGTTGAAAGTAACATATCACTGTTAAATCTTTAGATTTTGTAAACTATACTGGAGTCTTTGTATGAGAATACTCTCCTTTTCTTGGGAAATACACACTGAAGTCTATATGATGAAAGGGGCATGATATCTCCAACTTTAAGATTTTTCTGAAAAAAATACACATTATGTAGTATATGTTATTAATATATATGTTACAAATTAGATGTCTATCTATACCTATCTATCTAAAATAGGTAAATAAAAAAGCAAATAGGGCAAAATATTTTTTAAAATTGTGAACCTCTGCAATAAAATTTGTGAATCTTCATGAATGGTATTTAGGTGTTTCTTGTATCATGCTTTAAACCTTTCAACACAAAATGAAGTAGTTATAAAATGAAGTATAAGAATTGAACCTGCATAATAATAAGGAATATCATCCAATTCCTTAGACATAAATGGAAAAATATTTAAAATTTTAAAAAACCCTGGATTTTGAAAAATTATTTTCCCATCGTTCTTGATAAATACAATAATGACGGGGAGAAAGGGGAAAAAGAATAGTTCTCTGCCCCGAGCAGATGTCCCTTACAGGTCCACCATTTAATTTTGTATCCTAAGCTCTTATAAAATATTTCTAAATTTTATAAATTAAATTATTTACCCTCCAGTGTGGAATATTAGACATAGTAAAGGCTCAACCTTATTATCCAGCAAGAGTAGTTTACAGTTTGTGTTTTCTCATAAATTTGGTGCCTTCACAAATATTTGGGAAGAATTCCCCTTCAGGAGGGAATGCTAAGCATTCGAAAAAAATAGCAAAAACTTTTCAAATGGGAATTTTGGCTTTTCTACTGTAGAGCGAAAGAGAGAAAGTTGGGGGAGGGAAGGAAGAGAGAGATGGGGAGACAGAGAAAGGAGTGGGGAGGAAGAGGAATGAAGGGACATAGAGAGAAAAAAGGAAAAGAAAAATGAAAAAAGATATTTTAAAGATGAAAGTGTCATTGACAATGCTTAAGGCATAAAGTATATTGAAAAATAGATCCGTGCGTGTGTGTGTGTATGTGTGTGAAGAACACCTAAGATGAGATCTATCCTCTTAGCATATTTCAAAGTGCACAATACTGTACTGTTAACTATGAGTACTGTGTTGTACTGCAGATCTCTAGAACTTATTCATCTCACATAACCCAGACTTTATACCTGATATGGTTTGGATTTGAGTCCCCACTGAAATCTCATGTTAAGATGTAATACTCAATGCTAGAGGTGGGCCTGGAAGGAGGTGATTGGAACATGGGGGTGGCTTCTAATGGTTTAACACCATCTTTCTACTGCTGTTCTCCTGATAAAGTTTTCATGAGATCTGGTCATTTAAAAGTGTGTAGCACCTTCCCTCCCCCTTTCCTCCTGCTCTGGCCATGTAAGACATATCTGCTTCCCCTTCTGCCATGATCGAAAGTTTCCTGAGGCCTCCCCAGAAGCCATCATGCTTCCTGTACAGCCAGCAGAACCGTGAGCCAATTAAACTGCTTTACTTTATAGATTACTCAGTCTCAAGTATTTCTTTATAGCAGTGTAACAACAGACTAACACAATATCCATTGAGCAAAACAAGTACATTTTTGTAGGTAATGGATATATTTAGTACCTTGATGTGGTAATGAAACCCTCCCCATAAGGTTGACAAGAATTGCATGTCACGTTCTGGACAGAAATATAGTTATAATTAAGCATTTACCAGGCTGCCTTCTGGCCCACTTCATTGCTGCTAAAAGTCATGTAGCACTGGACACTGATCATTTGTATTGCCCTTGTTTCTATAGGTAGGATTTCTGACATTAGGGTCATAAGACTGTTTAGGAACTGATTTGTATCCCCATTGTTCCTATAGACAGAATCTGACACAAGAGTTTTAAGACTTTTGTTTAACTATTACTTAAGATGTTTTTCAGACCTCAAATTCCAGCAGTTTGAAGATCCCCACAGAGTAATAGGACTAACATGAGAATGCAATTTCCTCATTTCCCTGTCCCATGACTTCACTCTTCACTCTTCAGCTAATCAATGATCTCCACACTTTGGCTTACTCCAAGGACACTTAAAAAATCCTAGCTCCAAACTCCTTGGAGAGATGGATTGGAGGTTCCCTCCCATCTCCTCATTCAGTGACCCTACAATTAAAGCTCTTTCTCTGCTGCAATCTGGTGTCTCAGTGTATTGACTTGCTGTGTGCATTGGGCAATGAACATATTCTGGCTGCTATTTAGTGGCAACCCCACAAAGGGACACCCCTCATGGTTATGTGGCTGTGGCTTGGTGCTCCCTCACCCATTTCTGTGGCCCAGAGGAAAGCCCAAGTGGATGCCTGGCTTCTTTAAACCAGGGGCTGTCCCTGGAGCCTCACTTGCTGGCAGGGCATTGCATACATTTGCTTGCAGCAGAGAAATGGTTTCTGAATCTGAAAGATGTCTTCTGAATCTGGTGAGTACTTCCAAGTGCAACTGACATCTCCTTTCCATTCTTCTGATCTGTTGGCCTCTTCAGAGGTCTTGTGACCTCTTCGGAGATCCTGTTGACCTTCCCTAACCTATAGGAAGGGCCCTGTTTAAGGGGATTTTCCCCAATTGGAAGGAGAACGAAAGGCACACTGTTAGAGGGAAGTACGCCAGGACCCTTCTGGTCACAGTTCTGAAATCTGGTTTCAGAATTTTGACTTGTGAGGCCTTGTGTTTGTTTTTGTCTTGCCCCATTTGTGTGTGGGCAAGCTGGAAGGAATCACTAGCAGAATATCAGCAGGCCTGACTGGGAGTAACCATTTTGGTGTTTTGTCTGTTTTGCCTGGCTAAAACTTGGAAACTGAGTAGAATAACGGGTGTTTGTGTCTCTGTTATGTGTATCTTGTAATTTTGTCTCTGCTGATATGGGGAATGTTAATTGGATCCCTTGTGTCTTATAAAATTGAGTGGCTTTCACCTATGAACCCATGAAAATAATGAAAATGGTTTTCCTTAGTAATTAGCGATCAGGGTGGTCAAAACTCTGCTCTTCTGGAAGCTGCAGTTGAAGGAATTCAGGAACCCAAAAAGCCAGTAAAAGGGTAAGAATTCCTTCCCAGTTGGCCTCCTGGCCTCTCTTTTTGTGCGGAATCCAGTTGAATGGACAGTAAAAATCATTGTCTCCTCTGAAAGGTTTTAATTTGCGGGCGCAATTACAGTACCTGGTTTTAAGATCATATTAAGGGAAAAGGCACTAAAGAGGGTATGAAAGACAGTCCTGAATCACCAACCCTCCTCCATGCCCTGGCAGCAACCATGTCAAATGGAGAGAGAATCAAGTGGTTTGGGGAGGAGAGTGCAGTGATTGTGGACTTTGCATTGGAATTCAGTGATGCCCTGTCACGGCAGAAAGCAATATAGGGCAGAACTCAGTACCCATGGAAGGGGCATTTAGACAAGCCCTAGCCAGGGGCAAATCATCCAACCCAGCGGTCAGAAGCTAAGTCTCAACAAGCCCTGTCACCATGGGCTAAAGTGCTCTGGGGTACAAAATAAACTTTAAAACCAGTTTAGGCCACAAGGACTGCAATTCCTGGGCAAGTCCTGGTTCTGTGCTGAGCTTACAGCCAGTGGACTTAAGGTACTTAAGGTAGTGAGACAATCTAGTGAGAGCGCCCAAGGGAGTGCTTGTGTCACCCCTCTGCCAAACCCAGACAGCATAGCTTGCAGCTCTGGGAGGGACTGCTTCCCTCTGCTTCAGAAGAGAGGGGACATTAAGATGACTTTGTCTTACAACTTGAATATCAGCTCAGTCACAGTAGAACAGGGTACCAGGCAGAGTCCTGAGGCCCCCATTCCATGCCCTAGCACACAGATGACATTGCTAAACACACTGTGCACCATGAAAGAATCAGCTTCCTTGAAGGGAAGAACCAAGTCCTGGCAGGATTCATCACTTGCTGACTAAAGAGTCTTTGGGCCCTGAGTAATCAGCAGTGTTAGCCAGGCAAGACTCACTGCAGGCCTTGGACAAATGGGTTCACATTAAGTTAAGAAGTGTCTGCACAGCAAAGGAAATAATCAACAAACTGAAAAGCTAGCCCACAGAATCGGAGAAGATATTTGCAAACCATCCATCTGACAAGGGATTAATAACCAGGATATATAAGGAACACAAATAACTCTATAGAAAAAAACCTAATAATCTGATTTTAAAATGGGCAAAAGATCTCAACAGACATTTCTCAAAAGAAGACATACAAATGGCAAAGAAGCATATGAAGAGGTACTCAACATCACTGATCATCAGAGAAATGCAGATCAAAACTACAAGGAGATATCATCTCACCCCAGATAAAATGGCTTATATTCAAAAGACAAGCAATAACAAATGCTGGCAAGGATGTGGAGAAAACAGAACCCTCATCCACTGTTGGTGGAAATGTAAATTAGTACAACCACTACGGAGAACAGTTTAGAGGTTCCTTGAAAGGACAAATCTAGAGCTACCATATGATCCAGCAATCCCACTACCCAAAATAAAGGAAATCTGTTTATGGAAAATATATCTGCACTCTGATGTTTACTGCAATGCTATTCATGATAGCCAAGATTTGGAAGCAACCAAGTGTCCATCAACAGATTAATGGATTTTTAAAAATGTGGTACATATACACAATGGAGTACTATTCAGCCATAAAAAAAGAATGAGATCTAGTCAATTGCAACAACATGGATGGAACGGGAGGTCATCATGTTAAGTGAAATAAGCCAGGCACAGAAAGACGAATGTGGCATGTTCTCATTTATTGTTGGGATCTAAACTTCAAAACAACTGAACTCATGGAGATAGAGAATAGAAGGATGGTTACTAGAGTCTTGGAAAGATAGTGGGAGGGCGGGGGGAAGATGGGGATGGTTAACAGACCTAGTATTGACAGCACAACAGGGGTACTGTAGTCAATAATTTTACATTTTAAAATAACAAAAATAGTATAACTGGATTGTTTGTAACACAAAGGATAAATGCTTGAAGGGATGGATACCCAATTTCCCATGATGTGGTTATTATGAATTGCATGCCTGTGTCAAAATATCTCATATACTGCAGAAATGTATATACCTACCATGTACCTACAAAAAATAAAAATTAAAAATAATTTAAAAAGCCTACATCACCAATAATTACTCTTGCTGCACTCTATGCAAATAATCAAACCAAATATAATAAGACTCAAACTTATTTTGCCAATAAGTTGGTCCTACTGATTTTTATTTGGTAGAAATGAGGCACTGAAGAGAGAAAAATTATGTTTCAAAAGAAACTACAGTACACCTTTTATTAGTATACTGTGTCCATTATTTTGAGTTTTTCTTATTTGTCTACAGTTTAGTTTGAATCCTGAATTCTTTTCTAAGCATGTCTCCAAACTTATATTACCAAATTTTTATTCCATTTCTCTGACTTATACTCAATTAAATTGCTACTACTGTTTTCCTGAGTAACTGCAAGCATACTTTGTGATACACAAACTATAGTTTGCCTGCAATGCCATCTCCTGAAATGAGATACAGCTGTTTAATGGAACTGGCCTATTCCAGGAATGGGAGACTGGTTTACTAGGATCCTTTGCCACTCAGCTACTTACTAAATTTTTCCACCAACTCAGCTTTTAATGTGTGAAACTTCTAGGGAAGTTTCAGACAGGGGATGTCGGGGCTCAGAAACCTATACCCCCAAATATGGCATTTTGGCAAGAGATGTATGTCACAAACCCTCTTAATGATCCTTTAGCTGGCTTCTTATGGGAATGGGAAACTGGTTTTGGTCCCTTTTATGGTTCAGATCTGTGTCCCTGCCCAAAATCATACTGAAATATAATCCCCAGTGTTGGAGTTGGGGCCTGGTAGGAGGTAATTGGATCATTGGGGTGAATTTCTCATGAATGGTTTAGCACCATCCTCTTCGTGCTGGTCTCATGATAGTGAGTGAGTTTTTGCAAGATCTGGCTATTTAGAAATATGTAGCACCTCCTCCCTCTCTCTTGCTCCTGCTCCTGTCATATAAGACACCTGCTCCACTTTGCCTTCTGACATGATTGGAAGCTTCCTGAGGCCTTCCCAAAAGCAAAACCCATTATGCTTCCTGTATAGCCTGCAGAATCATGAGCAAATTAAAACTTTTTTTATACATTATCTAGTCTCACGTATTTTTCCCCCAGGTATTTCTTTATAGTAATGTGAGAATGCCCTAATACAGGCCTCCTTACAAATTCTTTTTATTATAATTATTGTTGTATTTCTTTTCTATTTCCCACAGACAACAAGGACTAGTAACAAGAACTGACATTTTTGCCATGCAGAGTCAAAACTCTAGACTTGGCACTCAAGACCATTTACAGGCCACTGCAAAGCAGTTTTATTCCTCAAATCCTGATTATGGTCCCTATCTGTGCCCCTTGTCAGCAAGACACAGCCAGAGAAGTCATCACCCAATTCCCTCCTTATTGATCACAGCTCAGGATAGAGGATTAACAAGACAAAGCAGAACTGAAATCATTCCTACAGGGTTGACAAGAATTGCATGCCGCGTTCCAAACAGAAATATAGTTAGAGTTAAGCATTTATCAGGCTGCCCTCTTGCTCATTTCCTTGTTGCTAAAAGTCATGTAGCATTAGATAACTGACCATTTGCACCCCATTGTTCCTATAGGTAGGATTTCTGGCATTAGGGTCATAGGAAATTAAAAATTGATTTGTATCCCCATTGTTCCTATAGACAGGATCTCTGACATTAGAATTTTAAGGCTTTTGTTTGAGGATGGCTTAAGATGTTTTTCAAACCTCAAATTCCAGCAACCAGTTTGAAGACCCCCACAGAGGAACAAGATTAGCATGAGAATACAGCTTCCTCATCTTGCTGTCCCATGGCTTCACCCTGTACTCTTTGACCAATCAATGATCTCCACACTTCAGCCCACTCCGAGACACTTAAAAATCCTAGCTCCAAACTCCTTGGGGAGATTAATTTGAGGTTCCTTTCCATTTCCCCATTCAGTGACCCTATGATGAAACCTCTTTCTCTGCTACAACCTGATGTTTCAGTGTACTGACTTGCTGTGTGCATCAGGCAATAAAACTATTATGGTTATAGGAACAGTATCACAGTAGAAGCATGCATATGTCCAAACTCATCAAAATGTCTACATTAAATACATGCAATTTTTTCTATGTCAATTAAACCTCAGTAGAGCTTAAAAACAGATCTAACATATTTTTAGAGATCTTATATGTATTATAACAACAAAAAAGCTTATTTGATTCCCCATATCTTCATTTAGCTAACTCCTCGATTTCTCCATCACAGAAAAATTTCTCATTATAGATTCATTGTCCCCTTTTCCTCATTTTCCCCATCTCTTTACAACCTGCTTCTGTTAGCCTATTTTTTCTACCACATCAAAATTAACTTGTGTCAAGGTGCCCAATGACCTACATGTTGCCAAATGCAATGATCTATTCCTAGTCTTCCACTTATTCAAACTCAGCAGCATTTGCTAGAGTTGATCACTTCCTTCAACTCAAAACAGTATCTTCTTTTGGCTTCAGTGACACCCATACTCCTGGTATTTCTTTCACCTAATTGGCGACTCTTTCTCATTCTCTTTTGTTGACTCTTTTCCTACCCAGTCTGAAAATGTTGAATGATTTCTGAGGTTATCTCATCTAGTAGCATGGCTTTAAGTGTCATTTAAATAGTAAAAGCCCTCAAGATTGCATATCCACTCCTGACTTCTCTCCAAACTCCATATTCATATATATCTTTTATTTCTTCATTTAAAACTGAAATAGACATTTTAAACTTATATCACAAACTGAACTCTTGTTTAAATCTCCAGCCTCAACCCTCAAGCTTATTCCTCCTCATTCTCCCCGTCTTAGTATATGGTATCACCATCTCCCTCAGTTGATTAGGTGACAAACATAAGAGTCATCTCTAATTCCCGCTTTTCCTACACCTCTGCCATATTCAATTCATTAACAAATCTTGTCCATTCTCCCTCCACATTATATTCCCAATCTATTCACTTCACTCCATCTTCACTGTCACCATTTTAGTCTAATCATTCAACATCTCCTTGCTCGTTAAAGGGTACAAAGTTTCAGTTAGATAAGAGAACTAAGTTCCAGAGATCTATCGTACAGCATGGTGGTTATAGTTAGTAATAATGTATTATATACTTGAAAATTGCTAAAATAATAGATTTTAAATGTTCTCATAACAAAAAATGATAAGGATATGAGGTGATGGATATGTTAATTGGCTTGATTTTATCATTCCACAATGTATGTGTGTGTGTGTAGATACACACACATATATATAAACATGTTTATACCAAAAATACATACAAGTTTTGTCAATTAAAAATAAAATTTTAAAAAATTTTAAAAAGAAAAGACAAAAATCTATTTAGAAACACACACACATAGAGAAAATGATAATCTCTTAAAGGGAATATTTTAGCAGCTTCCTAATTAGTCTCCTGGCCTCCACTCTTGCCATCTATTCTCTACACAACAGCCAGAGCGATCATTTTTAAATGCAAAGTAGGTAGATCATATCACTACCCTATGATATGGTTTGGCTCTGTGTCCCTACCCAAATCTCATTTGGAATTGTAATTACCCAAATCTCATCTGGAATTATAATCCCCAGGTGTGGAGGGAGGAACCAGGTGGAAGGTAATTGGGTCATTGGGGCAGTTTCCCCCACCCTGTTCTTGTGATAGTGAAGGAGTTCTCATGAGATCTGGTTGTTTGATAAGTGTCTGGCGCTTCTCCCCACTCTCACTTGCTCTCTTGCTGCTTTGTGAAGAAAGGTGCCTGCCTCCCCTTCGCCTCCCTGCCATGACTGTAGTTTCCTGAGGCACCCCCCAGCCATGCAGAACTCTGAGTCAATTAAACCTCTTTTCATTATAAATTACCCAGTCCTTGGTAGTATCTTTATAGCAGTGTGAAAACGGACTAAAACACCCCGCTTAAAATCTTCCAGTGGCTTTTCACTGTGCTTAGAATAACATTCTCTTTACTCCGTTGAAAAGGTTTCATATGATCTAGTCCTTTACTACTTTTCTGGCCTCATCTTTTATTACTCAACCTCTTGCTGTCTATGACTCAAGCACACTGACTTTTATTTGTTCCCCCAAAGTGCAAAGCACATTCTGACCTCAGGGCTTTTGCATAGCAGCTCCCTCTGCCTGGTATGCTCTTCTCCCCAAATCTTTCACCTCATACAGATCTCTGCCCAAATGTCACCTCTTCAGAGAGACCTTCCTTGCCAATCTCCATCCCTTTTCCCTGTTTTATTTTTATTTTAGCACTTACCACTATTTTACATTATATATTACATTTCATTTATTTATTATTTGTCTCCACTACCTTAATGTCAGGTCCATGAAAGCATATAGTTAGTTTTGATCATTGCTATATCCCCAGTAAGGACTCAATAAGTATCTGCTGAGTGAATGCAACTGGCACAGTAAATAATCTAAGATGAATGTTTTTAGAGTTAGAAAAAACCTTAAGTTAATCATTTCAGTCCCGTATTTTTAAAGGAGGAGTGCCTTATGCTAAAATAACCAGAGAGATCAAATGGCATATTAAAGGTGACAGAATTTTTTGGTGACAGAGCCAAGACTAGTGTCAACGTCTTCTGATTCCTAGCCCAGTGCTCTTTGCTCTGTTCCATTCTGTCTAATGCTGTCAGTCATACTAAGAAAAATATTGGGAAAATTGTTTGCTGAACTATATAATGTCATTCTGCTTAAATGAAAGAAAAAGACAGAACTGTGTCATGAATTCAGCATTTTCACTGATTTGGCAGCTGCATAGTGACCATCTACCTTTTGCAAAGCACTGTTAACATTGCAGGCATAAACAAGAAGTGACCCTTACTCTCAAGAGTTTATAATCTAGAAAAGGGAATAAACCCAACTAATATAATGCAAGACAGAATGTGATGAGTCTCACATGAATGACAAAAAGTATTATGTGGGTCCAGAGGAGGAACTAATTATGTCCAGCTGAGATGATTATAAAAGTCATGGCCTTAAAGGATGACAAGGGCAATAAGTGGGGATTAGCATGAACAAAGGTATAGTAGAGTGAAAAATGCATATATTCTAGGAAGAGTAAGTAGTACAATTAAGCTGATCTATGGGGTCTCTGTGGTGCTAACATAGTTGGAAATACAGTTTGAGGTAAGAATTAAAAGGAATTTTCATATGTGACTAAACAAAGATTGTGGACTTCATTTCTTAGGTGCTTAACTGAGATTTGCTAAATTAATATTAAATAAATGGATTGAGGACCAGTGTATTTTCTGGACAAAGGTAATGACATGATGTGAGAAATACTCTTAGAAAGACTGATCTGGCAGCTGGGTATAAGATGAATTGGTATGGAAAGACTGAAGGTAAACAGATCACTTTGGGTGGTTAGAAATGGGCCAGGAAAAAGGTAAAGACATCCTGAACTAGGTGGTGGGGTTTTTATCTTAATGTTCAAATCAATCATGCAAGCTTTGACAATTTACATGGCAGGAAAAAGGATTAAGTAATTCAGTGCTATACTCTAGATCAGAGACTTATTTTTTTTACCACAAGCCATAGTAATAAATATATTTTATATCATGAGCCAATGTGCATGTATGCACAGATGTAACACAAATGACTGAAATAATTTTTCACAAACACACTTTTTCTTATCACTCTATAGGCACATTGAAAGTTTCTACTCTATTCAATTTTCTATTTCACTTAAAAAACACTATTTGCAAATTTCAACACTGATTTATAACCTACTAATGGGTCATGTAACTCATGGCTTGAAAAATATTGCCGTAGATTTAGTCTAAGTGATTGGGATGTCTAGGTCACAGGATTCACTTTACACCTGTCTAATCATCTACCAAGAGCTAATCAATTCGACCCAAAGCAAATAATTCAAAGCCTAGAGAAAGTATGCTTTTAGTAGCCTGTTTCTTTTAAATGCTTTTATTTAAAAAGATACTCACCTACCTCACATCAAACTATTTCAATAATCTCAGGTCTAGTCACCCTGCCACCAAATTTACCACTTCCAGAGTAATCTGCCTACAAACATTTTCCATATGTTACTCCTTTTCTGCTCAGAAACCTTTCATGGTTCCGTACTGCCTAGTCCAAAATGCCCAAATTATATGTCCTGGCTTTCAAGGTCCTTCATAACTTAGCTTCACCCTTCCTATCCAATCTCATTTTCCAAAACTCCTTAACACACTTGTTCTTGTTAGATTAATTCTACAAACATATACTGCTTATCCCTTCCTCTATAATGAGCTCATATTGTTGCCTTTGTCTTGACCAATTTTTCTTTTTCTTCACCAATCGAAAAATACCTACTCTAGCCCATCTACCCCATGAGGTATCTGCTGCTAATTACTTGGCTTCACTCTGAATCATGTCAACACCCACACACAGAACTATAGGGTGTTTGACCTTAAGTGTGAATAACAGTACTGACTCTACACCTTCTTCACAAGGTTACTGTGAACATTACATGCAATAACATGTGTAAAGGACCTAGAATAGTGCCTGAAATGTGCTCAACAACTACTTACCACTGCATGTTCTTTCCCTGGAAAAAGGTATTACATCTTATACAACATCTAACATAGGGTTGAGTACATAGTACGCACTTAGTAAAATCTGATTGATTTACTGATTAATCAATTCACTCTTCTCCACTATTGTATTCAAATAAATAAAATTTTCCCAGTCATCAAACACAGTCAGCTAAACAGGTCAACCAGAGACAAAGGTTAAACCATTTACTTTTTCATTTGGCTTACTTTTCAGAAATTAGTTATGGGAGGTTCCACAGCAAACAGACCATGAAAGGCAGTGCTCTTCCCTGACCATCTTATGTGTTGCTGTGACTCTTCCTCTACCCTTAAAATTTCATTTGTTGTATTTTTCTCTGCTGACTAAATTGCAACAAGGGACTCAAAACACAAATGTCAATTCTGTGGCTGTGGCTATTTTTATAAAATCTTCACATCTATGTTGAATGGGAAGTCCCATTATATTAAGCATGATAGTAACTCTAATACACTCCCATTCTCTTACAGAACAGGCTTATTTCTGAAATCACTCCGATTATTAACCTCAAGGTTTTTGATAAAAGTATAAGGAAATTTCCCCTTGCCTCAGCTCCAAAAAAAGCAGAGCTCTAGTAAATGGAAACTGGAAGATCTTGAGGAACTTTGTCCACTGAACTGTGGGAAATGGTGACAGATACAGAAATAACGTTCCTCATTGTTTTTCACAAAGGACAGGTAAAGGAAACAGCACATCATTTACATATAGAAATAAATGTTTCTTATTACATTATCATCTATTGTTTGCAAATTGCTTTTGCTCAACTTTCTGCTTTTAGTTAAATCATATTACAAACAATTCAATTACTATGTTGTAAACATGCTAAGCTAACTTCTTGTATAGCTCAAATGTATCTGTTATTGTTTTGAGACTTAATGTCACAGCTTAAAGGGTCCTTAGAGCTTGAGGGACTTAGCTCAAGGTCATTCCATTCAAAGTTGAAGGTTCACATTATTTTTTTTTCAGAATTATATTTAGAAATTGAAAGATTATCTGTACCAAGGTGCGAGGGTTCTCTTTAAAGAAGTGAAAACATATGGTTTACAAAAAAGTAAAACATAACCATATTGAATTATATGAAAACATGCTTAACACCAATCATAATAAGATAAACCAAATAAACCTATAATGAGATATAATTTTTTCCCTATATGCTCAGGAAGCAGCAAAAGATTTGAGGGAAAACTGCTGACAAAGATTTGGGGAAACGGGTATTCTCAGTCACTGCTGGTGGGAGCATAAATTGTAGGACAAATTGGCAGTCTTATCAAATTTAAAAAGCATATAACCTTTGATCCAGCAATTCTCCTTTCAGGAATTCTGTATGTGTATACCATGGGATACTATGCAGTCACATAAAAGTGAAATATCTATCATTACTGATATGAAATGATGCTCAAACAATATTAAATCCCAAAAACCAAGTCACAGGACAGTTGCACGAACACTGCCTATGTGTATAAAAATAAATATAGACACATAAACACAAATAGAATGATAGAGAAAATAACCAAATGTACACTTTTTAAAATATATCAGCAGTTGGCCAACATTTTGGTCTCAGGACTGCTTTCACTCTTTTTTTTTTTTTTTTTTTGGACAGAGTCGTGCTCTGTCGCCTAGGCTGGAGTGCAGTGGCATGATCTTGGCTTACTGCAACTGCAACCTCCGCCTCCTGGGTTCAAGCGATTCTCCTGCCTCAGTCTCCCGAGTAGCTGGGACTACAGGCGCCTGCCACAATGCCCGGATAATTTTTGTATTTTTAGTAGAGATGGAGTTTCACCATATTGGCCAGGCTGGTCTTGAACTCCTGACCTTGTGATCCGCCTGCCTTGGCCTCCCAAAGTGCTGGGATTACAGGTGTGAGCCACTGCACCCGGCCAGGACTGCTTTCACTCTTAAAAATTAAAGAGAATACTAAGAAGCTTTTGTTTATATAGGTTATGTATTTACTATATTAAAAATTAAAACTGAGGGATTTAAAATATTTAATAATTTACTTAAAATAATGAATTATAATTATATGATTTTATTACATAACATATTTATCACAGAAACTATATTTTGCAAAAGCAAAAAGGCCATGAGAAGAGTGTTATTGTTTTTATATTTTTGAAAATCTGTTTAATGCCTGGCTTATCAGAAGACAACTAAATTATCATATCTGATTCTACATTCAACCTGTTGTGATATATCATTTTATTTGAAATATATGAAGAAAATCTAGTCCCACAAAGATAAGTAGTCGGAAAATAAGGAAGTATTTTAACAGCCTTTTCAAAAAAGTGTGGATGATCTTCTTCGATACTATACCAAACACAACAAGTGGCAGTTTCTTAAGGATTAGCTGAAGTGTGGAATCTGAAATCATATCAATTATTGCATCTTGGCCTTTTGGCTAAGACCAAGTGTGAAATCATATCAATTAACTTTGTATACCTTGCTACATTAAAATCCACTGACCCATATTGCTCTTTGAATGGATCTTTTATACATGCATAATTTCATAACAACATACATTGGTTATCTGGAAAATACTACTTCATTGAGTTATATGGATGTTCTAAATGTTGATACATTTTATGATACCTCAATATCAAAACATCATATATATTAATATCATTATTAATTTCATTAGTACAGTTGTCCCTCAGTATATGCAGGGAATTCATTCCAGGACTGTCCCCTATCTCGCCCTGCATATGCCAAAATCCACACATATTCAAGTCCCACAGTTAGCCCTGAGGAACCAGCTTATTAGAAAAGTTGGTGCTCCATATAAGTGAGTTTCATATTCCACTAATACTGTATTTTCTATTCATGTTTGGTTGAAAAAAATCCATATGTACCTGGACCTGTGCAGTTCAAAATTGTGTTTTTTGAGGGTCAACTGTATTATTAGGAAAATAGCTTTGAACTTGTAGAACCCATGAAAAGGTCTTTGAGGCCCTAGGAGTCCTTGGGCTACACTTTTAGAATCACTATTACATCCAACAGAATATTTATGGAAGGATATCCATGAAACTGAAAAAAATGATTATATCTAGGTAAGGAGTTGGAGGCAGAAAGGAGATTTTTTCAATGTACATATTTTTATTGTTTGGATCTTCTACTGGGTGTGGGTATTACATATTCAAAAACAAATAAAGACTGACATAAATTTTCTTTTCACTTCCTTAATAAAGCTAAGTGACTTCATCAATAATTCTTAACAAAACAAAAAAACTTAACTCTGAACAAAATAACAAACTTTGAGAATTGGTTATCATATTCCTGATGACTTTTGTGATCATTTCATAAATGCCACAAATCCATTATGATTGCTTAAAAAACATTACAATTTAGTTTCTGAGACAAATTGTGAAACACAAATTTCACACTGAAATTTCACTTTTGCTTCCCCTCCCTTTCTCTCAAATAGTTGATTAACAGTAAACAAGTATTTAAAGACAGTACAAAAGACTTTTGTCATTAAAAAGATATATCTCTAATATATCTGTCCTGTAATATTTTCATTTCTGTTTTACAAAGCACAAAATGTTTTACAAAACTTCCAACAAACTCAATTCTCAAACATCCTGTTCTATGTAAGAGATTTTGAGAAGTAGCAATTCAGCACAAAATGTAATAATTTATTACATTTTGAAATGGTTTTGATTTTGATCAAGCCTAGAGGAGGCTTTAAATAGGCAGAAATGGCCTTTATGAGGGGCTAAGGGCCCAGCTGTGGATCTCATTTGATGGCCCTTCAGAGCCATGTGTCTCAGCACTTGACCCATTTTTGCCTTAGCAAAAGAGAAATGTTCCTATTAGAAAAGTGAAATTCCATGAACTTGGTTCACTTAAAAGAAAATCTATCTCCATCAAGTGTAAGTGAGGCACCTAGTTATTTAGTAATCACCTGTCTAGTGTCAGGACACTCAACTCAAAACAAATTTGAGGAAGAGACCTGTACTCCTTCTGAAAGACTCAATACTGTAACTTTGATAACCTAGGAGACTTTAGCATAACTACCAACACAATCATCCAAGCAGAAAATAAAGAAGTTATTTGCTTCACTCCTTCTTTTCTCTTCCCCCTTCCCAATTTGTCACCATCAACTCCTCCAATACAGAAGACCCTGAATTATTATCTGGCCCTTGACTTTCTCTCTAGTCCTTCTTCAACTTGTCCACTTGATAAATTACAATCCACCTTTCAAGATAATGTTCAGATGTTTCAGCTCTGTGAGTATTTCTGGATAAGTTGCACTTTTGTTTAGTGGACCTTTACTCATTACTGAAATCCCTGTCCAGTCATCTCCTTTGAAAAGCCTTCTCCCACCACCTCCTACCTACACCCAAGATGAGTTCTGGGTTCCCATAATATTTTGTATGTGTCTCTACTATAGCACTATACATGCTGTATTATCATTGTTAATGCATCTCATCTCTCTACTAGACCATGGATCCCCTAAAGGCAGAGACCATATCTTATTTATCTTTGGGTTTTAGTGTCTAGGACAATGCCTGGCACACAACAGGCTGTTAGTAAATTCTATGTAAAGGAGTGAAGAGATACTCTTAAGGACAAGAACCTGAACAAGGAATGCAGTATAATGAAAGGAACCCAGATTGGATCCTGTCAGATCAAGATCCTGTCAATTAGCAACTACCACGTTTCTAAATAACATGACCAATCAACAGCTTCAACACAGTCCTTCACTCCCATCCTCTTGAGAGCACTATCTTTACTTACTTCCTATTAGTTTTCCCCTTTGCCTGATTGAATACTCCTCCTCAATCTTCCTTACTGTTTCTCTCTTATCTCCCCAGCCTCTAATGCTGGCATGTACCCACAGCTCAGAGCTTGAACCTATTCTATCTACATTCTTCAGTGATATCATAGATTTGCTTACAACTTACATGCTGTTCGCTCCCATATTTATTTCTCCATGGTAGACTTCTCCCTTGAACTCACATATCCAACTGCCCATCCAACATTTCTACTTAGATGTCTAAGAGGCATCTCAAATGTCCAAAACCAAACTCCTGATTCCATCTTCCCCATCTCATTAATCAACAACTCTACACTTCTAGTTATACAGGCCAAAAAATCTGGATTTGCCTGTGACTTATTACTTATTCTAGTACCCCATGTTCAATATATCAGAAAACTTGTTGGTTCTATCTTCAAAATATAACTGGAACTCTACAACTTTTAATTCCTTTCACTGCTAAACCCTGGTTTAAGCCATAATCATCTTCCCTCTGGACTATAGCAATAGCCTCCTGATTGCTCTCCCTGCTCCAGTCCTTGCCCCCTTCAGTCTATGTTCTATCCAATATCCAGAGTTCTCCTTGTAAAATAAACCTGGCCATGCCAAGCCTCTGTTCAAAACCCTTCAATGGCTTTCCATCTAAGAGTGAAAGCCAAACTCTTTACAATGGCCTGCATAGCCCTACATGATCTGATCCCCCACCATCACCATCTTTCTGACCTCATCTCCTAATTTTCTCTCCACTACTCTCTCTGCCCCAACCACTCCAGCCTCCTGGTTGTTCCTTAAAGTCTGAACTCTGGTCTACATGGCAAATCCTGAGCCCATTCCTATATACTATCACTGACTTACGAAAGTTAAAAAAATTGACAGTTTTAACAAAAAAAAGAGAGTATCAATACATAATGGTAACGTAGTTAGTGAGGAAATGACTGACTGCCTGTAAATCAAGGCCCATAATTTTGTAGCCCCCACAGATTATCTTTTCAAGAATTCTCTCTGTGAAACCACCACCAAAACAACCCCAAAAAGCATACTAAAACAAGCATGATAAGATCAGTATTTTCTTTATAGCATTAAGGTTGGGATATAAGAATTCTAATTGAAATAAAAGAAAGTGGCTTTCCCCTAATATGTGCTCACGACAATATTCACTGGAGGCCATTAAATGTGAGCCCCACCAAGACAAATTTAATGTCAAAAAGCAGATAGGTGGTTGCCTGGGACTGGGGTGAAGGAGATTTACTGCAACTTTTTAGGGCTACACATATTTTTAGGGTACATATTATACATCAAAACTCATTAATGGGTACATTTTTATTGAATGTAAATTATACCTCAATAAAGTTGATTTAAAATAAAGTATGTGTAAAATATATTTAGAAGTTATATAAATAAAACAATAAAAAAATGGGCACTGCCTTAAAGAAAACTGGCTAGCCATATGCAGAAAGCTGAAACTGGATCCCTTATTGCCTTAAAGAAACTTGAAGAATTAAATGGAAATATATGTGAAAAAATTAGAGAATGCTGTTTTTTTTTTTCAAAAGTAGATAGCAAATGACTCAGTTCATTTAAAGTAGGATTTAATTTACCCCAATATGATTTACACACCACTTTTCTGAAGCCTATTATATCTTGTAAAGGAAGAGGAACATATGAATAGTTCTGCAAAGATTTTGAAATCAGCCAGTGACATCAGGAATTGTCTCCACTCTCAGCCATGGAATATACAACCAGGTTGCTTATTACACTAAGCAGGAGATGAGGAAGGAAAAAAAAGGACTCTTTCTCTTTCAAAATTTAATGTCTAGTGAACAGGTCTGACAAATTATTGCATACCAAGTCCAAAATAACCCAACTCCACTTTTTTGGCTTTCCCCACAGTTCTGCAACTCTGCCCATTTGCTAGGTGATTCTCCTCCTCTGGGCTTCCATAGCACTCTTGGCATTCCTCTATCAAGCTAGCTCATTGTTGCACTGTAACTACTTGTTGATTTTCTGTACTCCCTTCCCTACTAGACTGTGGGCTTCTTGTAGATAAGAACCATAATTTAGAAATTCCTGAATTTCTAACACCTAACATGGTGCCTGATACATAGTAGCACATATAAAGATTTGTGATTGAATGAACCTTGTCATACCCGGACCTGTCACTAAAAGGTACCACAATCCTTCCAATTAGACAAGCAAGAAACCTAATCATCACTTAAGAGACACTCATCTATTTATCTGATACTCCACATCTAAGCCATCACCAAGTCTTGTTGATTTTACCTTCTAACTAGCCCTAAAATGCATCTACTTTTCTCTATAGTCACAACTTCCACCCTAGTCCAAGTTACTATCACCTCTAGCCTGGACTAGTGCAAGCATAACTATTCAGGCTTCTCTTCAATTCATTCTCCACACTGAAACTATTTGATGATGTCACACCCACACCCTTCCTTAAAATCACTTTTATGTCTTCCTCTTACTGTTAAGATGAAGAGAAAATCTTGAATGTGGCAAAGGCTCTGCACTGTCTGTCCCTTACCTACCCCTCTAGCCTAAGCTTATTCTAGTTTCTTGCTTCCTCACTTCACTCCAGCCAGCTGTAGTTGGCCTTATTTTAGCTCCTGGTATTCACCATGATCCCTCTACAGGGCACGCTTGCACATGCTGACCCTTTTGTCCCAAAAGCCTCTCCTTCCCTGTCTTTCCTAGTTAATGCTCACTTACTCTTTATATCTCTGCTTAAGATTTACTTCCTCCAAGAAGCCTTTCCTGATCTCACTGATTAGGTCAAATTCCCCTAACACATGTTATTTTAGTCCATGCATTTCTTTCCGCCATAGCAATTTCACAATTAAAACTTCATACTTATTTGTGTGATGGTTTAAGGGCTGTTTTCTCCACTAGATTTTAAGCTCTTAAAGACAAGAACTGTGCGTGATTTTCTTTACCACTTCATTCCCAGGGCTTAGCACAACGCTTATCATATAATAGGAGCACAGATATTTTTCAATAGGTTAATGAATACACTAATGAAGAAACAATAGCAGCTGAATAATACTTATTTTTACCTTTAGGGATTTTATTTGTTCATTCAACAAATATTCTTTCATCTCCAACTCTATGTCAAGACCTTACTAAAGTGATAGGAATACAAAAGGGCAAAATAGATATGATTCCTGTCCTGATGGAATATACAGAGTGGTTTAATGAAAGGGTTATTATCTTAACAATTTCATTTGTAAAAATATATTTTCCATAACTTGACTAAGGTACTATCTTTATTCAGTAGGTTGTTTGAACTTTCTGGCTGGCAATGTGTTAATAGAAGTTGTTTTTTTAAAAAAAAAAAAGGCTGTTTTGTTCTATCGTTGTCTTACTCTGTCTTAAGTTTTTTCTGCTCTTCAGCTGATTCTCATTTTTTTTGCAGGATACAAAGTAGATTAATGGTGATAGTAGTAGTATAAAGCATCTTCGTTTTTTTTTTTTTGAGGCTGCAAAGCAGATTAATGGTGGTAGTAGTAGCAGTAGTTCTAATAGTACTAGTAGTAGGAACAGTAAATAACAGTCATAATGACAATAGCAAAGTGGAAATAGCTATCATCTACTCTGTCATCTCAAATTCTCCCAACAGCTCTGTAAGCAAAGATATACAAACAGATGAGGAAGTAGAGGCTCAAAGGGGTTCAATAATCTCCCCAAGGTCATCCAGGGGGTAAATGGTAAGAAAAGAATTTGAAACCATGTCTTTCTGACTTTAAAGCCTGTGCCCTTTTCATTCCATCGTATTTCCTTTCAAGCAAGGGAGACTGCTGGAGTTATTTTCTCAGTTCTGCTTCCTGGTATCTCCCTACTAATAAACTTTAATATTCATAAACTAGTTTGTGGGGTAATATTGTAATGCATACAATCATTAAGGAAGAGTGCATGTTTTGAGGATTAAAACATCTTTGAATTAGAAAACTGATTTATGAACCAACCAAAAAGGAATACATATGGAGTGTGCCAAGGTTAGTTGGAAAATTGTCCTCCTTTGACATATATTCTAAGAGTTATTGAAGAACATAAGCTAATGGCTTCTGGAAAATGTCAGAAATCCTATATACTTTCACAGTTTTGCCTGAGTGACTTTTATAAACCAGATTAGCAGAACTCTCTGAAGGCTTTACATTAATCTGACTTAAATATTTCAATTAAAATGGAACATTGATTAAATTTGGCATAAAAAAGCCTCCTAGGCAAGGCTCAGGACTAAGTCAGAAAGACACTGTGGAGTATTAGAAAGTGGCAGAAAGCACCATTGTATTGGAGAAAGTATCAACTTAGTTACTGCCAAGCTGTGTCTTTGGGGGCACATAAATTAATCTCTCCAGGCTTCTGCTACCTCATCTACAGAATGAGGGGAATCAGACTGTATGCTATTCAAAGTCCCTTCTAGTTCTAATCCACATTTTAAGCTACTTATAGTTTGAAAATATTACTGGCTAAATCAAAAGTCTGTGTAGCTAGAATTCCCAGCAAGTAGAAATTAATTAATTAATTTAAAAAGACATCTCCAATCATTAGAGATTATTTGGTTAATAGGACAGGATAAACTTATGCTTTCTCTTGCAGGGGCTCCAAAAAAAGACATTGGCTATTTCTCAAGTATCTTTCTTCCTAGACTTTTCCACCTCACAAACCTATACAGGCCAGTTGGTGTGATTACATTTAACTGCATGCTCCCAACAACCAGTGAAGCAGCAACTAGCATAGTGCCTTGGCAGAGAAAAGATACTCAGAAGATCTTCATTGAGTTGAGTTAAAATGAGAAAATAGGAGAAAGAATGTTATGCGAATCAGCACCAGAGAAGGTAAGTCTCTGAGTTTGCACAGGTGCAAGGAGCAGGTGTTACTCACAGCTGTTAGGGCATTCAGCTTGGAAACAGGTACCTGATGTCCAAAAACTCGAACTTCTTTATCAGTGAGGAAAAATCATAGCTCTTTTGTGGCACATATACCCAAATAGGCTAAGTATATGAATTATTCTTCCTGACATTCAAGGCCCTCCAGTAATTAGACCTACTTTCTCTATCTAACGTTATCTCTTGATATTCTCCAATGACACCCCTGGCTTCACTCAGTCATTAAACTTGAGAAATGCATGAATCTTAAGTTTCAGAATCAGAGAGTGGCCTTCAAATCCCAACTCAGTTCCTCATTAGCTGTGTGACCCGGGCAAGTTACTTAACCTTGCTGAGTCTTGATTTCCTCACCAGTAAGATAATAATACATATTTCATAGGGACTTTGAGAAGTCGTCATTGCATAAGATAAAGAAAATTATAATAATATTAGCTATCATTTATTGAGAGCCAACTATGTACCAGGCTTTATTCTCCCTTCATTGTACCACACACAGGGAGTTGCCCTCCTGTTGGTGGCAGACCTCCAACTAAGAATTCAGTATGGTATACAGAGGGTTTGAAGACAGTTGCTAGTCCAGGCAGGCAGTTAACAAGTGATGGGTATCCCAACAGCAGGCTGTGCATGTGCACCAGACACTTACAGACAGGCTTTTATTCAATAGCAAGGAAATCTAGCAGCAAATGTGCATATCTCAATATTTCTTTCTGTTCCTTGGGTTGTAAGAGACTTTGGAAATTGGAAGAATCCAAAAGGAAATGTAGAGTCACTTTTCCTAATGTGTGGAAATGGAATGGGGAAAAGACCCCCCAAAACTTGCTTTGTTGCCTTGGGCAAGTTGTGTAACTTCTCAAGTTTGAGTTCCTTTATCTATAAATTGGGGCCTGTACTATTCAGTACTGTGGTAAAGATTAGCAATAATGTGTGTAAAATGATTAATATGGCACCCAGCACATATCATAAATAGTGACTGTATTTAGTGTGGCATTAGTTATATTCTTCTAGCTCTGAAGGATTCAAATGTCAGCTAAATACAAGATATCATCCCCATATAGCAGAAAAAATATAGGTACAATTATCATGCTTAATATTTAACAATTTGATGAGGTTTCAAAAAATCATGACAAGTAGCTTTCTTATACTGTTCACAATTCTGGAGAAAATATGTAACATAGGGCCTAGGAGCTGCAGTTTGCATTGATCTCCTATAGTAATCATCAATTGCCCCACACAATTTAGTACTTTATTGCAGCTCATCCTATATACCATACAGACAGCTCCAAATTTTATATATCTAGTTCAAACTTTTCCCTGAATGCCAGATTCATATATTTAACTGTCTACTCTACATCCCCTCTAGAGTATATAATAAGTATTTCTAAAACATGGCCAAAACAGAACTTTTGTAACCCCTCACAAAATCTGACCTCCCTCAGTCTTCCTCATTTCAGGAAATAGCACTACTGTCTACCCTATTAGTAAAACCAAAAACCCAGGAATCATCATGAGGAAGTATAGTCATTCTATCTCTATAATATCTCTTAAATCTGTCTACTTTTTACTACCTCTATTACTACCCTTCTGACCCAAGCCACCATCATCTTTCTTTTATAGCTGACACATGCTGTTCCCTCTAAAATATTTTTCACCCGCTCTTCATCTAGATGGCTTTTTCTTAACCATCAGGGTCCAGCCTCAACTTTATTTTGTTCAAGTAGGCCATCCCCAATCTCAATTAGTCTTTGTTATTTTCCTTATAATGATATATTGCAATATATAATTATACATGTATCCATATGTTTATTCACTTAATCTCTGTCTATTCTCCCCCCTCTCATTATACTTCAAGCTCACTCAGGACAGACATCATACCTTTTTTAGTTTATCTATTTACCCAGAACAATGAGTATTTGATGAATGTTAAAAGAATATCAAATGTATTACATGTGGAGTGAGGGTGAATAACGGTTTCCACTTCATTAGATATTTTTTCACTTGTCCCAAAATGTCCTTTTTACCTTTCACCTCATATGCTCGCCAGGAGGTAAATTAAATAGCATCATGAAGATAATTTTACTAGCACAAAATGTAAGGATAACAAAATCAAAAAATGTTGATTTTAAGAGCAAGGGGGATTGGGTAATTAAACTGTGATTTAAAATGCCTTTTATCATAAAAAATTACAGCACAATTATTTTTCATTCAACTATTATGCTACAGTTTATGGTGAGACTATGATGTCTTGACCATCAACATTAAGCAAATAACTAGGGTACTGACCCAGTAGCTTCAAAACATCATTATTACTGCCCTTCTATCTCATTTTCCCAGAATATAGCTAGAGAGAGTTATCAGACACTGTAAGATGAGCTCCAATGCAAAGGACTCAAAACACACAAAATATGTAAATTCATTCATTCAACAAACATACTAAGTGACTACTATATGACAGACACAGAAGTGGTTATTCCTCCAGGCCAGTCAGAGAGGATCAAGGCAATGTACCCCAGAAAGGAACCAATCTTCTTTCCCTGCAGACCCATGCCCATGAGACTCATCACATAGGCCTCTGCATCTGGTGGTTGCCAGTTGCTCTTCAGGATCCCCACTGGAGCCCAGTGACAAATCATGGAGACATTTCTAACTATATAAAGTACTTCCAGTACCAAGAAATGATTTACAGACTTGAACTGATGAATTATTTTCCTATTTGATGCCAAAGGAGGCCATTTAACTGCCTTTATAAACCACCAGGGATTAATCATAATGACATAAGGAAATGCTAGACAGGAAAAGTCCAGTTTCCTCAACATGCTTGTCCTCCGGACTCATTTCCACCTCAGCTTTGTCTTAGCAGCTTTTGCTCTTGGCTCATACATCCCTTAAAATTCTTGCTGGCTGCAAAAACTCATTTATACAGACAACAATACTTGCCCTGACCACCTTAATTGACAAATTATTCCACATGATTGCATCTCCTTGAATAAAATATTTCTGCCTGAAATATTAATACCTATTTATATGGCTCTTTGCTTTTTAATAGCCCCCTAGTTAACTTTCTATTTTTTTTCCATTCAAGCTCTGTAAATGAAGCACCCTATTAACAACAGCAATTTGTCTTAGACCATTTGTCAGACTGCTTTCTTGTCATGAAATGGCCATGAACTCACCTTTGAAAACTTTCCTGTAATAATAATGATGATGATAATAATACTAATTATAATATAGTCATGAATTGCTTAACAATGGGAATACATTTTGAGAAATGTGTCATTAGGTGATTTCATCATGGTATAAGTATCATAGATTGTCCTTACCAAACCTAGATGGTATAGCCTCCTACACACTTAGGCTATATGATATAGCCTATTGCTCCTAGGCTACAAACCTGTACAGCATGTTAGTGTACTGAATACTACAGACAATTGTAACACAATGGTAAGGATTTGTGTATCTAAATATAACTAAACATAGAAAAGGTACAGTAAAAATACAGTATTATAATCTTATGGGACCACCGTTTTATATACAGTCCATCATTGACAAAAATATCATTATGCATGCATGACTGCAATTAATATGATGTATTAAGTACCTACTATTTCTCAATCATCATACTAAGTATTTTTTTATGATTATACTTTAAGTTCTGGGGTACATGTGCAGAACGGGCAGTTTTGTTACATAGGTATACACCTGGCATGGTGGTTTGCCACACCCATCAACCCGTTACCTACATTAGGTATTTCTCCTAATGCTATCCCTCCCCTAGACCCCTACTCCCCAAAAGTCCCCGGTGTGTGATGTTCCCCTCCCTATGTCCATGTGTTCTCATTGTTCAACTCCCACTTATGAGTGAGAACATGCGGTGTTTGGTTTTCTATTCTTGTGATAATTTGCTGAGAATGATGGTTTCCAGCTTCATCCATGTCCCTGCAAAGGACATGAACTCATCCTTTTTTATGGCTGCACAGTATTCCATGGTGTACATGTGCCACATTTTCTTTATCCAGTCTATCATTGCTGGACATTTGGGTTAGTTCCAAGTATTTGCTATTGTGAAGAGTGCTGCAATAAACATGGGCGCATGTGCCTTTATAGTAGAATGATTTATAATCCTTTGGGTATATACCCAGTAATGGGATGGCTGGGTCAAATGGTATTTCTAGTTCTAGATCCTTGCAGAATCACCACACTGTCTTCCACAATGGTTGAACTAATTTACACTCCCACCAAGAGTGTAAAAGCATTCCTATTTCTCTGCATCCTCTCCAGCATCTGTTGTTTCCTGACTTTTTAATGATCACCATTCTAACTGGTGTGAGATGGTATCTCATTGTGGTTTTGATTTGCATTTCTCTAATGACCAGTGACGATGAACATTTCTTCATATGTCTGTTGGCTGCATAAGTGTCTTCTTTTGAGAAGTGTCTGTTCATATCCTTTGCCAACTTTTTGATGCGTTTTTTTTTTCTTGTAAATTTGTTTAAGTTATTTGTAGATTCTGGATATTAGCCCTTTGTCAGATGGATAGATTGCAAAAATTTTCTCCCATTCCGTAGGTTGCCTGTTCACTCTGATGATAGCTTCTTTTGCTGTGCAGAAGCTCTTTAGTTTAATTAGATTCCATTTGTCTATTTTGGCTTTTGTTGCAATTGCTTTTGGTGTTTTAGACATGAAGTCTTTGCCCATGTCTATGTCCTGAATGGTATTGCCCATGTTTGCTTCTAGGACTTTTATGGTCCTAGGTCTTACATTTAAGTCTTTGATCCATCTTGAGTTGATTTTTGTATAAGGTGTAAGGAAGGAGTCCAGTTTCAGTTTTCTGCATGTGGCTAGGCAGTTTTCCCAACACCATTTATTAAATAGGGAATCTTTTCCCCATTGCTTGTTTGCATCAGGTTTGTCAATGATCAGATGATTGTAGATGTGTGGTGTTATTTCTGAGGCCACCGTTCTGTTCCATTGGTCTATATATCTGTTTTGGCACCAGTACCATGCTGTTTTTGTTACTGTAGCCTTGTAGTAGAGTTTGAAGTCAGGTAGCATGATGCCTCCAGCTTTGTTCTTCTCACCCAGGATTGTCTTGGCTATGCAGGCTCTTTTTTGGTTCCACATGAAGTTTAAATTAGTTTTTTTCCAATTCCTTGAAGAAAGTCAGTGGTAGCTTGATGGGAATAGCCTTGAATCTATAAATTACTTCGGGCAGTATGGCCATTTTCATGATATTGATTCTTCCTATCCATGAGCATGGCAAAAGACAAGAAATAACTAAGATGGGCCAGGCGTGGTGGCTCACGCCTGTAATCCCAGCACTTTGGGAGGCCAAGGCGGGAGGATCAGGAGGTCAAGAGATCGAGACCATCCTGGTCAACATGGTGAAACCCCATCTTTACTAAAAATACAAAAATTAGCTGGGCATGGTGGTGCACGCCTGTAGTCCCAGCTACTCGGGAGGCTGAGGCAGGAGAGTTTTTTGAACCCAGGAGGCGGAGGTTGCAGTGAGCCGAGATCGCACCACTGCACTCCAGCCTGGTGACAGAGCGACACTCCATCTCAAACAAAACAAAACAAACAAACAAAAAATAATAAAAAAATTGTTCCAGTCAAACCATATCATAGTAATGTGTGCAGCAGATAATTTTATAAGCATTTACTAGTGGGAGGGGCTCAGGCTTTGGAAAAACAACCACCTGAGGCTTTATTCCACCATTATCATTTAGTTGCTGTAGAACATTGAGAAAAAAATTACTTAAATTCCCCAAATTTCAATTTCCACATCTATAAAGCAGGGCTAAAATGACATACCTTACAGGATTCTGAGCTGATCAAATGAGATGATATTTATGAAACACAGAGCCTAGCTCCTAGTTCCATAATTTTATGTTGTATCTAAATAGTAAGGCAAAGCTTTGTATAGGGAGCAGCAGATCTTGAAGAGCCCTAATGTAATTGGTGCTACAAGATCTACACAAAGAAGATCTCTCATAAATTATTACTATAAATTAGTATCAGGCAATGTGGTGAAAACTTTTGCAAAATTATTGAGGGAATTCAGGAGAAAAAATAGGCGATTATAAGATGAGGTTAGTCTGTGATGGCTTCACGAGGAAATTACGGAAATGTAAAACATGTAGTAGCAAAGAGGAGTGGAAAAAGCATGAAGCAGGCAGGCAAGCAGGAAGGAATAGAACTAGTGACATGTATTGAGCAGGACCCATTCAGGTAATTTGTAACAGGGTGCTTTAAGAGTAATGTTTTGAAATAAACGTGGATTCAAATCCTAGCTCCATCACTTACTATGGTGTGTGATCATAACAAGTAACTTAGCTTCTCTGACTGTTCATTTCTTCCCTTATAAAATATAGGAAATAATCACCAGCCTTTTGAGGTTGTGAGAAGCTTTGACTGATTATAAAGTATAATCCTTGACCTAATAAATGATAGTTCTCTGAGCATCTGCTCTACTCTATTGGATCTAGTTCATGGCTGGTCTCCCTCTGTACCAAGCTCCTAGTTTTCATTCCTATGGAAGGGTGCCTTGATAGAATATTCTCAGCTTGCTCAAACCACTGCTTTCAGGCTGGGAGAGAACAAGGTAACTGAGACTCCCAAGAATATACATAATGGACCTAGGAAAATCTGCTCCCATGGATCTCAGGAAACTACATAGCTAGGAGTCACAGTGTAACCCCTTCCTAAGAATCCCTTCCCCCAGCACTAACTTGGTGTCAGAGAAGGCAGCCAAGGAGTCAATGGTCACCTTAGGTGATGGACGAGAGCCATTGGAGTAGAACTGGCCTGGATTGCACACGTTTGCCATATACTGCTGTCATGTGCTCTAACTTGTTCAACCCCAGCTATCCAAACTGGTCTCCTGCACAGTTGCTTGCAAAATAAGCCCACAGGAATGAATGCTCTCACAGCCCCTGACTCTACAGAAAAATAAGACTGTCTTTCTTCTTATGGGAAAGTTAATAGTATTTGTTCATCTCCCTGTAGGGCATAGAAACATGATACAAAAACTTTCCTGGGACAAAGACTGGCAATCTCTCCATGGTTGTCATCAATAGGGTTAATAGATAGCCCTGTGTCATAGGTTGAGGCAGAATGAAGGAAATAAGGGAAAGAAAGGAGAGACAAAATAAAAATGCAGAAGAAGGAAAAAAGTCACTCTATGGACTGACATCCAAGGCCCTTTTTTTTTCAGTGATCCTCAGTAGGATTTTTTTTCTTCTAGTTCCCCAAGGTCATGAATATTGTTGACCTTGTTTCTAGAAGGAACAAGCAGCCACCTGCAGGGTAGATTGTGACACTCTGGGAAATGCCCCCCACAGGCCCTGCAAAGTCCCCAGAAATTCCCACCATTAGTTATGCCTATGAGTTACAGAATTGAAATATCTATTAAATTGCAAATATGTTAGCTGAGAAGAGAAGCATTTTTGGTCTTTATCAGTCATGAATTTTTTAGCTCATTGAGACATTAGATTAACCCCAGGAGAAAGCAAGGATCTGAGGAGATGAGCTGCAGAGAAAACAGGTCATTGAAACATTTAAAAGAGGCAGATAAGAGACAAAGATGTCATCCAGGGTGGGCTGGGTAGGCTAGGAAAGGCCAGGGTCATCCAGAAAAGGAGAATAAAGCCTAGGAGGAAAGACAAAGAAACTGCTGCAAGCTGGTCATGAGATTTCTGCACTGTGCAAAAGAACAGTCAATTATGAAATGCACAGTCAGTCATGTGAATGTTCCCTTAATGCATCCAAGAACTATTGACTGCTGTGGTTGTTCCTTATTAGGTCACACAAAAGGTACAAATGAGGTACATGTTCATGTGATAATCAGGACACGTACATTCAGATCATGTTAACTGCCTGCTCATAGTGAACATGGAGGAGAGAGAACATATGCCAATGATTTGTTCCCTTCAGTGCTTCACATCACACCGCTTCAGGGCAGCTTTAAGGCGGGTGCTTCATCCCCAGGGCTCTTCCTTTATCTGTAATACTGGACACCAACTTGCTTCATCATCTAAATCACTCACTTTTCTAAGGTGATCCATTTGTCAATACCCGTCCCATAGTATTACATCCATAAATTGTGCCCCTTTCACTCTTGTTGGATCGACTAGTCTACTGGATGGTGTGATTAGGATGGCTTCTGAATGCTGTTCCCAGTTTGTCTTTTAACTGCTCTCCAGGCCACTTCAGGTTTTCTTTCTTTAAATTTTTTTCCACTCACTGCTAGAGATGGAAATAGTGGAACAGAGTCTGAGTCAGTCACACAGTCAGTCGCTTGTTTAATAAAAGTCCTACTGAACCAAATCTTCAAAGGCAAAAGCCACAAACATGCAGTCCCCATGTTGAATTTAGCATACAGGCTGTTTTATTTGGTCTACAGAGTGCTTTACAATTTACGGATTTCCACACAAAAATCCAGACTTCAGGTGTCTCTTATAAATCAGAGGGCCTAGTAATATTGGATTCTCAATCTCACATGGCAGCAATCAGCTAGGGTTGAGTCAGTACAGCTAGTACTCTCCAATTTTTCCTTCAGTTGTTGCTTCACACACCTGGTCCACCTCACACTGTGGACATGACCTGCCTGGCTGCTGGAAGCATTTGAGTATTATTTTTGTTTTGTTTTGTTTGAGTTGGAGTTACTCTCTTGTTGCCCAGGCTGGAGTGCAATGGCACAATCTCGGCTCACCACAACCTCCAACTCCCAGGTTCAAGCAATTCTCCTGCCTCAGCCTCCCAAGTAGCTGGGACCACAGGCATTCGCCACCACGCCTGGCTAATTTTATATTTTTCTTAGTAGAGATGGGGTTTCTCCATGTTGGTCAGGCTGGTCTCAAACTCCCAACCTCAGGTGATCCGCCCATCCCGGTCTCCCAAAGTGGTGGGATTACAGGCGTGAGCCACCGTGCCTGGCCGCATTTGAGTATTGTTAGCGGCTACCTCTGCTGATTTGGTTTCAGACATCAGTAGTAAATCGTTTTCCTTTTAGAATCAGAAATAGTTATTCCAAAAGACAAAACAATGGATTGGTATACCAACATTTTAAATAAAAGGTTATTTCAGAGATTCTTAGGCCTGAGCTCTGGAGTCACCAACTTTGGAATCCTCCTTGAGTTGCATCTCTTCTTCTGGCCTAGTACCCAGGATTAAGGGACAGCAAACAGAGTAACAGTGGGGCAGAGTAGGAAAAGTGTAACTAGGACTTATAAGATGGGGATTCTAGTCCTAGCTGTGCAATTCACCAGCTTATATCCTAGGGTCATTGTTTTAAACTCTCTCAGCCAAGATTAATAATAATAATACTACATTTGCTGACAATTCCATAAAGTTCTTGTAACAGAATGAGATCCCAGAAGTGAAAGTGCTTTGAAATTATAAGATGCTCTACAAACACAAAGTTGTCTTATTTGTACCCAATCAAAACACTTACCAATCAAATAAGCACTCAGCCAAAGCAAGCTACAAATAATTTTTGAATACCTATCATATACTCAGCACTTATAGATGTAGATATTAATTAGTCAACAAATCCATTCCCTTAAGGAGCTTACAGGATGGTTGAAAAAATAAACAATGGAAAAAATAAGTGATACTAATCATAACCTAAATGCCAAATAAGTATTTTATTTCAACTGTTGATGTTATAGGCATTAGCAGGAGGCCAATAGAGCCAGATACTCACTCAATTATTCACTTAGCTTTCCTAAAGTTTGTTCTGTGGAAACTTAACATCCTCAGATGCTTTGGGGGCTGGGAATATTATGTGTTCATACAAGTTTAGGAAATGTCCTAAAAATATATCCCATTCCCCCACCGCTTTTTTTTTTTGAGATGGAGTCTCACTCTGTAACCCAGGCTAGAGTGCAGTGGCCTGATCTCAGTTCCCTGTAACCTCCACCTCCCGAGTTCAAGTTTTTCTCTTGCCTCTGCCTCCCAAGTAGCTGGGACTACAGGTGCACACCACCACAGCCAGCTAATTTTTGTATTTTTAGTAGAGATGGGGTTTCATCATGTTGGTCAGGCTAGTCTTGAACTCCTGACCTCAAGCAATCCACCCACCTCAGCCTCTCAAAGTTCTAGGATTACTGGCATGAGCCACCACACCTGGGCTCCAACCCCCTTTTAGAAAATTAGAGTACACATTAGATATTATGGGCACTAAGGTGCCCTGAGATACCCTGCAAAAAAGATGACTGTTTAACTTTGACCTGGCAGATACACAAATAACTACAGAAACTCTCTTCTCCCTTCCCCACTCTTCTCTCTTCCTCTCCTTTCTTCCTCTCCTCTCCTTTCCTCTTCTTTCTCTCTTGGAAATCTCTCTCTTAACATTTCTTAGAATCAGGGTTCCACAAAATACAATTTGAGAAGCACTATTCTAGTGAATAACTCTCTTTTCACAGGTTCCAAAGGAGAACACACTTCTGTCCCTACCTGTCTGCTTTCAGAACAACATTACAAACTTGGATCCTGAACTTCTTACTGTACACAGTAGGCACTGATTTATGTGTTGATTGATCTTTACCAACTGAGCCAACATTGTTTAACTAGACATTCATCCATTGCTTCACTTCCACTAGCTTGAAATCATAGTCATAACTGCAATGAACATCATTGGAATATTCTCAATATAAATTATCATACTAGTAGGGCCATATGGCATCAAAACACAAAATTCAGTAACAATTTACCATGTTTCATGCATTCTTAATTTTTCTGGAGCCTCACTTTTCCTTGCTTTTTTCCTGGCACCATACCACATGCAGATTCAATTATTGGCCCTACTCCTAACGATCTTAACTAAAGTGCTAAGAGCTAAGGACTAAGTTCAAAATGCCAAGTGTGCTTTTTTTATGGATATCTAAATTCTAATAGGGAATTATTGAAGACCAAATTGTGAATGTCCAAAAAGGATATTATAGTGGAATGATAGACATCGTGTCCAATATTTTGGTTTATGTTCTCTAGGTATGCAATACACATTTGGTGAGTGAAATCATGCAGTTTTTTGCCTGGTGGTGATTAAAAAGCTACATCTGAGAATTGGAAAGACCTAGGTTTATATCTGTGTTCTGCCATTTCCTGAGTATGTGACTTTGGGTACATCATTTCACCTAAGTTTTAGTTTATTTCTCTATAAATTGGGACAATAATAGTAACCACCATAGGGGCCCAGGCAGAAAATTCCCCTTGGCCCTCTGAAGATTTGCTGAAAAATCAACTCACAAAAGCAGAATAATTGGAGAAAAGCATATACATTTATCTAACATGTATACACTGTATACACAGGAGCCTTCAGAATGAAGACCCAAAGATACAGGGAAAATTGCCCATTTTTATGCTTAGGTTCAGCAAAGAATGGACAGCCATGTAGGCATATGATTTGATAAAAAGACTATGATCTAATGCTAATGAGCTGAGTGGGGAAAACCAGCAAGGCCTGTCTGTCTAGATTCTTCTGGGCTTCTCTGAGCACACATTCCTTCCAGGACCCTCTCTGGAATGGGGACCTTATGACCTATAGTTAAACAAGGTAGGTCAAATAACTTCTTTGTGGCCAGTTTTCACACAGAGAAGTGGAGAGAAAGTTAGAGTAATATTTTTAGGTTTTATGGCTGGCTTTGCAGGAAAGGGGTTCTGGTTTCTATGACCTGCTTTGGGGAAGAGGGATTCCAGTTTCTATGGCTAGCCTCCGGGGAGGGTGGGGAGAATGGGACTGAGAGACAGGAGGGCAGGAAAAGGTCAAAGACAAACTTGCTTATGAGTCCTTCATTTTGAAGTATTGTTTTCTGAGCCCCAACACCACCCTCATATGTTGGTTGTGAGGACTAAATGAGAAAATGAATGAAAATCTCTAAACGCAATGTATGTTGCACAGTGAGCTCTCAATAGATAAAAGCTCTCTGGGAGCCCTTTTTATGATTATTATGGAGTTGCTGGCTTAGAGATTACATCTGTTATATTATCTTTATTCAGTCAAAATCCCCGCTACTATTTATTTCACCAACTCTCCACCATATTGCTATGTTCCACTGTTTTTTTCTAAACTCACCCTCCCCTGCAAAATCTCAGCATTAACAGTAGAAGGATAAATAAACTAAGAGCCAGGACCACAAAAAGTGTGTTTTCCAGCCTGAATGTGAAATTGCTTCCTCTGTGTGTAAATAGCTGCCATTTTCCACACCAGAGGAAAGTTTTTCTAACAAGCTATGTAATCTAAATGACACCTGCAACAAGGCACTACAATTAAACTTTGCAAAGTGGAATTAAAAGCATTTGCTAAAGCCATGCGTTTGAACATATTCACCAAAGACTGATCCCAAATCCTACTTGGTAGTTTTACCCCAAGCTTTATATCCAGATTGCTTTGCTACTATTGCTGAATAGTAATCTAGCAGCAAATCTTTGAAGTATTTTCAAGGAATAAATCCTTCTTGCCATCATATTCAAATGCCAATGGGTTAAGAGATTACCCCTAATGTGTGAAAAGTCTCCAACCAGGGACTCTAGAGCTGTCTACAATAATCAGGAGGAGAGGTGTTGTTTGCATATTCACCAGGAAACAGGTTAGTGGTTTCTTCTAAGTAGCTAATGCTCATGTCTAAAAAGCTGCATAAAAGCATGTATTTCTGAATGATTTGCCAGGTGAATGGTGAATTGCCTTCCAAATAAAGATAATTAGTTCTGGCTTCCTTCTTGTGTCCATTTTGAAGAATCCCTATAAGTAATGTCTGCCTTTGACCTTCTTTTTTTTTTATTATACTTTAAGTTTTAGGGTACATGTGCACATTGTGCAGGTTAGTTACATATGTATACATGTGCCATGCTGGTGCGCTGCACCCACTAACTCGTCATCTAGCATTAGGTATATCTCCCAATGCTATCAGTCCCCCCTCCCCCCACCCCACCACAGTCCCCAGAGTGTGATATTCCCCTTCCTGTGTCCATGTGATCTCATTGTTCAATTCCCACCTATGAGTGAGAATATGCGGTGTTTGGTTTTTTGTTCTTGCGATAGTTTACTGAGAATGATGATTTCCAATTTCATCCCTGTTTGCAGACGACATGATTGTATATCTAGAAAACCCCATTGTCTCAGCCCAAAATCTCCTTAAGCTGATAAGCAACTTCAGCAAAGTCTCAGGATACAAAATCAATGTACAAAAATCACAAGCATTCTTATACACCAACAACAGACAAACAGAGAGCCAAATCATGAGTGAACTCCCATTCACAATTGCTTCAAAGGGAATAAAATACCTAGGAATCCAACTTACAAGGGATGTGAAGGACCTCTTCAAGGAGAACTACAAACCACTGCTCGAGGAAATAAAAGAGGATACAAACAAATGGAAGAACATTCCATGCTCATGGGTAGGAAGAATCAATATCGTGAAAATGGCCATACTGCCTTTGACCTTCTTAAGGCAGACTTTCTCTTCTTATCCCTAGAGACTCTATCCCATTATGTTGCTCACTCTCTCCTACTCCTCTTCTTTTTCCATTATCACCTGTACTACAGTTCTCACCTTCTTATAACCAACTCTCCTGTCTTACTTTTTCACTTCAATTAACCCTCCGCACAAATTCAACATGAGAATAAAGAAAAAAACTTTAAAATAGCATATAGTCACCTAAAATATGCTGTGGGAAATAAAACTGTCGCTGTAGGCATCATTAGCAAATGACCTAAACATGCTACTGTGCACGTCTATTTGTTGTTAAACCCTTCCCTATGCATCTGCAGCCTTTGAAGGAATAAAAAGAAATTTCCACAATAATATAACAAAAGTCTGCTACGATTTATATAATAAAAGTGTTCCAGAAAAGTTGCATTTAAATCAAATCCTGTTTTAATGCAGAAAGAAAGCTAACTATCTAAAGAAATACTATGACATATATGGAGAAATTATTTCATTAAAGCAAATGATAACCTTCTAGTTTATCAGTTTTGAATATCTGGATCTTTTTATATTTGACCTTCTTAAAGCAAATAGCACCTATGTACCTTTAAGAAACACTTGTTTTACTGAAGTTATATTTCTCAGAATCATAAATTTAAAAAGAATAGTCAGAAAATAAGCTTTAGAAATTTGACAATCTTTCAAAATTTGCATAAGGGAAATACACCATTTAAAGAACCTCTATTTACATAATTTTGTAATTAACCACCTCTATTCATGTCATATTGAAATTCTTATCCCATGCTAAACCCAAAACAAGTATGAGTGGTTACTCTTTAAATAATCCTAGCCTTATATTTTGAATTATGAGAAGACAATCTGCTTGTTAATTGTTTTCATATTATTGAGCATACAAAGCATGGTATAAGTTATATAATGTTCCAAAAAAGAATAAACCTTCACAGAGCAAACTCTTGAACTTCCATACCAAGTAGCCATTTTGTTTCTACATCAAGCATAACATTTGAACTGTGTGAATAAATACACAAATATGATACTTTCTTATATGAATGACGACCACTGACCCAAGGATAATCATAAACAAATTCTGAATTATCTTTTCCAGCTCCTAGCTTGTTGCCTGGCATGTAACATGTACTCAGTAAATATTTATTTAAGTGGTAAGTGAATAAATGATTGCTTTCCCTAGTTGAAGTCGCTTTTACCCACACACTACCTTGACACATTTTCCTTGGTTACCATGATCTCTATTTTCATGGCAGTTCCTAGAAATTTAAAGGAAACAAATTGGGGCCTATAAAAATCAGTGTGTGTGTGTGCATGTGTGAACTAACATACTCACAAAATAATCAAACCTATGACTTTGACTTGTTAGCACCATTCTCTTCTCTAGTGTCTCTCAAAAACATGATCCTTGGAAAGCATAAAACAGAATCACCTGGACAAAAAGGTAAATTCCTAGTCTTACTGATGTACTAAATTAGAATCTAAGGGAGAAATCTGAGGATCTGTATTTAGAGATCTTCATCTTCATCCTATCTGGGTCCCTTTACATGATTCTGATGCACATTAAATTTTGAGATCCTCTGCGAGGTATTCAAGTGAAATTTTAGATCTGTAGTTAAAACAAGTAAACTAACATCTTATAAAATATACAAAATAAGTAGCTCTAGCTCTCTTTTCCAGAATCTAAAATGAAATGAAAGAAGCAAATGCGTTGTCAACAGAACCCATTTGATGTGAGTGAAAAGGAGGTTTCGTATTTACTTTATTCTGGTTCAACTTGAAACTCAAGCCAAATACTATAATGTTACAAGATTCAGCAAATGATCCAAAATGGAAGTGCTCTGCAAGCCTCTCATAAGGATTAGTGACTGTGGCCAAAGTGATGATGCTGCGACGCTTTGTGCATGGTCAGGTCACTTATTAATAATGTACAACTGCCCATGATTGAATTTTCTGCCATAAATGAGGCAGGGAAGTCTAGTTCATGTTGAAGAAATCAGAAACTAATCAAAAGCAGATCTTTGCTATTTGGAATTGGCCCAATATGGTAGTTATTTTGAAAGCTCATAGGGAAAAGAACATGCAATTCTAATCAAAAGAATTTTTAAACTTTCATAGAAGGCACTCTACAAAATCAAACTAAGAAGTAAAACTATCATTTATTAGTACAGAGAGTGAAGTAATATATATGTATATTATATATTAGTTTATTAAAAATATATATTTTGTGTTCCCTGTGCTAACATTTAGAATTTTGAAAAAGACAAAAACAATGAATCTCAAGGATCAAAAACCAAATTAAATATATGGGTTGTAGCAATCAACTTAACTCAGCAAGTATTAATTAGTTGACTGATTTTAACACTATCTCAAAAAGGTCATCCAGACCTTTTTGAACCTTTTTAAACAAAAATAAAATAGAAGAAAAAATGTATTGCTAACATTAGAAAGAGTATGTTATAAATTAACCAACTGGCTGATGTTGGCATTAGATGGTTAAACAAGTAATGCCCAAGTACATTAATCATAAGTCAATTAATGCAATCAATATTGCAATTGTCTAGGTAATTTTGAAGTTTATCATGGCTTGGATATTATCCACAATAGAAATATGTATGTGTATACATACAAACACACACACACATACTTTTTTAATTGTTTATATTTAAGGTTATACAACAAGATGTTTTTTGTTTATACATATACATAGCAAACTGATTACCACAGTCAAACAAATTAGCATATCAATCTCCTCATATGTTTATTTTTGTGGTAAGAGCACCTAAAATTTATCTCTTAGCAAATTTTCAACATGCAATATTATATTTATTTTTCATTTTTGAGACAGAGTCTTGCTCTGTTGCCTAGGCTGGAGTGAAGTGGCGTGATTTCAGCTCACTGCAAACTCTGCCTCCTGTGTCAAGCAACTCTCCTGTCTCAGCCTCCCTAGTAGCTGGGATTATCGGCACATGCCACCACGCCTGGCTAATTTTTTTTTTTTTTTTAGTAGAGACAGGGTTTCCCCATGTTGGTCAGGCTGGTCTCAAACTCCTGACCTCAAGTGATCCACCTGCCTTGGCCTCCCAAAGTGCTGGGATTGATTACAGGCATGAACCACTGCGCTGGCCTCAGCATACAACATTATTAACTACATGCTGTACATTAAATCACTAGACTTATTCATCCTATATAACTGCAACTTTGTATGCACCTTTTGACCTACACTCCTTATTCCCCACTCTCTGTCCCGTATCCATTTTTCTACTCTCTTTTGCAACACATTCAACTTTTTTTTAGGTTCCATATATGAGATTAAAATACACATGACAGATATAATAATAGGAAAATTAGTCAAGATTTGTTTGTGAGCAATAGTAAGTAGATTTTTTTGTCATACAGTTTCTCAGGTTCCATCACATTCATTGTAAGGGATATCTTTTTGGTATTAGATTCTGTCTTATGTCTCTGAAAATTACTTCCTAAAATTCTCTAACAAGTAAGAATATTCTGAGTTTATCCTTCCACTAGTTTACATTTTGTTTGTACTTCAGATTTAAAACACACATGCATGTTCTTCATTTGGAGTTGCTCTAAGAATCACTAGAAGCTCACAATAACATCACTCACTTATGGAGAATTTTGTATAAATGATATTTTGGATGCAGTCTAAGAAGATTTCATTCCAAAAATCTAACAGATTCTCATTCTAAAATCAGCCTTCACCTACAAGGAGATTCCACAAATGGGTTAAGTCAACATTCTAGATTGGCTCCACTATATATTTTCTGAGATGTTTAGTAATAATGATACCTTGAAGAGTTCAGAACCTTTCATAAAGACAGAGAACAGACACACAGCAACTAGGCCCTTGTTCTCTAAACTCTTTTTTCATATTCCATATATTGCTTTTACTCAGTACAACTTATTAATAGCAAGTTTCTCAACTATTTGATTTGCAGGCAATTCTAAATTCACAGAAAGTTGACTCTTTGAACAAAACTCTTGCTTCCCAAACCAAATTATACTTAAAATCTCATTTGCCGTAATTTTGTAGAACTGATTCCTACCTGTAACTTTCAATTCAGTTGTTCGTCTTACAAGTTTTCCTTCATATTTAAGTTCACATGTGTAATTTCCTCCATCTTCTTCTTGAACTTCTTGGATCAGAAGAGCATTTCCTTTCTGTATTATTATGCTTCTCCACATTTTTGGCTTGCATTCCTGCAGATAAAATATTTGCAAGTAAGCAAAAAATAGAATTTCACAGACTACATCTCAGTACCAGCAAGTTAGTACTTTTACTTTTTTGTATTATTCTCTTTCGTTTTCAAAATATGTAACTAAGGAGTTAAGTCAATGACCAAGAAAAATCACAAATGTGTCCTATTGTATCCAATTCTAATATCACAACTACTGCACTACAAACCACTTCAAAGGCCTGACCCCAAGAGCAAGAAGTCTTTAGAGGCATTCTGAAAAAAATAAATAGAATAGCATAGAGGCTCCCCAATTACAAGAGAGGTATAGCAGAACCTTAACAGTCACTAAATATTATTATAATGTCCTGGTTCCTTCTATTTGACAAGGATATTTCCTAAGAGTCCTAAGAGGACATGGTTCACTTAGCCACTTAGTATACTCCAGGGGAGTCTTAGGCATTATTAATCTTTCATAATAGGATTTTATATTGGCAATGAAGTTTACAATTGTTTCATTAATTACTCCTTATTATAAAAACTAATACTAGTACTCCAGAATCTCCCTTCTTGTAATCAAGAAATCCATGTGGGGGTAGAGAGGGAAGGAATATAAAAAATTAAGGACTTCTCTAGAAACATAGCTAGGTAAAATGAGGACACGCTTTGTTATAGTAACAGCCTGGAGAAATCATCCACTTACTTTCTGAGTTCAGTGATATATAACCACAGAACAAGTTTTGGGTTTTGAAGCCAATTATCTTACTCTCCTGATAGGAATGTGAGGGAATCTTGCTACCAAGATTGGACTTCTCTAGAAAGGAATGTTTAATACTTTTCCAGAAAGTGACAAGGATATAACAATATCCAAGTATGTAAGAATATTCAGGCAATTATCTTTGTCTTTTAGGAATTTTTTTTCAGACTACTTATTAGATATTGCCCCATTCTGGCTATCATTCGCCTCAAATGTTCTACCAAAGTGGTAGCCGAATGCTGTACAAACATCAGTCAAGGCGTAGGGGATAGCTGTTAGGGAGTGCTGAATATTCAAGGCAAAAAATATTTTATTGCCAGGCACGGTGGCTCACGCCTGTAATCCCAGCACTTTGGGAGGCTGAGGCAGGCGGATCACTTGAGGTCAGGAGTTTGAGACCAGCCTGGCCAACATGGTAAAACCCTGTCTCTACTAAAAATACAAAAATTAGCTGGGCGTGGTGTCATGTGCCTGTAATCCCAGCTACTTGAGAGGCTGAGGCAGAAGAATCTCTTGAATCCAGGAGGCAGAGTTTGCAGTGAGCCGAGATCACGCCACTGCACTCTATTCTGGGTGACAAGAATGAGACTCTGTCTCAAAAAAAAAAAAAGTATTTTATCATGTAAATTCTGTCAGTTAAGGCAATAAATAAATTGATTTTGAGGTAGATGATGTGAACAATAGTTGAGAGCACTTTTTACTTTCCCCACTATGGTGTATACAACATCTGCATCTACCACTCCTCACCCCTGCCTCCATACGCATATCTTAAACATTCATGTAAAGTTAGAATCTGTGCTGACTCTCAATCCCCAGCTGTGAGTGCTTGTGTGTTTGTGTTCATGTGTATGTGTGTGTACGTGTGTGTGTGTGTAAGTGATCTGAGACAGCGAGTACCCATTTTTTTCATAACATTTTTTTTCTTTCATGTTAGCAGGAATTTTGACAACAAAACACACAAACTGGTGCTTTAATTCACAAGTATAATATTTAAGAGATATGCTTGCTTTATGTTCAATACAACTACCCACACACATTGTCAGAGAGTAAATAAAAGTAATACTATTGAGAGCATGTAGATATAAGGCTGCTTCACTCCCTAGGGTCTTCCTGAAGAACAGTTAAGGGCCTGTCTGAAATTATATTACATACCATGTCTGGCAAGGTTTATCACCTATCTGAGATTTGCTTCTGAGTTAAACCTTGGGATATAAGGTTTCTGGGAAAATGAAGAAGAAAGTCTGAACACAGAGAAAAAGAAACAGCCCAGCTGCCACTGCCGTCATACAATAATAATCCACAATTATTTTCGCATTGTTTCCAACTCTGATAGCCTCAGATTTCTAAAGAATCATTCTGAAGGTCATTAAACAAAAATATGGTCCCTCTGGGCATTTTGAGAGGAAAGGAAAATGAAAACTGAGCTGCTGCGCTTTCACACAACAGTGGTGGGGGTGGGCAAATAAGCCCACACACTCATTCAAAGACAAATGGTGTCATTTTCTTATGTCATTTTAGGGAAAGTCCATATGCAATTAATTCTAACAATTTTCATTTTCTCTGCTCACTGTTTTGCTTTTTTTCCCCAGGAAGTAAAAACTAAAGAGTGTATAGGAATTATAAAATAACTCCTGATGAAGAACAGCTTGGAATCTTTATATGTTCTTTGGGAATGATCGAGATAGCCCTATGTGTTTTCCAAGCTGCCATCTAGCCTTATAAAAGGTTCTTTGTATCCAATAGAGGATCTTTATTTTTTTTTAACTGTGGCATAAGAAAATGTTGTCTTCAGGTCACCAACATCCCTCTAGAGACAATGTAGTGTAGATGAAAAGGCAAACTGGCTTTAGGGTAAGACATCTCTAGGTTAAAATGTGGGGCTCCCCCAAGTTCTGTCATCTTCAGCAAATTTGCTTATGGGAATAATATTCACTACCATGTGAGCAGCCAGAATCCAGAGGCTTGCAGGTTTATTCATTACATTCTTGTTGGGCAGCACCATAAGGAGTGGTCATACAACACAGACAATTTCTAAAGGTTCCCATCCTGCCTCCACTAATACGCCTTTTGCAAAGTTACTTTGTTGGCTATTCTACCTCAGTCTGGATGCCTATATAGACTCTCAGAAGTCTTCCAGGCTCTTGGTTCCATTATTGGCACTCTTTCTCCCAGTAAGCTGCTGGCTGCTAGGCTTACTGCTGTCATTACTTCTCTCCTGCTCACTAACTTCCTAATGAACAGACAGTATTGCCATATGTATTAGTCTGTTCTCATGCTGCTATGAAGAAATACCCAAGACTGGGTAATTAATAAAGAAAAGAGGCTTAATTGACTCACAGTTCTGCATGGCTGGGGATGCTTCAGGAAACTTACAATCATGGAGGAAGGCACCTCTTCACAGGGTGGCAGGAGAGAGAATGAGTGCCCAGCAAAAGGAGAAGCCCCTTATAAAACCATCAGATCTCCTGAGAACTCACTCACTATCATGAGAACAGGATGGGGGAAACCATCCCCATGATTCAATTATCTCCACCTGGTCCCTCCCATGACACATGGGGATTATGGGAACTACAATTCAAGATGAGATCTGAGTACAGACACAGCCAAAGAATATCACCATACCCCACTGCTCCAGCTGTGTTTAATTATAGCAACATACTAGGCAAAGAATTTGAAGTGCATAGGTCAAGTCTCAAGATGGTTGTCTGAGGCCAGGACAAACCACCAAAGGCTCAAATTTGAGCAGTTCCCTAATACTGAACTCACTGTGTAATCCCCCTACTATTTATTGTCCCTGGGACTATTAAACCTGAACAACTTGAAAATTTTGCTGAGAGCCCGTCTTGCTAGAGTTGCTTAAGTTCAACAATCAGATCCGTTTTGTGGCCTTGCTATCCCCTCATAGAGTAGTTTGTTGCAGGACATCCTTACCCAGTCAACATAATGTCAACACTTAAAGCCCAGCTTTTTTCCTCTCCCTCCCCACCTTCCTAGGTGGCAAATGTCCCGTGCCAGTAGTTGCTGGGTTGAAAGCCCAGAATGCACAACTGAGATATCTGTTTACTAAGAACCCTAAAGTAACCTGTTGCCAGCTACATTTGGATCTTGGAGTTTCCAACCTGAAATATTTACCACTGTATTCATAGTCTACTTCTGAGATATCATCATCATACCTACAGGTGTTTTTTAAATCCATTTGATTTGGTGGTTGTGGTTACTTTAGTGCCATTCAGAGCACATGATTCATTCTTCATGGCAAGAACATCAGGAAGATTGATTTCAATATTTCTTCTGATTCTGAGGTTTAAGCACAAAGCAGCTATGCGACCATAAACTAACCATGTAACCTCTAGTCCTCAAACACCTTTGTTTGAATACCCAACATCCACCCCTTAGGCAACTTTTCTCCTTTCCCCTGGAGACTGTATTCTCCCACAGGGCATCTAAACATCTGCTTAAAAATCTTTAGGGGGCCAGGCGCAGTGACTCATGCCTGTAATCCTAGCACTTTGGGAGGCCGAGGCGGGTGGATCACATGAGGTCAGGAGTTCGAGACCAGCCTGATCAACATGGAGAAACACCGTCTCTACTAAAAATACAAAATTACCTGGGCGTGGTGGTGCATGCCTGTAAACCCAGCTACTCGGGAGGCTGAGGCAGGAGAATCGCTTGAACCCAGGAGGCAGAGGTTGCAATGAGCCAAGATTGCACCATTGCACTCCAGCCTGGGCAACAAGAGCGAAACTCCATCTCAAAAGAAAAAAAAAAATCTTTAGGGAAACTGAACTGTCTGCAGTTTAAAGATGGAAGAGACAATTAGGAGTACGATTGCAAATTAGGTATGAACCTTGTCCTTTTCAGCCTATCTCTACTCCAAAGGCCTAGGATAACCAACTACAAGGAGCCCTTCCCTTCCAAGCTCTGTTTCTCCAACTTTCTATCTTCACAGTATTAATGTTGATATTGGTAGCCCACAGTGGTTAAGAATATAAGTTCTAGACTAAACACTTTGATTAGAATTCCAAGTAGTATGTTTTTGAGCATGCTACTAAATCAATCTAAGCTTCAGTTGCTTCACCTATTTAAAAAAAACAGGTGGTGATAATATTTACCAATTGGGGTGATTATAAAGATTAACTGAGGTGATATATGTAAATGCCCTGTAATATAGGGCATCACATGCTAAAACTACTCAATAAATATTAACTATTAGTCTATTATTTTTATTACTTTTAGTACTTTGCTTTCAGGTTATACATGTGTTATGATATATTAATGATCATCAGGAGTTAATGTGACTCAATTTTCTATAGCAGTCTAGAGACAACACTTTAACCTAAAGTTATCATTCTAAGGCTGAGATTAACTTCTGGTTTCTAGTCTGACATGTAAAGGGCTTAGAAGTCATCAATACTATCCTCACAACAAGAAAAAAGCCAAACAAACTGAACATCAATAACCATTTTCAGATCCATCAGATAACTGAGGTCACAAAGAAAACTACTACCCCAAAAACTGGAGAGACAGGAGAATATAGAGAATCACAGCTCACTGGGAGCAGAAGCAGCTGCACGAGCCAGCAACTGGTATGAACTCTTTACCCTTTTCTAGCTTTTGACATGGAGAAGGAAACTATCCAACTCTAGCTCCTTTTAGCCTTTGAAGTGGAAGAAGAAAAAAAGCCAGCTCTAGCCCTTCTAGCCTTCCTGTCTCAAGTAGTGGGTGGGAGAGAAGCTGAGAAGCACTTGTGGTCACAGTTCAGAGACAAGGTTCACTAAAACACTGAGACCTAGTCATAATATTATATAGCACTTACTCTCACCCTGTATCTTACCAACACATCAATTAGGACTCCTGTCTAATAATAGGGCATCACAGTTTAAAGAACTGCACAACTCACATCTTATTTAAGAAGTCTCTAGGGAAACCCAAAGACAATAGAAGAGTGAAAAACAAGGACACCAGAAAGAACTGTAGCCTCTAACACCAACAGTTATAGAAAACAGTAAAAACAGCCTTACTCTTAGCCAGAAAAATCTAAAAACCTCACACTAAAGGCCTATTTATCTCAGTTCCTTTTTACCCAGTCAGTACATCATGTCTGGGTTTCAACGAAAAATTACAAGGTACACCAACTCAAAAAACAAAACAAACAAACAAACAAACAAACAAACAAAAAAACAGCCTGAAGAGAGAGCAAGCATCAGAAATAGACTAAGATATGAAGTGGCCAGGATGGCTGACTAGAAGCAGCTAGCATGTGTGGCCCATAGAGGAAAAGAAGGGGCGAGTAAATACAATACCTTCAACTGAAACATCCAGGTACTCACATTGGGACTAATCAAGAAAACAACTTGACCTGTGGAGAATGAAGAAAAGCAAGACAGGATGACGGCCCACCTGGAAGCAACATGGAGCCAGGAGAACCTCCCCTGTGCAGAGAAGTGGTGAGTGAATGTGTGACCACAGGAAACCACCTTCTCCCACGGATCTTTGCAACCCTCAGATCAGCAGATCTCCATATGAACCCACTCCACCAGGGCCTTCAGTCTAACAGACAGAGCTATGTGGAGCCTTGGCAGAGCAGCCACTCAAGCATGTGAGGAGACCCTGGAGTCTTATATACTTGGGCTTTCCAGAAAGGGTAGCTGCAGCTCTGGCAAAGTGGAAGGTTAGACCTCCAAACATACCCCTAGGAAAGAGGCTGAACCCAGGGGGCTGAGCAGCAATAGCCTTCAGGCCCCATGTCCACAGCACCTAACAGAACAAGACTTGGAATTCCAGCTAGCCACCGGTAGGGGCATTGCACCTCCCTAAAAAGGAGCTCCCAGGGCCGGGGGCAGGGGGAATCTTTGCTGTTTGGGTGACTTAGCCATTCCAGCCTTCAGGCTTTGGAGAGTCTAAGCTGACCAGTGGTGGAAGGGATCTCCCAGCACAGCACAGCTGCTCTACCAAAACGTGGCTAGACTGCTTCTTTAAGTGGATCCCCGATCCTACTCCTCCTCACTGGACGGGACCTCCCAGACTGGGCCTGCAGCCACCCCTGCTGGTATTTTCCAACCAACAGAGATTTGTAACTTTCCCAGGAAGGAGATCCAAGAGGGAGGGGTGGGCCACCATCGTTGCTGTTTGGGTGACCTAGCCATTTCAACCTTCAGGCTTTGGAGAGTCTGAGCTGACCAGGGGCAGAAGGGATTCCCCAGCAAAAAACAGCTGCTCTACTAAAATGTGGCGAGACTGCTTCTTTCAGTGAGTCCCCAATCCCTTTCCTACTCACTGGGCGGGACCTCCCAAACTGGGCCTCCAGCCACCCCTGTTGGTGTTCTCTGGCTAACAGAGATTTTTAACCTCCCTGGGATGAAGCTCTCAGAAGGAGGGCTGGGCCGTCATCCTTGCTGTTTGGGAAACTTAGCTGTTCCAACTTTGGGGCTTTGGAGTGCCCAAGGCAACCAGGGGCTAGAACAGACCCCCAGCACAGCAGAGCTGCTCTACCAAAATGTAGCCAGTCTTCTTTTTTAAGCAGGTCCCCAATCCCATTCCTCCTCACTGAGTGGGACCTTCCAACCAGGGTCTCCACCCACCTCCTTCAGGTGACTTTGGGCTAGCAACAGGTCCATATCTCCCGGGGATGAAGCTCCCGGAGGGAGAGGCAGGCTGCCATCTTTGCTGTTTTGTAGCCTCCACTAGTGATACCTCCAGGTACTAGAAAATTCAAGGTGACTACTGACTAAAGCAGGCCTCCAGCATACTACAGCAGCCCTAAGAAAAACTGACCAGACTGTTATGTGGGTGCCTATTCCCATATCTCCTTACCGGGCAGGTCCTCCAGGCAACTTAGCAACTTCCTGGACAGAGTCTCCAAGGACAACTGAAAACCTCTGTGCCACTACCTCTGTAGTGGAACGGCCCTTGCTACCCTCAGACTACGGAGGAAATATCCTAAGTACCTTAACCACACCACCAGCAAGCTGCAGTTGACCCAAGGAGAGGAGGCCAGTCCATCTCCCACAGGTCCCACACATCCCCTACAACTTGTCACCAGACATGGAAGTCTTGGCTTGGACCCACAGCACAGGCCCTTCATCCTGGGCTGATTGCACTAAGCCATTGCTGACCTGCACCTCTCTCGAGTGGAGCTCCCAGGAGACAAGCAAATGATCCTTGGCCACAACCACTACTAAGGTCCCTTCCTCTGCTGCTTCCAAGTTGGGGAAAAAACATAAAACACTGAGATCACCCCAGAGCTACTATGAGAAGCCCAGTAGTGCCAAGTTGCAATCTACAGCCAGCACTCAAAGGAGAGAGGAAGCCACACCTTCAGAGCATTGAGAGGGAACAGGGCTCCAAATGTGAGGAAACATAGGAAAGCCACACAACTGAGCAAGAGTGTACCAACTGACCAATAAGCCTATGTGCCACCTGCTGGATCACACCCTAAATCTTCAACATTAAAAATACTTCATTAACATACCCCCCCTCTGAAACCAGAGACAGGAAGTAAGCTTCAAATAAAGACCATGCACAAAGCCTCAGCCCAGTGAAAACATCCAGAAACACCTATTGACTGTACTCAATCTACACTGCAGTTAAAGGAACATCCACAGGCAGAGATGAGAAAGAACCAACGCAAGAACTCCAGTAACTCAAATGGTCAGAGTGTTGTATGTCCTACAAACAAATGCATGAGTTCTCCCATAAGAGTTCTTAACCAGGCTGAACTGGCAGGAATGACAGAAATAGAATTCAGAATATGGATAGGAACAAAGATCATTGAGATTGAGGAGGATGAAAAAACCCAATCCAAGGGAAAAAATCACAATAAAACGATACAGGAGCTGAAGGACAAAATAGCTGGTATAAGAATGAACCTAACAGGTATGAGAGAGCTAAATAACACAATACAAGAATTTCATAATGTAATCACAAGTATTAATAGCAGAATAAAGCAAGCTGAGGAAAGAATCTCAGAACTTGAAGACTGATTCTCTGAATTAAGACAGTCAGACAAAAATAAAGAGAATAAAAAGGAATGAACAAAACATGCAAGAAATATGGGATTATGTAAAGAGGCCAAATCTATGAATCACTGGCATCCCTGAAAGAAGAGAGGAGAAAGCAAACAACTTGGAAAACGTATTTCAGGATATCGTTCATGAAAACTTCCCCAACTTTGCTAAAGAGGCCAAGAATCAAATTCAGGAAATACAGAAAACTCTTGCAAGATTCTACACAAGAAGATCATCCCCAAGATACATAATTGTCAGATTTTCCAAGGTCAAAGTGAAAGAAAGAATGTTAAAGGCAGCTAGAGAGAAAGGGCAGGTCACCTACAAAGGGAACACCATCAGGCTAACAGCAGACCTCCCAGCTGAAACTCTACAAGCCAGAAGAGATTGGGGGCCTATATTCAACATTCTTAAAGAAAAAAAATCTTCAACCAAGAATTTCATACCCAACCAAATGAAGCTTCCTAAATGAAGGAGAAATAAGATCCTTTTCAGATAAGCAAATGTTTAGGGAATTCATTACCACCAGAACTGCCTTACAGGAGATCTTGAAAATAACAATAAATATAGAAAGAAAAGACCACTGCCAGCTAATACAAAAACACACTTAAACACACAGACCAGTGTCACTGTAAAGCAACCAGATAAACAAGCCAACATAATAACCAGCCAACAGCACAATGACGGGATCAAATCCAAACGTATTAATACTAATCTTGAATGTAGAAGAGCTAAATGCCTTACTTAAAAGGCACAGAGTGGCAAGCTGGATAAAAACGCAAGACCCAATTGTATGCTGTCTTCAAAAGACCCATCTCACATGTAATGATATTCATAGGCTCAAAATAAAGGTGAAGGAAAATCTACCAAGCAAATGGAAAACAGAAAAAAAGCAGGGGTTGCAATTCTAATTTCAGACAAAGCAGATTTCAAACCAACAAAGATTAAAATATAGAAAAGGGTATTACATAATGATGATGGGTTTAATTTAACAAGACCTAACTATCCTAAATATATATGCGCCCACCACGGGGGAACCCAGATTCATAAAGCAAGTTCTTAGAGACCTACAAAGATACATAGACTCCAACACAATAATAGTGGGAGACTTCAACACCCCACTGAGTATTAGACAGATCATCGAAGCAGAAAATTAACAAAGATATTCAAGACCCGAACTTAACATTGGACCAAATGGATCTCATAGACCTTTACAGACCTCTCCACCTGAAAACAACAGAATATATATTCTTCTCATTGGTACATGGCACATACTCTAAAGCCAACCACATAATTGGACATAAAACAATCCTCAACAAATGTAAAAGAACCAAAATCATACCAAACACACTCTCAGATCAGTGTAATAAAAATAGAAGTTAAGACTATGAAAAATCACTTAAAACCATGCAATTACATGGAAATTAAACAACATGCTCTGGAATGACTCGTGGGTAATTTATGAAATAAAGGCAGAAATTAACAAGTTCCTTGAAAATAATGAGAACAAAGATACAATATACCAGAATCTCTGGGACACAGCTAGAGCAGTGTTAAGGGGAGATTCACAGCACTCAATGCCTACATCAAATAGTTAGAAAGATTTCAAATTAACAACCTAACATCAAAACTGAAAGTGAGAAGCAAGAACAAATCAACTCCAACACTAGCAGAAGACAAGAAATAACAAAAATTACAGCTGAACTGAAGGAAATTGAGACACAAAAAACCATTCAAAAGTTTTTTGAAAACATTAATAAGATAGATAGCCCACTAGCTAGACTAATAAAGAAGAAGAGAGAAGATCCAAATAAACACAATTGGATGAAGGAAATGTTACTGCTGACCCCACAGAAATAAAAACCCCCATCAGAAACTACTAGAAACACCTATATGTACACAAATTAGAAAACCTAGAAGTGATGGGTAACTTCCTAGACACATACAACCTTCCATGACTGAGCCAGGAAGAAATTGAATCCCTGGACAAACTAATAATAAGCTTTGAAATTGAATCAATAGGCCAGGCACGGTCGCTCACGCCTGTAATCCTAGCACTTTGGGAGGCTGAGGCAGGTGGATTGCCTGAGCTCAGGAGTTCGAGAACAGTCTGGGCAACATGGTGAAGCCCCATCTCTACTAAAATACAAAAAATTAGCTGGGTGCGGTGGCAGGCACCTGTAATCCCAGCTACCCTGGAGGCTGAGATAGGAGAATTGCTTGAATCCAGGAGGCGGAGGTTGAAGCGAGCTGAGATCACACCATTGCTCTCCAGCCTGGGTGACTGAGAGAGACTCCGTCTCAAAAAAAAAAAAGAAAAAAAATTGTGTCAATAATAAATAGCCTATCCACCAAAAAGAAAAACAAAGGCCCAGGACTTGATGGATTCATAGCGAAATTCTACCAGACATACCAATAAGAGCTGGTACCATTCCTACAGAAACTATTCCAAAAAATTGAGGAGGAGGGACTCCTCCCCAACTCATTCTATGAAACCAGCATTGTTCTAATAATAAAACCTGACAGAGACACAACAACAAACTTCAGGCTGATATCCTTGATGTACTTCAATGCAGAAATCCTCAACAAAATACTTGCAAACAAAATCCAGCAGCACATCTAAAGTTAATATACCATGATCAAGTAGGCTTCATCCCTGAGATGCAAGGTTGGTTCAACATATGCAAATCAATAAATGTGATTCATCACATAAACAGAACTAAAGACAAAAACCACATGATTATCTCAATAGACAAAGCAAAGGCTTTTGGTAAAATTCAACACCCCTTCATGTTAAAAACTATCAATACCCCAGGTATTGAAGAACATATCTGAAAATAATAAGAACCATCTACGGCAAACCCACAGCCAACATCATACTGAATGGGAAAAAGCTGGAAGCATCCCCCTTGAAAACTGGCACAAGACAAGGATGCTCTCTGTCACCACTCCTATTCAATGTAGTATTGGAAGTTCTGGCCAGGGCAATCAGGCAAGATAAAGAAATAAAGGGCATCCAAATAGGAAGAGAAGAAGTCAAACTATCTCTGTTTGCAGACAACATGATTCTATATCTAGAAAACCCCATTGTCTCAGCCCAAAAGCTCCTTCAGCTGATAAACAACTTCAGCAAAGTTTCAGCAAAGTTTGATTTATACACTTTTATATTCCTCTGGAATATACCCAGTAATGGGATTGCTGGGTTGAATGGTATGAAATTAAGGCAGACATCAAAAAGTTGAAAATATGAGAAAAATGTTAAATCAATGTATAAAATCACCAGCATTCACATACACCAACAACAGGCAAACTGAGAGCCAAATTGTAAAAGCAGTCCCATTAACAATTGTCACAAAAATAATAAAATACCTAGGTGTATAGCTAACCAGAGAGGTGAAAGATCTTTACAATAAGAATTACAAAACACTCCTCAAATAAATCAGAGAAGATGCAAAAAAATGGAAAAACATCCCATGCTTATGGATAGGAAGAATCAATATTATTATAGCCCTACTACCCAAAGCAATTTATAGATTCAATGCTATTCCTATCAAATTACCAATGATATTCTTCACAGGACTTGAAATTCATAAGGAACCAAAAAAGAGCCCAGCCCAAATAGACAAGGCAATTCTGAGCAAACAGAACAAAACTGTAGGCATCACGTTAAATGACTTGAAACTATACTACAGGGGTACAGCAACTAAAATAGCAGGGTGCTAGCACAAAAACAGGCACATAGACTAATGGAAAAGAATAGAGAGCCAGAAATAAGACAACACATCTATAACCATCTGATCTTCGACAAAGCTGCCAAAAACAAGCAATGGGGAAAAGACTCCCTTTTCAATAAATGATGCTGGGACAACTGGCTAGTCATATGCAGAAGATTGAAGGTGAACCCCTTCCTTACATCATATACAAAAATTAACTCAAAATGGTTTAATGAATTAAATGTAGAACCCCAAACTATAAAAACTCTGGAAGATAACCTAGGCAACAGCATTCAGGACATAGACACAGGCAAAACTTTCATGACAAAGACACCAAAAGCAATCACAACAAAAGCAAAAATTGACAAGTAGGGTCTAATTAAACTTAAGAACTTCTGCATAGCAAAAGAAACTTTCAACAATATAAACAGGCAATCTACAGAATGGGAGAAAAATTTTGCAAATTATGCATATGACAAAGGTCTAATATCCAGCATCTATAAGGAACTTAAACAAATCTCCAAGAGAAAAATAAACAACCCCATTAAAAAGTGGGCAAAGGACATGAACATACACTTTTCAAAAGAAGACATACATGTGGCCAATAAACATATGAAAAAAATGCTCGACATCACTGATCATTAGAGAAATGCAAATCAAAGCCACAATGAAATACTATCTCATACTAGTCGGATAGCTATTACTAAAAAGTCAAAAAATAACAGATGCTGGTGAGGTTGTGGAGAAAAAGGAACACTTATACACTGTTGGTGGGAATGTAAATTAGTTCAACCATTGTGGAAAGCAGTATGGCGATTCCTCAAAGAGCAAAACAGAAATACCATTTGACCCAGCAATACTATTACTGGGTATATACCCAGAGGAATATAAATCATTAATTCTACCATAAAGACACATACATACAAATGTTCACTGCAGCACTATTCACAATAGCAAAGACACGGAATCAACCTAAATGCCCATCAATGACAGATTGGATAAAGAAAATGTGGTACATATCACCATGGAACACTATGCAGACATAAAAAAGAATGACATCAAGTCTTTTATGGGAACATGGATGGAGCTGGAGGCTATTGTCCTTAGCAAACTAATGCAGGGAATGAAAACCACATACCACATGTTCTCACTTATAAGTGGTAGCTAACTGATAAGAACATATGAACACAAAGAAGAAAACAACAGACACTGGGGTCTACTTGAAGGTGGAAGGAGAGGAGCAGAAAAGATAACTATTGGATACTGGGCTTAATACCTAGGTGATGAAATAATCTGTAAAACAAACCCCTGTGACACGTGTTTACCTATGTAACAAACCTTCACATGTACCCCTGAACCTAAAATAAAAGTTAAAAAAAAACAGACTCAGATATGGCAGAAATTTTATATTTCCCAGATTGGGAACTTAAAATAAGTATGATTAAAATGTTAATAATTCTGATGGAAAAAGTAGACATCATGTAAGAGTAGATGGGTAATGTAAGCAGAGAGATGGAAGCTCTTAAAAATAATCTCAAGGAAATGCTAGGAATCAACACACTGCAACAGAAATAAAATAATGCCTCTGATGGGCTTATTAATAGACTACATAGCTGAGGAAAGAACCAATGAGTTTGAATATAATGTCAATAGAAACTTCCCAACAAGAAAAGGAAGGAGAGAGAAGAATGGAAAAAAAGTGGAACAGAATATCCAAGAACTGTGGAACTACAAAAGGTGTAAAATAGGCATAATGGGAATACTAGAACAAGAAGAAATAGAGAAAGAAAAAGAAGAAATGTTTAAATTTCAATGCTGAGTCATTCATGTATTGGAGCAGACTGGGTCTGGGCAAGGGGATGGTATGCAGGTGGGCTACTATGAGCATCTGAGCTGAGTTTGAACAACATATAAAAGGCAGGCAGGGTGTAGAAGACAGAAGGAACAACATGTGTAGAAGCACACAGATGTGAAAACACTTGAAGTAGACAAAAAAGTTCCAAATAATTTTGCTCTTTTGAGAGTGGCTGGATTCAAATGTAAAGAGCCTTAAATTCCATTCTAAGATATTTGCACACCGTCAGGGTTCAAATTCAGCTCTGCCACCGTGTAGCCTATCTCATAAGGCTTCACTAATGATTGAGTCATGTAATGCATGAACATATTTGGCACAATGTTAGGCCCTGCAAACACTCAGTAAAAAGGAGCTGTCATCTAAATGATTTTATAGAATCATTAGAGTTCACTAAGAAGTAGCATCCTATGATCAGATATGTATTTCTAAAAGATCATTCTGCTGGATACATTGAAGATATACTGTAGGAAAGACATTGCTTAAGAAGCTTTAGTTTGCTTTGAACTGTTTGTATCCCTGGGATGCCATTAAAGATATACTCAAGGACCTTCTAAGCCTAGATTCTTAGAACAATTTGGGAAAGATCAAGAGCAATCTCTTGTTAAATTTTAAAAAGGCATGCCTGTTAAAAGATTACAAAGTTGACAAAAACAAATCATGTTGATAAAGCAAGAAAATATAACGTCAAAACCCAATGCTTGTAACAGTTTTATTCCTAATCAAAAAATGGCAACAATCCAAATGGTCATCAATTAGTGAATGGTTAAACAGTGGTACATCTATACAGTGGAATACTACTCAGCATAAAAAGAAATGAATTATTGATATATGTCATAACATAGATGGGTCTTAAATGCATTATACTAAGTAAAGGAAGACAGACAAAAAAGCTACATATCATATTATTCCATTTATATTACATTCTGGAAAATGGAAAATTATAGGAATAGAAACAAAGGAATTTTTACCAAAGACTAAGGCTGGGACGAGAGGATTGAATACAAAAGGACACAGAAGAACTTGGAGTGACAGAACTGTTCCATATCTTGACTATGGTGTATACATTTGTCAAAACACATCAAATCAAATTGTACATGTAAAAGGGATGAATTTTGCTATTTGTAAATTATACATAATAATTTGACCTTTAAAAAAACCTCAGCCTTAAATTAGAATCTGAGATGTCTTAGGTAACTATATTTCTGGCTTCCACATAACTTTTCCATTTCTATAGTTGTAGCAAATCTCAAGTAAAGACTTTAATCATTAAACTTTTATAACATGTCTAGGGTATATAACAGCTATTAATTACATATATTTTATATGTGGGGAAATTGAGGTCCAGTGATATTTAATTACTTATCCATGTTAATGGTAGTATGGTGATCAGAATCCAAGTCCTCAAACATGGAGCCCAGTGCTTCTTATACATGCCAAATACCCATTCCTATTGTATTAGCCCACCTATTTTATAATTTACAAACAGTTAAAAAAAAAAAAACCTCCCCACTTCTAATGCCATATCTAGGAACAAAAAGAAGTACAAATGGATCTTAAATTTTGTATTGCTGACTATGGTTTCAGGGCACACCAAACTGAAGCCTTCATGAGCTTTGCAACTCATTCCTTCTGGATAAATATGTCTTTGAAAATTCTTGTTACAAGATTAAAAATTCAAGGGTTGCATACAATTTTATGGTTATGACAGAAGGCACAGATTAATTTTATTACACTTCCTAAAGGGATTCAAAATCTCCAAGCATTTTGGGAAACCATTTTTTTTTTTTTAGCAAGCAAGTGTTGATCATTCAGGCTGCGGTATTATGAGGTTTCTAATGACATTTTTTCCACCTTTAGAAAAACAGTCAGAATGTATAACAAGATAAATCAATGTAAAGCTCTTTTCTTTAAAAACTTAACTTATTGAAATAAGTGGTAGCATTTAGAAATGGTCATTCCTAAACCACTATTTTTGTAGATGAAATTAACTCTTTACAATTCATTTAGAATTTTTCTTAAACAGGGTACAAGAGTCAGAGATCTAATTTTTTTCTAAGTAGATATTCAATTATGTCCACACCATATTTAAATAAACCATCATTCTCCCTCCACCTACATTAAAATGAAATGTTACCTTTATTATATTCTACATTCTCATACATAAGTATTTTTATCTGTTTCTGGATTCTCTATTCTACAGGTCAATTATCTTTTCCTTAGCTTACTGTTTCAATTGATGTTGTTTTGTAGTAAATGATAGCAACTCATAGAATATGTCCCCTCTCATGAATGCTTTTTTCCAATATTTTCTTGGCAATTCTGGCATATTCATTTATATTAACTGTGTAATTATGTTGTCCAGTTTCAAATAATTTATATTCTATCAAATTGCATTACTTATACATTTTCAGAAAAGCGTATCTTTTATTCTTTGGTATCTTCCCATGCAGAAACATGTTGTCTCTTCATTAATTTGGATCATATTTTATGTCCTATAATAAATTTTGTTTTTTTTCTTAATTAATAGGCTTTATTTTTAGTTTTAGGTTTATAGAAAAAATTGTGCAGAAAGTACAGGGTTTCCACATACCCTCCAAACTCTCACATCAAGTTTTCTACATATTATTAACATTTTGCATTAATGTGATAAATTTGGTCTAATTGATGAACGAATATTTATAGATTGTTATTAAAGGAGGTCCACAGTTAACATGAGGGTGCACTCTGTGTTTTGTACAGTCCAATTGGTTTTGACAAATGAATAATTTCATACATCCATCATTACAGCATCATACAGAATTGTTTGCCATCCTAAAAATTGTTTCCCACCCTAAAAATATTCTGTGATCCATATATTGATTCCTTCCTTCATCTTTCCTCCACAACACCTTGGCAACCACTGATCTTTTTATTCTCTCTATAGTACTACCTTTTCCAGAATGTCATATAGTTCTAAGCATACAGTACGTACCCTTTTCAGACTGGCTTATTTCACTTATGGTTTCACATTTAAGGTTTCTCCATGTCTTTTTATGATTTGATATATCATTTTTTCTCATATCTGAATAATATTTTATTATATGAATGTACCACAGTTTGTTTAGCCATTCACAAAGGAAGAAGGACTTGCTGGTTGCATACAATTATTGGCAACTGTAAATAAAGATGCTATAAACATTTGTGTGTAGGTTTTTGTGTGGATGAAACTTTTCAACTAATTTTGGTAACTGCCTACAAGCACAGTTGTTGGATGTTATGGTAAGCTTACTTTGAACTTTGTAATGAACTGCCAAACTGTTTTTTAAAAGTGGCTGTATTGTTTTGCATTCCCATTTGCAATGAATAATTCTTCCTGTTGCTACACATCCTTGTTAGCATTGGGTGTCATCTGTGTTTTCGATTTTAGCTTTTCTATTACATAATAGTACCTCAATGGTATTTTATTTTCATGGGTATATAGTAGGTTATATATTTATGATGACATGAGTTATTTTGATACAGACATCCAATGTGTAATAATCACATCATAGAAAATGGGGTTTCCATTCCCTCAAGCATCTATCTTTTGTGTTACAAACAATCCAACTGTACTTTTTATTTTAAAATGGAAAATTAAATTATTTTTGACTATAGACTCACTGTTGTGCTAGCAAATACTAAGTATTATTCATTTTTCCTAACTATTTTTTTGTATCCATTAACCATCCCCACCTCTCTGCAACCCCTCCATACCCTTCCCAGCCTCTGGTAACAATCCTTCTGCTATCTGTGTCTAGGAGTTCCATTGTTTTGATTTTTAGATCCCACAAATAAGTGAGAATATGTGGTGTTTGTCTTTCAGTACCTGGCCTATTTCATTTAACATAATGACCTCTGGTTCCATCCATGTTGTTGCAAATGACAGAATCTCTTTTTTTATGGCTGAATAGTATTCCATTGTGTATATGTACCACATTTTCTTTATCCATTCATCTGTTGATGGACACTTAGGTTGCTTCCAAATTGTGGCTATTGTGCATAGTGCTGCAATAAACATGGAAGTTCAGATATATCTTTGATATACTGATTTACTTTCTTTTGGGTATATACCCAGCTGTGGGATTGCTAGATCATATGGTAGCTCAATTTCTAGTTTTTTGAGGAACCTCCAAACTGTTCTCCATAGGGGTTGTAGTAATTTACATTCCTACCAACAGTGTACAAGGGTTCCCTTTTCTTCGAATCCTCAGTAGCGTTTGTTATTGTCTGCATTTTGGATATAAGTCACTGTAACTGGAGTGAAATGATATCTCATTGTAGTTTTGATTTGCATTTCTCTGATGATCAATGATATTGAGCACCTTTTCATATGTCTGTTTCCCATCTGTATGTCTTCTTTTGAGAAATGTCTATTTAAATATTTTGCTCATTTTTCAAATTAGATTAGGTTTTTTTCCTACAAAATTATTTGAGATCCTTATATATTCTGGTGATTAATCCCTTGTCCGATTGATGGTTTGCAAATGCTAATCTTATTTTCATATAAGCCCCTTTGCATCCTTGTTAAATGTATTCTAATGTGTTTTATAGTGTCATTGTTTAAACAAGATCACTTCATTTTTCACCTTTACATGTCTAACTGGTTATTGTTTGCAAAAACAAAAGCTGTTGAATTTTTGTACATTTTTAGGAAGCTACCATACTGAAGTTTCTCATTAGTTCTATTTTTTGTTGTTGTCGTAGTTGCATCCTTTGGGTTTTCTAGGTATGCAATCATATAATCTGAAAATTAAGATTATTTTGTCTCTTCTTTTCCAATATTTATATAGCATATTTCATTTCATTTTCTTATTGCATCAGCTAGAACCTACAAAACTATAATAGTGACAGAGAGCATTTCCATCTTGTATGTCATGGATGTAAGGAAGCATGTATGTTTACAAGGATGTTCCAACACTGTGGTTATTAAAAACAAAAATAGAAAAAAAATGCATAAATATCCATTAGTAGAAGAACTGATTGAATAAAATAAGGTAGTTCTGTCCTGTCAACTATTATGCAGCAAAATGAATTAGACCTGTAGAAGACGTGGAAGGATGTTTCTCATACGGTTGTGTGTGATGGGGAAAGCTGAAGCATGATATGCATAGCATGTTCTCTTTTTTATAAAAAAAAATTAGAGAAGGGAAAATATTTGCATATATGTGTATATATGAAAGTAAGTAAATAATGTGTTTTATATATGTATGCACACATACACATATATACACACAAAGAGAGAAGGTGGGGAGAGAGAGAGGAAGAAAATGTTAGCATAGAGGAAAGTGAGGAAGTATTTAACAGTTAGCATTAGTTATTTTGGTGGCTGAAATGGAATGGAAGAGAGGATGAAACTAACTTTATATTAATATACCTCTTCACTGTTCGATTTGTCAAAACAATCAGCTTTTAAATACAGACACACACACACACACACACACACACACACACACACACACATATATATATATACACACACACTTCTATTCTATTTAGTGGTCTCTTTTTGTAAAATTTAATGAATGTAAAAAAAGAAAGACATGGGTTTCATTAGACTTAAGCAAGTCACTTAACCTCTTTGGGCTTCAGTTTCCTCATTTGAGTCCCTTTCAACACTCAGAGTCATTAAAGAGTCCTTAGAAAGCATTACAGGATTTGTTTCTGGAGTAACAATTTTGATAGAGAATTCTGTTTATATCAGTGATGTGAGTGATTAAGTGCATAACATATTCATGTAGTGGAGCAATCATAGTGAGATTATGAGAACACTAGATGTCAGAATTTCAGCGTTTGAATCTAATTGGCCACATGTTGGATAAGTGACCCTCTGTGAGTTATTTCAGTTTCCTCATCTGTAAAAAGAAGATAACAACCACCAATAAGCAGACTCACCTCCTTTTGCTAACAGATAGAGTTCAGATAGAGGAGATACAACTCTCTCCCACATATCCCTTGCATTCCCAGGACAATCAAGATTAAATTACTCAGTCATCTTTAGATAAAAAATATATATATTACATTTTATGAAAAGGTAAACCAGAGCTTCCAAACCAGTGGGTCACAGCACTCTGGAGTGCTATGTGAGGGCTACCAGTATATGGGCACATTGATTTTGTGTTGTTCAGCCCCAAATCAGTCAGGAGGGCTGAGAGCACCTGAAGCTCTCAAGGCCAGTCTTCCACTCACTTTGATGTGCCATATTATCACTTTCTATGTGTGCTGTTACATAAAAAGATTTGTAAAATTTAAATCGACCCAGTTGTCCTATATAACTGATGTTTATGGTTTCTTTTGAATAAATGTAGAAACTGCCCCCTTAGTCTTAAAACTTGAGAAAGTCACATTTGTCTTATCTGAGTTCTTTTCTCAGGAAACCAACCATCAGGACTCCCAAATGATATCAAGGAACCAAAACTTAACATATCACTACATCCAGACAAGGAGAAATTCAACCCCTTATCCATCATGATTGTCTAAGCAACTACCTGCTTCCTGTTAGCCAACTCCTATTCCTTACCTCTCCCTAATTTCTGTTTACTTGCATTTAGTTACATTTGTTCCCTGCTATATAAACCCCTGATTTTAGTCCATCAGGGAGATGGATTTGATATTGATTTCCCATTTCCTCAGCTGCAACACCCAATTAAAGCCTTCTTCCCTGGCAATACTCATTGTCTCAGTGATTGGCTTTCTGTGCAGCAAGCTGCAGGACTGAAAGTAAACCCTTGATGTTTAGGTAACAAAAGATTGCTCCTGACTATTATGTACCATGAAAATATTAGCTGATCTTATTTAGTTTTGTAATTTTCCTTTGCAGAGATTCATGTCTGTGATTAAAAACAGGTATGTCTGCTGCCCTTTACTCAAGACAAAGACACTATTGATTACAAGTAGGAGCTGTTCTTTTAGATATTTCAATTGATGTAGTTCCTTCCTGGAGTGTTGAGAAAGAGCTATTTACTCATCTATCTCCCTTCATGAGAAAAGAGAAATGTGTTTATTTTGGTCAGTTCAGTATTCCCAGTTCCTAGCATAGTGCCTTGCACAGGTAGGCACCCAATACATATGTGCTGAATGAATGATCAGTTGTACAAATAAGTTTGTACTGAACCATCCATCATTCCCAACCAATTCCATTTATAACCAATGTCAAACATCTAAAATTGAGATAGTTGTGACAAGAAAAAGGAGAATTCAAAGTGATAGCCTTGACCTTATTAACACCAGACTTTTACCAACTGAGGTAACTAATCACATAGATGAGTGTTTCACTCCAAAGTGTGTATTTGCATTTTTCTTGCCAATATCCTATCAAAATTAGGACATTTAGAAATGGGATAAAATGACTCCACATTTCTGTGACAACAGGGTGCTCAGTGAATAATTAAGTAGGTTTAGTGTTCTTCTTGGTTCAATTTAAAAAAGAATCCTTATCTCTCATTTGTAAAACGTTTTAAAAACACTAACATTATTGAATATTCTGCTCTAATGTCTAAATCCTATTTATATAGTGTCAGAAGAACCTTCTAAAAGTGTAGCCCCTCTCCTTATCTCAATTTGATAACTGATGCAGTTCAGATAGAGAATATACAGTCCTCTTACACATATCCTTTGTATTCCTCAGACAGGCTGGATTGGCTTACTCAGGCATCTTTATGAACATGCCTCCAGTACCACCTGATTCACCTCTAGCTTCCCATCCAGCTGTGATTACGTGCAGGCACAGAATGATAGTCCTTAAAGGCCTACCATAGCATATTTCAAACAGCCCAGGAAACTCAAAACGGACTATGAGAGTGATACAATATAATTAGTTAATTAAGTAAAACACAGAGACTGATGGAAACGAAAGGAATTTAAAGATTCTGTATATTTGAAAAGACACCTGGAAAACGGATCATGCAAAGCAATAGTTTTCACCATTAAAGCCCTGGAGTTAAGACGTTAGTTAAATCAAGTTTAGCCTAAACTGCCTCCTTACATATTTTAAGTATGACCTAAAGGTTTCTCTGTACATCTTCAAGTATAACAAGTGGTGGTGTAAACAGGCCATAGCATACTCTTGTGCCAATCACTGGGTTTTGACCAATCAAATGTGGCCAACTTCAAAATGTGTTCAAATAAGACAAATGCTGAGCTGTAACCAATCCAGCTGTTTCTGGACCTCACTTCCATTTTCTGTTCATCACTTTACTTTTTCTGTCCATAAATCTTCTTCTAACACACGGCTGCACTGGAGTCTCTGAACCTACTCTGGCTCAAGAGGCTGACTGATTTGCAAATCATTCTTTGCTCAATTAAAGTATTTTAAATTTAATTCAGCTGAAGATTTTCTTTTAACAGATGGCACCAGAAGTGGGATCCAAAGTAGAGCTTCTAATGACCCCAAGGAGTATTGAATGACCAAGTGAGGTACCCACCAGACCCACTGTGTCCATTACTCTCTTGGAACAACTGGGGATCGTGGTTAAGTTCTCTCTTGGATTCCAAAGCTCCATGGTTTTCTGTTTTGAGCTCTCTGAGTTTCTTTGAGCAAATTTCTGATCCAAACTAGGTTTGGAAGTCATGGCAGAAAGCGGACTAGGTCCAGGATCAGATTGGATCTGGTAATTAACTGGCTTGGATCCAGTTAGAGGCCTCTTATATCTGATTGGGTCAGAAAGAACCTAGTAGTAAATGGCAATATTGCAGGGGGTATAAAATTTGGCTTTTGGAAATTCACAGAGATTTTTGTGTTCTACCCCTTTGTTTTATTTTTCTTGCATGCTTAAGTAGGAAAAAACAAACACTGGCTAAGTTGATCAAGGGAATCTGAGAAAAAAGACAATATTTGAGGTAAAAATGGGATCCTTAATTTCTGAAGAACTGAGTTCCTTCTGGCTTATACACGCACAAGTATGAGGCCCCTCAAGCAGCAAAGTCTTATTGAAATCGCAAAATCTCACTAAAGATAAGTTAGAGTGGAACGTTCCAAATGAATGGCAATGCACTGAAGTGCATTTGATTGAGGGCTCCCAAATTAGTCTCACCTAGGGATGCCTATTGACATGCAGAAGCTTCTAAAAATATTTCAATATTTTTATCTAAAGACTTTATAAAAGGCAAATACAAATCTTAAGCAACTAACTGATTTTTAAAAATTAAGTCTGCTAACCTTTTGGCTTAGTTATTTTCCCACCCAAAAGGTGGAAAGAAAGTTATCCTAGATAAGATGTTTATAAAAGTTAGGCCCTCAGGTAAAATAGGCATGCTTCTTTTTACAGATCTATCCATGCTGAGTCTAGGCATACAATGCATGCTTTGTTGGCCCTATTCTTTAGTGGGCTCCACCCATTACCCTGAACTCAGTAATTTTAGCTAAGAAACAGTAGCTATGTTAAAAAGAAAACCCTATTGAACTAAAATACATCTTTCTGGAATTTAATTGACTATCTTAAAACTCTTTTGTAAAAAAAAAATATATATATATATATATACACATATATATATATATATACACACATATATATATATATACACACATATATATATGAAATCTCCATTTGTAGGGATATCTGCTTATGTACATTAGAAACTTACCATTTGTATTAGTCTGTTTTCACACTGCCATAAATACCTGAGACTGGGTAATTTATAAAGAAAGTAGGTTTAATTGATTCACAGTTCTGGATGGCTGGGGAGGCCCCAGGAAACTTATAATCACGGCAGAAGATGAAGGGGAAACAAGGCACGTCTTCACAAGGTAACAGGAAAGAGAGAGAGAGAGCAAGGAAGTGCCACACTTTAAAACCATCAGCTCTTGTGAGAACTCACTCACTATCATGAGAATACCATGAGGGAAACCATCTCCATGATTCAATCACCTTCCACCAGGTCCCTCCCTTGACATGTGGGGATTACAATTCCTGATGAGATTTGGGTGGGGATACAGAGCCAAATCATATCACCATTATTATTTTTTTTTTGAGATGAAGTCTCCCTCTGTCACCCAGACTGGAATGCAGTGGCACAATCTCAGCTCACTGCAACCTCTGCCTCCCAGGTTCAAGTGATCCTCCTGCCTCAGCCTCCCAAGTAGCTGAGATTACAGGCATGCACCATCACGCCCAGCTAATTTTTGTATTTTTAGTAGAGACGGAGTTTCACATGTTGGCCAGGCTGGTCTCGAACTCCTGACCTCATGTGATCCGCCCGCCTTGGTCTCCCAAAGTGCTGAGATTATAGGCTTGAGCACCCGGCCCATTCCTTTAAATTTACATAATAAATCATACTTTTGGTTGAGATGCTTTTCTGGCCATCTTCTCTTGATGGAACTTTCATGAGAGCACTGTTTTTTTTGTTTTGTTTTTGTCTTTGTTTTTGTTTTTGTTTTGCCCCTGGTTTGAGCAAACAATAATATAATTTTTAGACCAAAATCTTGCTCTCTGCTTATGAGATATAAATTTTTATTTTTTGTGGTTCCACCTAACAGTTGTCCCTTTAGAAATACAAATTTGTTGCCTAGTCAACAATTGCTTAGTTCAGTGAAACCAGTAATTGGAAGATTGATAGACTGAACGGGAGAAAGAAAAGCTATTTTAAAACTGACAAATGAAAATTCTTACAAGTAATGGATTTTCTTCTGTCTGTATGTGTTGTGTGAGTGATGTTTATACGAAAAAGCTCTGATTAATTGGTTTAAAAGGAATAAGTGCTTAAATCAAATATTTTGTCAGAAAAATAAAAACTGTAATGTCTTTTAGTTCACATGACTTTAGTAATCTTTGGGAAATAAACACAGTTTTATAAGATTATTGGTAAAATAAAGACATTTGGTCTAAATTAGGCAGGTCGGATATTAGGTTTGCTAAATGCTTTGATGTCATAAACTGCTCCTTTGACTTTTGAAAATTGTTAGACTTACCTGCTTTAGAGCCATTAGATTCTAGATAAGGCCTAGGGACACATGGAGTTAACCATGCCCCTAGCTATGATGGAAAGAGTTGGACTTTACCTGCACTTCAGTCTGTTGTCCTAGGCCCCACACCTAGTACATAATTAAAATCACTTCCTTACCGGGTTTTTCACTAAAAATAAAAATTGCTAAGAGTTGAGATTCTAACATGTAATTGAGACTACTGAAGAAAGAGTTTTACATGCAAAATGTGTGAGGAAAGTGAAGTAGGCTTTTGGTAAAAGATTATAAGAAGGCATGGGAATGTGGATTTTTGTGCCTAGATTAAAGGGTTAAATGACGATTTAGGTTAGATAGGATAAAGCTGAAAGTTGAGCAAGTTGTGGAAGATTGTGAAAAATTAAACTTGTAAGAGAAATTCTACATGTGAACATATTGGCTAAATTTAAAGGGGGTATTGTTCAGTTTTTTTGTAAATTGAACATTGAAATAAAAGCACAAAAGGGTTTTCTTAGAGCACTGATCTACTATTTAATGAAAATTTGTAATGGGTTATAAAAGATTTATGTGAATCTCACCTTATGGTAAAACTGATTAAGATTAGATAGATTTGTCTACTAGGTTTTATTAAAAATTGGGGTTGACATTAACAGTATACTAATGCAAGGATGAAATTTGGCTTTCTTTCTTGAATGAGATTTTCATGTAATATTAAAGAATAATGAAAGATTTTTGTTTGCCTTTTGAATAAACTACAGGAGAAAGAAGGGAAAGACAAGAGACAGATTGTTTGGAAAGCTAAGTCTTTCCTCTATCAATGAGTAAAGGTTTTTACATCTTTAAAATTTTTGAGTCATTATTTTGGCAAAATGAATGATTTATGGTGACATGGAATTCTATTTCATAATATCAAATGTTTTAAACATTTAACATATTTGACAGGCTTCCCCAAGTCAAATTCCAATTTCGAAATTAAGTCTCTTTTGACCACTAACTTTAGGATGCTACAGAGGGCCCCTGAAGCATCCAAAAGAGAGGTAAACAGGATTATTTGATATATTAAGTTACATGGGAAGCACCGTCAAAATAAGAAATTTTTGTTTGTTTATTTGTTTGTTTTGAGACAGTCTCACTCTGTCACCCAGGCTGGAGCGTAGTGCAGTGGTGCGCTCTCAGCTCACTCACTGCAACCTTTCCCCACCCTCCCCTTGTGTTCAAGCCATTCTCATGCCTCAGCCTCTGGTCTAAAACTCCTGACCTCAAAAGATCCGCCTGCCTCAGCCTCCCAAAGTGTTGGGATGACAGGCGTTAGCTACCACGCCCAGCCAGAAATAATCATTAACCTTCTTTAGGTTATATTTTAATGAATTTCATTAATATATGTTCCAAAATGTTATGGGATTTCTAAAATTCTACTGTCTGAGTATATGATATCAATTATAATTATGGTTATTATGTTAATTTATTGTAGACCACAGAAATAACCAAATTTCCTTGTCAACTGTGTCTTTACTTGAAGTCATTGCTAGTTAATTGCTTAATTCTGATGCAGTTTCTGAAAAATTCACAAGCATGCAAAATCCTAGAAATATGGTGTCTTTTAGAAGGTTGGAAAGGACCCTGAAAAGCACTCTTGAATACGGGTTTCTCATAACTTTAGAGTCATATCATTTGGACTGGGTAAGAATTCCTGGAACTTCAATGAAAAGACTGGTTTATATAACTGCTAACCCAAGTAGAACAAAAATTAATTGAATACCAAGAAGACACTTTGCCAGATTATCATGCTAAATCAGCCAATACCAAAATTGTATAGATACACAATTTGAATGAACTCCATGGTCTAAGTCAAATGACCTATGATAACCCATCAGTTATCAGTGCTACGCACCTAAATTGGAGAAACAATTGGTATTCAAGAGGACATAAGACCAATGTTAAGTATGGACTCATGGAGAACCAGGGCAGCTGCCTTGTCCTTCCTGAGTCCTTAAAGTTTTTGTTATTAAAAGTTCTGCATTCCATGACTCATGAAAAAGATAAAATAATCCAAATTAAATATATATTGTTGTGGTGACTTGTACATTGCTAAAATAGTTTATAACCAATGTTTAATTTGTCAAACCCGTATTCCTGGGAAGACACTCAAATCTTCAGATACATTCAGCTACCTGATGGGTCATTTAAACATTTATAGAGGGATTTCATTCAATTGTCATTTTCAATGTATGTTTTCTGGTTGTATCAAAGCTTTTCCTTGCGAGAAGGGTGATGTTATAACAGATTATTACGTCACAATGTATTTTCACCAGGAATAAAAGATTTTTACGGTTCACTAACTGAAGACAATCAACCCCTTCACAATCTAGAACTCAAAGACTGGATCTTCCGAGAACATCAGAGAAGGACTTCCTTTGCCATCCACACTGCAGCAAAGCTAAGGGACATTGAACCTTGGGCTTATAATCTCACAACTGAGGGAGGGTTGCTCCACACTTATGGAACTATACACCCGTTAGAACCCTTAAGGTAAAGCTACCCAGGGAAGTTTCTCCCCAGAAAAAAAAATGGCCAGCCTTATACATGGATAACCAGCCTTATACATGGATAACCGTATGCCTTGATAGATGAAAAATGAAGGCCCAATGTAGGTGAATAACTTTAATGGTACATACGTTGCCTGATAGTCAGAAACAGAATGTTGGTTCACTCCTTTTAATCTACATCATGGGTTAAAGACAACATTGCCGGGAGTCCTTCATTCTTCTAGAAAGGCATCATTTGTTAAGTGCTTTTTTCCATGGTGTGGAGTAAAAGATGGAATAATTAGAAATGTATCCCTTATGATAGGCTCTATAACTGATTCTACTGTAAAGGCTATGGTTACACAACAGATTTTAAATTCTCTTGTGAAAATTATGCTAAATAATAGAATTGCTCTAGATTACTTACTGGCTAAACAGAGAAGTATCAGAAGTATCTGTGCAACTGCTGGTGCTTGTGGCCTGTGGAGAAATATATCCCATCAGGTATTATAGAGATTCAGTGTAGGAGATTAATGAAGAGACTGCTTAGTTAAAGTGAGTAGACTCTTTAGCTCATTCTTTGATCTATTTGATTTTAGTTGGTTTGGTTCCTGGTGACCCTAGGTAAGGGGCATACTCCAAACTCTTGGTATTATCCTCCTGACAATCATAATAGTAGTCCCCTTGGTGTACTGTATTCTCTCAAAAGTTTTAAACGTTTGCATTCAGCCATCTCAAGAATGGCAAATGTTGTCTATTCAATTGGAATGCCAATAGCTGAAGGAAATGTGTGACCATGAGGGCATCATAACCTATGAATGAATTGCTGAGACCTGGAAACCCAAAATGACGGTAACTGAGAGTGGCACACTCTCACCTAAGTGAGAACCTGACAAAAAGGGGGGAATTTTTAAACAAAATTATGGGAGGCCATTGTTTTGGACTCAGCTCATGTCATGCACTAGGCCCCAACAGACCAGACAAAACCAAAAGGGACTCACTTGTGCTAAATGTAACATAATCAAACTAAGACTTTAAGGAAACACATATATCCTAGAACAGACTGGGTTTTGTCTTTTTCTCCTGTAAACAGGATGTTCCAGACTAAGAAGTTATCCTCTACTCTAACCCTTACAAAAAAAAAAAATGACCTGAAGTCCTTGTTCACACCTTACACAACCCACTGTTCTGCTATTTTTCAGTGGGTTTCAAGGCCAAATAAGTACATTTATGATGGTGATAGTGACATCAATGACTAAAGTTTTGGTCAATCTCTCAAAATGAGAGGATGAATAAAAGGGGGAAATTGTTAAATCATGTTTAGCCTAAAGCTGCTTTCTTACATATTTTAAGTTAGGCCTAAAGGTTTCTCTGTACACTGTCAACTATAACAAGTGGAGGTGTAAATAGACCATAGCCTACTCTTGTGCCAATTACTAAGTTTTGACCAATCAAATGTGGCCAACTGTTTGAACCGTGTTCAAATAAGGCACAGAGCTATAACCAATCCAGCTGTTTGTGTTCCTCACTTCCATTTTCTGTACATCACTTTCCTTTTTCTGTCCATAAATATTCTTCTACCACTTGGCTGCACTGGAGTCTCTGAGCTTACTCTGGCTCAGAAGACTGCCTGATTTGTGAATCACTCTTTGCTCAATTAATCTTTTAAATTTAATTTGGCTGAAATTTTTCTTTTAACACACTGGACATTTCTAACTTTGAATGAGCACCAGAATAAACTCTGGACAAATGTATCCTCTTCTTTATATTGCTATAGACAGAGCAAAACTTGCTCAGCCTGGTAGAAAATACAGCTTCTGCACAGCAAAAGAAACCACCATCAGAGTCAACAGGCAACCTACAGAATGGGAGAAAATTTTTGCAATCCACTTATCTGACAAAGGGCTAATATCTAGAATCTACAAAGAACTCAAACAAATTTACACGAAAAAAACAACCCCATCAACAAGTGGGCGAAGGATATGAACACACACTTCTCAAAAGAAGACATTTATGCAGCCAAAAGACATGAAAAAATGCTCATCATCACTGGCCATCAGAGAAATGCAAATCAAAACCACAATGAGATACCATCTCACACCAGTTAGAATGGCAATCATTAAAAAGTCAGGAAACAACAGGTGCTGGAGAGAATGTGGAGAAAAAGGAACACTTTTACACTGTTGGTGGGACTGTAAACTGGTTCAATCATTGTGGAAGACAGTGTGGCGATTCCTCAGGGATCTAGAACTAGAAATACCATTTGACCCAGCCATCCCATTACTGGGTATATACCCAAAGGATTATATATCATGCAGCTATAAAGACACATGCACACCGTATGTTTATTGCAGCACTATTCACAATAGAAAAGACCTGGAACCAACCCAAATGTCCAACAATGATAGACTGGATTAAGAAAATGTGGGTATACACCATGGAATACTATGCAGCCATAAAAAATGATGAGTTCATGTCTTTTGTAGGGACATGGATGAAGCTGGAAACCATCATTCTCAGCAAACTATTGCAAGGACAAAAAAACCAAACACTGCATGTTCTCACTCATAGGTGGGAATTGAACAATGAGAACACTTGGACACAGGAAGGTGGACATCACACACTGGGTCCTGCTGTGCGGTGGGGGGATGGGGGAGGGATAGCATTAGGAGATACACCTAATGTAAATGATGAGTTAATGGGTGCAGCACACCAACATGGCACATGTATACATATGTAACAAACCTGCACATTGTGCACATGTACCCTACAACTTAAAGTATAATAATAAAAAATAAAATTTAAAAAATAAATAAAAAAAGAAAATACATGGGCTATAAAGTAGGCAAGGCAGACTATCCAAATACTGACTGAAAAAGAAATATTTTCCTAATATGTTGGTACATTTTCTTCAGGTATTTACTTGAAACCTTGTATGAGAACCAAGAGTTAGCAATACATTCCTGAGCTTCAGGTACTCTTTAACTTCTGATTCTAGTATTTTATCCTAATCCGTTAGTATACTGTAGGGGCTAAGAGTGGGGCTAGTAGCCAAACTGCAAGTCACAAACTACTGTTGACTTTTGCTAACCCACTTAGCTTGTCTGAGTCTCCAGTCACTTCTTCTATAAAATAGAGATAATATTACCTTATATGGTAGTTCTAAGAATTGCATTAATCTATCTCATGCACCTAAAACACAGCTTGCCATACAGTAAGTACTTAGGAAATGTTAGCTAACATTATGATGATCATTTATCAACTGTAAAATATTATAGAAATATTAAATATTATCCAGGCAGAGCTGGAAAGGCCTGTTGCTTCACCATTGTTGGTCCATTTCTAAGGAAGAGTGAGAAGTGGCATTTGCCAAGCAGTAAATTGCTTGAGTATGTAAGGATGATAGTGATGTCTAGAGATATGAGAAAAGGAGAAGAAAGAAGTTAGCAGAAAGTAAGATGAGATAGTAGAATTACTCTTATAAGGGAAAGTTGATTATCTGGATTTCACTCCCAGCTGCTAACTCTTTGGGCAGGTCACCTTCCCTTCCTCAACCATAAAATTAAAATAAAACTTTCTTTTTCTTTCTTTGGCCAGGCTCCACTGCACCAGCATGGCATCTTACAAAAGTTCCCAAGATATGACCAAGGCTGGGTTTAGTCCCAGGCCCATTGCCGGAGAGGGTAGTGATTAAGAAAATGAATTCTGGAGTCACACTGCCTTGAATAGAAAATCAGGCTTTGTTCACTGTGTAACTTTGGATAGGTCACATCTCTCTCAGCCTCAGTGGTTTTGTTCTCCATTAAATTAGGATAATAGCACCTATCACACAGAGTTGCACTGAGATTTAAACAAGATAATGTTGAAATCAAGTTTAGCTACAATGAATGGCACACAATAAGTGCTTAATAAATACAAATGAGGTTGATGATGGCATAAACCCACCAAATTACCTGTAGTCTATATGTTTGTGCATAATAAACATTATGTTCCTTTTTATCTGTCACAATATTGTCTTCATTAAGATAATTCCCATTGAGACCTGGACGTTCTAGTACAGAGTATGTTCTTGGTGTCTATTGGTAAGTTTCCCTAGGTGTGAAAATGGAGAGGCTTCCAAATGTAAAGGCATATGACAGCTGTGGGAGTTAGGGATTAAGCTTCCCTAGGAACTGAGGGTCTGTCAGATCCTATAGAAACAACCTGCTCCACCTTTTATGTGTGTTTGGTTCCAACAGTACACACAGCATCTGTGCAGAAAACCTTCCTGGTCATCTACCATCACATCATAAAACTTCAGTGTGTCAATTGCTGTGGTTCAGAGCTGACAGAAGAGAGTTGACTTAGTTCTGTTACAAGACCGTGGGCCCCAGGTTAGCTGCTAGAATATCATAGCTGGAAGGTTGTGTGGTTATTATCTGCTTCTTCCCCTAGATCCAATTATCCACGCTTGTCTGCTCTACTCTATGCTCAGAAAAGCAGAACACTATTGATTCTATCTCCTGCCTCTGCCCCCTGGCTTCTGTTTCAGTTTGAATGAGGGTGGCAGGAGAGGGAAGCAACTAGCAAATAAACAGAGAGCAGGAGTTATAAATGGTTAGGGTATTTATCCTACCCACTCCCTTCCTATCTGCCACCCTCATATGTTCCTTTAAGGCTGTATCTCTTGGCAGCTTCCTCCACTCTTGCCAGGTTCCAGTGACACTGCTCCTTCCCCTTGACACTGCAGGTCTAGGGGTGATAATCAACAGCTTGCTCCTTTATTGATTTCTTCAAGCCTGCCCAAACCTTTGTAAATAATCCTTTCATTCAACTCTCTTCTTTTTTTTTTTTTTTTTAGATGGAGTCTCGCTCTGTTGCCCAGGCTGGAGTACAGTGACATGATCTCGGCTCACTGCAACCTCTGCCTCCCATGTTCAAGTGGTTCTCCTGCCTCAGCCTTCCAAGTTGCTGGGATTACAGGTGTGTGCTGCAATGCCCAGCTAATTTTTATATTTTAGTAGAGATGAGGTTTCACCATATTGGCCAGGCTGGTCTCGAACTCCTGACCTCAGGTGAACTGCCCGCCTCAGCCTCCCAAAATGCTGGGATTACAGGCATGAGCCACTGCACCTGGCCACAATTCTCTTCTGTTCAACCTTTGAGTGTGGTTTATTTCCAGCTAAACTTAACCTTAGCAGTGTTTATACATCCTGTACTGGGCCCATTTCTCTCCTCTGCATTCACTGTTGTGGCTTTCACAGAGTAGACCATTATGATAGTTGTTATTCTTTATAAGTACTACTACTTGTAATGGCAGGCCTTTGTTCCCACCAGTAAATAATATTTCTGTGTCCCCCAAATAATTTCTTTCAAGTGTTATTTAAATGTTTACCCTTCTTCCCATTAGTTCTTATATGCTGTCAGGCTGGAGGGAGATTCTACTTTTAGCAGTTGGAGAAAGGCGTATTGCTTCTAACACCTGCATTAAAAACCAGTGATACATAAGAGTCACAGCTCTGAATTATTTAGTTATGGATCTGTTGATTCTTCTCAGTGAAATATCTAATACCAAAAACTAGTAAAAAAATCTCCCTTTCCTCATCCCCAAGACTGCTATTGACTGAGGTAAAATATGAATTTGACACCATGCTGAGTTACCTTATACCACACAACATCAGGCTCCTGATCGGACTTTTTAAAGTCATCCATGTCTGGACAGGAGATCTCCTTTCTTTTAGTGACTTCAGATTTTTCTAAATAGCGGATCCTGCTGTTGTAGCACAGGCCTGATTCATTCTCTGCAACAGTCAAGGACATTGACACCTTCATGCAATATGTTGAGTTTCTGTAGGAACAGAGAAATAACAAAATGGCTTTATTGGGTGTTTACAACTTTGTTTGTGCTCTATATATTTCAAGAGTATTGGCTTTTCCATTTAGGACCTTGCCTAGAAATCAGAAAAAAACATCAAAGCAACACAGAGCAGTTTTATGCTGCAACTGACTAGAAGATATGAAACTAATTGCTAATGTGGATATTTGTGGCCATGAGGTAGCCACAGAGCTACATAGAGAAGCTATACCCATCTTCCAAACTGTAAGATAGTCTGACTTCTTTCCCAGCAATAAATATTGCTATGTTGAAAATCTGATAATAAAAACCTGTGAGAAAGTCTCTCTATAACTGGAGCTGTAGCCATTTTTGCTCTGTCCCTGTGGCCAGTCCTTTAACAGTTACTACAGGGATAGTTTAATTTTACTATTGGTTTCTCAGCCAATATTTCCTGATACAGAATATATACTAAAAACCAGATCAACATACAGAGGATATCTGTTAGCTTACAGGTTAATTTACCTGTTAACTATTCAGATTTTTTTTGAGACGGCGCCTCGCTCTGTCGCCCAGGCTGGAGTGCAGTGGCGCTATCTCTGCTCACTGTAAGCTCTGCTTCCCGGGTTCAAGCCATTCTCCTGCCTCAGCTTCCCGAGTAGCTGGAACTACAGGCACCCGCCACCACGCCCGGCTAATTTTTTTGTATTTTTAGTAGAGACGGGGTTTCACCCTGTTAGCCAGGATGGTCTGGATCTGCTGACCTCGTGATCCGCCCGCCTCGGCCTCCCAAAGTGATTACAGGCATGAGCCACGGCGCCTGGCCAACTATTCAGCTTTTTAAGGTACTCACTAAGATGTGCCAGGTGTTGAATTTTGGGCTTTTATAAAGAAGAAATCCTACTAGAGTCTGGTCAGTTGGGATTAATTGTATCAACCAGCACTAGCATTATAAAGAATTCTCAACACAGAATGTTATCATAAGGCCACTTTAGAAATTGGGCATTAATTGGCTAACACATTACAGAAGGGTATTTATTGAACAAAAATTCTGTCTTCTTGTACTTTGGTTAACACTTTCTCAATAATGTGAGTTCAATAAACATATTTAATTAATCTAACTAACTACAATAAATATAAATAAATACAAATTCTGCCTTTATTTTTCTATGTATAATCCATGACCTTTCTCTACCCTACCTTATCTGGATTCCAGAAGATGTCAAACACAAAAGAAAATGGAAAAGTGTGAGGAAGAAATCAGAAGCAGCCTGATAACACTATGAAGATCAGCTGTAAATCTTGGAGTATTCAATTTTACTTTATGGAAGACATTTCAGGACCATATCTGTTTTAAACATCAAGGGATACGTGCTGTCAAAACTAAAATTGCCAAGGGTGGCAATTCAAACCAAGTGCTTTATAACTGAGTAATAACAATCCTAACAGATGGGATTAGCATGCCAACCAATAATTTTCAGACAGTACCAAATGATCGGCACTGTTCATACTGCTTAGTAGTCACTCATTGAAATTTTATATCCCCGACATCATGCAAAACACAGGAATCCAGATGGCGATGCCTCTTGGGTTTACAAACTAAGTTAATAAGAATGACTCCTACTTAGGCTTCTGGTAAAGTTAATTTCTGGCAAGCACCCCTGACTATGCCCAGGCCTGTGTCATCTGAGAAGGAAACTATCAAAGCACTCCAATTCTGATGTTTAGATGCAACCCCATCACACTATGTAGACTGTGGGATTTGCTTTTCTTTCTTCCTCTACATGGGTTCCTGGAACACAAAGGTCATAAGATATGCCCACTGGGGATTAAGTGAAAGAAACATTTATGTTCTTGTCAGACATTGGACAGCCTCTTTAAATGCCATGAAGCTAAAGCCACAACAGTAGTAATCTCAGAGAAGAAGGGTAAATCAATTTAGCTCAATCAATTGAGCTCTTTTTCACCATTTTTTAAACACTTCAGTGTTAAATATTTCCAAGTCTCCTTGCTTGATACAAGGCCATACATGATCTAGCTCAACATAACATTCTCTCCTTTACTCATTAGGGTGCAGCCACACTGGCATTTTCTCTGTTCATTGAACACACTAAGCCTATTCAAACAATAGGCCTTTGTACTTGCTCTTATCTGATCTTCTAATATTTGTTTATTTGTTAAAGTATGCACTAAAAAGGGCAAGGAATTTGTTGCTCTTGTTAATTACACCATCCCTGGGATCTAAATGAATAGATAGTAGATGCTTAGTAAACGTTAGTTGATTAAATGAATGGGCATCAAAAGGTATCTATTTGAGAGACATGTTATTTTTTTTCCATTTTTGTATCAGTCCCATATGGTATATATCCCCCTTTCTTCAGATGAAGGTATATGGCTTGTCAAATATCACATTCCTTCAGATGAAGGTATATGGCTTGTCAAATATCACATTCCTTGTATAAGTATGACCCGGATAATTTGCAGGTATTTGTGGATAGCCACTAGGAGGAAGATTAGCCAAGTTTTGTGCAGCAGCATATTGGCAAAGAATTAAAAATATTGGCTACATCTGAAAGACAAGAATGACCGGCAGGGGCAGGGGATAGAGGGAAGCTAAATGGTCACAGTTATTTAAAAAGTATCTAACACAGAAGAAAGGTAATCATCTCTGCTGGATATCCAAAGTGTTCTGAACAGTTCTTGATGTTACTGACTTTGATCATATCTGCTCCATGGTGTTCACTCATACAGGTGAAAGAGACATACTTGTTAAAAAATTTTCAATTATTATGTTATACCTCCACAGAAGGAGAAGTGTTGACCAGAGATCTCAATAATAGAAGCAGGTGAAATGTTCAATGCTCTGAAAGAAGCTAACTGTCCCAGATGTATTTATCCCTGGGTAGAAAATAGGGTAGACTAAAGTAGAGGACCAATCTGATATAGTGGTTTCTTAACAAAGCATCATCTTTAAACTAAGCCTCACTAGACTCAACTAGTTCTGTGACCTTGGACAAATTGTTTAACCTCTCTGAGTCTCAGTTTCTTCACCTGAAACATGAGGATAAGAAGCTGTTTATGGTGGCTCCATTGAAGGTGGGAGGAAGGATTTCCTTTCATTATAAAACTATGAGTAAAAACAGGTTTACATTTTTATACCTGACCTGTTCAGATCACTGTAAGTATTAAATAAAATAATGTATGTAAAATACCTAATACAGGATCTATCAAAAAGTAGGTATTCAAACAATTGTATCTCTAATTAGAATTGTAGGTATTGCCAGCATTGTTAAATATATTAAAAGATATATATAATAATTATATATATGTATAATTAATATATATGTATACATATATAACTAATATGCATATATGTATAATATACATATCTAATATATAATACTTATAATTTACATGTGATATAATAATCATGAGCAATATAAAAACAACACACTGGCAGCAGTGGGTTAAAACAGTCTGCTGGGTTAGAAGTGCTACTTGACAGGAAACAGTCTGGAAGAGGTCAGTTGGGCAAAAGGTCTAATACCAGAGAGCCATGTAGGTCTGAGAGGATCAAAAAGATACATTGACTTAGGCACAAAAAGAAGTGTATCAAGAGAAAGCAGCTAAGGCAGGAAGGAACTTCCAGGCACTCTGAGTACTAACTACTAGGCAGAGGCTAGAACCTTGGAGGTCAAAGAGGTAGTAAAAGCTCCACTTAAAAAGGTTTACTTCTGGCCGGGCATGGTGGCTCACGCCTGTAATCCCAGCACTTTGGGAGGCCTAGGCGGGTGGATCACGAGGTCAGGAGATTGAGACCAGCCTGCCTGACACAATGAAACCCCGTCTCTACTAAAAATACAAAAAATTAGCCAGGCGTGGTGGCACGCGCCTGTGGTCCCAGCTACTCCAGAGGCTGAGGCAGGAAAATCGCTTGAACCCAGGAGGCAGAGGTTGCAGTGAGCTGAGATCGTGCCACTGCACTCCAGCCTGGGTGACAGAGTGAGACTCTGTCTCAAAAAAACAAACAAACAAACAAACAAAAAATTTACTTCTGGGAGCTTCTTAGACAAATGCCTTCTATAACAAAGCCCAGAGACCTCAAAGCCAGGTTTCCAGGCACAAGACAAGAGCCATTCATGTGTTCGTTCCCTGACCTCTCCAAAGTATAAACAACGTAGATGGTGTCAGCAGCATTTGTATTGATTTGGGGTGGTGTTAAAGGCAAGGAAGCCACCCTGGAGATGGCTGATGAGTTGAAGGAGGAAGTGTGTCCTTCCTAATCCTTAGCCACAAACAACTTTAAGCCAGGGCCCAGTATGTATACACTCTCATTGTGGTCACTGACATGTGAATAGATGCTGACATGTGAATAGATGCTGACAAACTGCTTTGTTAACTCATGAACAAGTCCTAGTATGAAGTCGTTGAGGATGACCGAGGTCCCTAGAACTTAAAGACAAGGTCTGATGTGAGTCCTGCTATCACCTCAGGTGACCTGGGGGAGGTATAATCAATGCTGCCTGACAGTCTGAAACTCAGGTTGATTTTTATTAGTTGTGTAATCCAGCCCTGGCACAGTTCGTGCTAACAATCTTGCATTATTTAGATTTTATTTTGAAAAATGCCCCAGGCTGGTTCTATTTAAAATATTTCCTGCAACTGGGACCTAAAAATGTTACTTTCATTAGGTACAATTAGAGCTATGTGAGGTTGAGGAGGCAGACTGACGAGTGTGCAAGAATGGAGATGGTATTTTTTCTCTCCCTACTTCACATCCTGAGGAAGACAAGGAACACATTCAGGCTCAATGTAGGCAAAAGGCCTTTGCAATGATACTGCAGCAACAACTTACAATTACACATGTTAGTAATCTTTCCAAGTACTTCTATGTGTATTATCTTACTTAATTATCCCAATAACCCTGGAAAATGGGCAGGGTAAGTATCCCTTACAGGAGTAAAACATAGACACAGAGAGGACAAAGAACTTTGTCAAGCTGACGTAGCTGGTCAGTAGTTCAGAACCAAGGTTTATTGGCTGCTAGCCCCTGGATACTCTCAGAACTTGATGCTAACATTGCTCAACAGTCAAACTAACTTGTGGTTATCCGTACCAACTTGAGGAAGCTGATAGAAAGAAGAGCAGATGTGTAACATAACATCTAAGGAATAATGTTAATTTGCATAGCACAGAATTAGAAAATTTATAAATAAACCTTGCTTTCTATTCCAAAGGTTTAATGTTAGCTTGTTTAGGTCATAATTAGAACTTTTTACCCAGATGTATTTCTAAGGGAAAATATTGATCAATCTTGGGTTCTCTGGGGAGAAAAGTAAAACTCATAATTTAAAATACACATGAAACATCCAAATTCCTTTTCTAACTCACATTTATAAAACATGCCCATATTATAAAGTTTTGTTTTAGAGTTTGAGCATATGTGAACTTGTCGTATCACCAGGACTAAGCTGGTGAAAATAATCTAAATAAATTAGGGATCTTTCTTGTACCTAAAATCAAAAGCCCTAGATAAAATGCCTCAGGATATAGTTGAAACTTTCCTAACTGATTTATTCGATTGTCTTATCCTCACTTCAAAATACTTTCCTTGTAAATTTCAGAGACCATCTAATGATAAGGAAACTAAAACAAGCTTTACTGTCTGAAATTTTATAAGGTGAATTGATTTGCTACATATAACATCAATTAATCGATCTACAGTCATTGAATAAGACTGACGTTAAAACATAAGAACTAGCAACTGATACTGTAGCAAATTCAAGGAAGGAAAACAAATGAATAAACAAACAAGATCTCAAGCCCTTTGATAAGTTCTATTTCTCAAAAATCATTAGAAAAATAAGGTTTTCTAGTAAAGGGGGATAAGGGGGAAAAAAGAATATACATGTATTTATTACAGCTGAACTGTACATTTAAAATGGTAAGGATGGTAAATTACATATGTATATTTTACCTTATTTAAAAAAGTTTAAATTGCAAATATTAAAAAAGAAAAGAAAGTTTTATTGAAAAATCTTTTAAGCTTGATTGGAAAGGGGACTTTCAGATGTCTGCATAAATAATTACATAAAACTGCAAACTTGCAATGTTAATGCATTAAAAGACCAAGATGGCCAAAGCCCTGAACTGTGTATTATTATTCTATGAAGACCCACAACCCTTTAGAATCATTCAAATGACATTTAATGGGCACCTGCTATGTGTCATGCTGTTTATATACATTGAAAAGCAGATGTAAACCTAATATAAGGATAAAAATATCTATGCTAATAAGAAGAAGTTTGGGGATACAGGATCTATTGAATGAACTCATTTTTGTCACTTTTAGTCTTTAAGTAAATCATCTTACTTCTAGGCTTGTACAGTTGTAAAGAGCTCCGGGATTTTTGTTTTATTGTTTTTTTAAAATAAAACAAAACAGAACAAAGAATGCCATCATTCATAGATGATATCTCTAGCCTGTAAATATGTCAATATAATAGGTTTTAAGTTTATGTACATTTTTTCCGTAAGGTGTAAACCTGGTAATTAAACAAACAAGGATTTGTGGGGGCATAAACATATCATAATTTTTTTATTTTATTATTATTATACTTTAAGTTTTAGGGTACATGTGCACAATGTGCAGGTTAGTTACATATGTATACATGTGCCATGCTGGTGTGCTGCACCCATTAACTCGTCATTTAGCATTAGGTACATCTCCTAAAGCTATCCCTCCCCCCTCCCCCCACCCCACAACAGTCCCCAGAGTGTGATGTTCCCCTTCCTGTGTTTTTTAACTGTTCTTATCTCCTGCTGACATGAACATTCAGCCTTTGACAGGACACTGGTAATCTGCAACCCAGAATTATTTAAGCATAACTTTCTTATAGTTCATGATGCAGTCAGATAAAAGGTTAATCCAAGGACTTGAGTAGCTTACTGCTTGATAATGCAGCTTTTAGAGTTAGACTTGGGTTCAAATCCCAGCTCTATAATGTCTTATCTATGGATCTTTGCATGGGTGACTAAATCTCAGTTTTTGGTATGCGTGGAATGAGAATAATAAAAGCAGCTAACTTAATAGGGTTGTTTTATTATGCAAGTGTTAAGAATGGTAACGGGGGCTGGGCCCAGTGGCTCACACCTGTATTCCCAGCACTTTGGGTGGCCAAGCGGGTGGATCACTTGTGGACAGGAGTTCAAGACCAGCCTGGCCAACGTAACAAAACTCTGTCTCTACTAAAAATACAAAACAAAAAAATAGCTGGCATGGTGGTATGCTCTTGTAATCCCAGCTACTTAGGAGGCTGAGGCACGAGAATCACTTGAACCCAGGAGGCGGAGGTTGCAGTGAGCTGAGATCACACCATTGCACTCCAGCCTGAGCAACAGAGTGAGACACTGTCTCAAAAAAAAAAAAAAAAAAAAAAAAAAAAAAGGGAAAAGAAAGAATGGCAAAGGGTCTGAAATTTTACCTTACTTATGCACTAAAAATTTAGCCTGCCAGTTTCATGGAAGCTGGTAGAAGACACCAGAATCCTAGGTCAGAAATAATAAACAGTTAATTGGAGCAATGACAGTAGCCAAAGTATCAGTATTTGTGTTGCTTACACAAACTCAATTCCCATAGGATAATACAAAGAGGATCAGGTGATACTTGTAGAAGTATTGGGTTGTATTACAGAAGAACCCCAAGCTTAAGAAACACAAATTTCTTACAATGGGCCATAAGCATGTCGGCCCTTTGTTCCAGAGGCAGATACTAACTGTATTTTCCAAGGCTATAAGCAAACCTGCCTTTTGCTCTAGAGATAGACACTATTTCTATCTTCTAAGGCTATTCTCTGGCCAGGCACGGGGGCTCACGCCTGTAATCCCAATACTTTGGGAGGCCGAGGCAGGCAGATCACCTGAGGTCAGGAGTTCAAGACCAGCCTGGCCAACATGGTGAAACCCTGTCTCTACAAAAATTAGCCGGGTATGATGGTGGGTGCCTGTAATCCCAGCTACTTGGTAGGCTGAGATGGGAGAATCACTTGAACCTGAGAGGCGGAGGTTGCAGTGAGCCAAGATCGTGCCATTATACTCCAGCCTGGGTGACAGAGGAGACTCTGTCTCAGAAAAAAAAATAAAATAAAATAAAATAAAATAAAATAAAAGTATGTTTTCTATACATACACCTTTGAAAAGATAATCCAGGGCAAAGGATACTCTGCTCACAGACATGTAAAAAATGCAAAAGCCCCATGGAGAATTCTCTCCTAACAATGAGATAGTTCATTTAAAGCTCATAGCACAGTGCCTGGCATATACTAAGTACTCAATAAAAACTAATTTCCTTTAACATTATCACCACTATTATCATGCTATCTACCGATTCCCAACCCAACCCATAAAGTGAATCAAAGATGTTTTGTTTTCTTCTTCTTGTAATTGTTTTTTAAAAAAGTAGCTTGTGGACAAGGTTATAGTAAACATTATGTATATTTTAAAAACTACTCACTCAAAATAAAATTTTTGTCATCAAAATATTCTTCACCTTGAATTCAAAGCAAACTATAATTTATTTGGAGGCTGTACATTAAAGTTAGAAACCTACTCAAGAAAAAAGTATACAGTACATATATATGTAGCAATCCATTTACATATAACTAAGAATTGTGGATCATTCTAGTGGTGAGCTCATGTCACCATTCCTAAGGGAAAGGCAGTTGCAATATGCCACCTAAGGGTACAGGCAGCTTGTTCAAAATCTGACTACCAATGATTGAGGATGTGGATAAAGGTAAGGTAATAACGAAGGTAAATTTGAAAGGTTCCCTGACACCACCATTGTCCACATCATAGTATGAGTGATTCCTGCTTTCTTGTTTGGATGAAGACAATTTTAAGAATGGTAATCTGAGACACATCATGCTACAAACAGAAAGGTCTTCATAAATCTTTGGAGAACCCTGATGTTTCTATTAAGAACAAGAACATAACTCTCCTCCAGAAATCCTTCCCCAACCAATTTCACTGACTCTAATAACTATTTCTCACTTCCTCACTCTTTCTCTGTAAATATCAGATTACACTGATATTTTTGCATCTGTCAATATGTTATTTCATAGTTACTATCATAGAATTCACAAAGGTTTGGCCTTATTTCCTGGGTCACAATGCAAAACACAGAGTTTTCTTTACATATGATTACCTTTCTTCATACAGTAAATATCAGATTATTTTCCCCGTCTTTGTGTTGAAAATTGTATAACTTAGTTGTCTCACCAAATAAGCTGTCATATCCTATGCTTCCATGATCTATTTTCTGACTCCTGGTGGTAGAATTCTCTACTGTGTCAGAGATCTTGAAAGACTAGTCAGTATTCAAAATTTCTACTTATTCCTCTAATTTCATTCTGTGATCTCCTATCATCTGGCACCTGCCTCACCATTCTATTGATTCTCGTCACTTGAATCACTAAGGATATCTTATTAGCTAAATCTAATGACCTTTTGTTCACCCTCATCCTATGTAACCTCTGTGCATTATATGAAACTAATAACACTCTTTTTACCTTCCAAATTTCTCCTTAGGTCTAAAATATCTCCCTTTTTTGATTGTCTACTTCTCTGACTACTCCTACTGCTTGTTCTCCCTTATCCTATCCCTAAAGGTATCTGCTACCCTTTCCAAGACCTCGGGATTCCTTCCTCTGTTTTTTTGTCCTGCTTATTCTCTCCTTCCAACCTTCATCTCCAGCAATTTTATTGAAGCACAAGGTCTTAGCCACAAACTGAGCACTGAAAACACCCAAATTTATAATACATATCTCTAGTTTTGTCCTCTCACCTAACTTCCAGCCCAGTACAGCCATTCAACTATAATTCAATATAACTATCACAAAGGCATTTGTCAATCCAAAACTGCATTTATTATCTCCTCTCTATAGTCTATTTTTCCTCATATCTATTACGATTTGAGGCATCACTTGTCACAAAACCTAGTTTCTCAAGTCAAATGCCTCAAAATCATTTTCCGCTCCAACACCCATATTTATTTCTCATATATTAATACAATTGGTTAACAAGTCATGCTAACTGTATGTCAAAAATCTCTTGTTATCTGACATCTCATCGAGGTCCTGCCACAGTTCAAGCCCTAATCATGTTTTGTCTGCACTGTTGAAGGAACCTCTTAACAGGTTTCTCTGTCTTCACTTTCTCCCTCCTCCAGGCTGCTAAAAGAAACAATTTACTTTTAATTTCTTAAAAGTGTTTATAAGCGGAAGTGGGAGAATGGCAGTATAAAGAGACAACTAATCACAAACTGAAGTTCATGTTTAAAGTATTATAGAGGGAATAAAAGAGATAAGGTAAAAGATGTTCTGAACTTAGTAGACAAGAACACAAAGGAGTAAGGGGGACAACTATAAAATCACCAATGGTAGCACACAGCTGTAGAAAGGAGGAGATCCATGAAGGCAGGCCACGGTGCTGTCCTCAGCCCTCTACTCTTCTTGCTCCATATTCTGTCCCTGAGTTATTTCAACCGCTGCTGTAAATACAGCTTTCACCTCTCAATACTACATCTTCAGCTCTGATGTCTCTCCTAAGTTCTAGACTCATATATCAAACTGCCTACTAAGTATCTCCACCAGGATGCCCAACAGGTATTTTTTTTTTTTTTTTGAGACTGAATCTCACTCTGTTGCCCAGGCTGGAGTGCAGTGGCATGATCTCGGCTCACTGCAACCTCTGCCTCCCAGGTACAAGCTATTCTTGTGCCTCAGCCTCCCAAGTAGCTGGGACTACAGGCGTGCGCCATTACGCCCAGCTAATTTTTGTATTTTTAGTAGACACAGGATTTTGCCATGTTTGCTAGGCTGGTCTCCATCTACTGACCTCAGGTGATCCACCCACCACAGCCTCCCAAAGTGCTAGGATTACAGGTGTGAGCCACCACACATGGCCCCAACAGGTATTTTAATGTTAATATGTCTAAAGGTGAACTCATCCCAAAAAATTCTTCTTCATTCTCCAACTAGTCAATAACAGGGCTATCTACTTAGTCCCCTATACCAGAAACCTGGGCATTATCCTCAGCATTCCCTCATCCTTGTCCCTGACATCCCTATGCATTCTATCTACCAAATGGCTCTCTACACTCTTCTCTCCATCCCTATTTCCACTGCTTTAGTTTACTTCTTGAATTGCTTTAGCATCTCCCTAATGGGTCTTCCTGACTCCAGTCTCTCCCCCTTTCCTCACCATTCTCTTTTCTACATTATCTTCTGGATGCTCTTTCTGTAGAAGTCACTCTAGAATAAGCCAAAACATGAACCCTTTCCACTGATGGCTGATAAATAAAATATACAAGCTGAGAAGGAAAGAAATCACAAAACAGCATCTAAAAACAGCATTTAAATGGTGGGACTTTATGCCTCTGGGGTTTAACTACCTTCTTAGGTAATATTTTAATGCTTGATTTATTGTCTTTTTCCTCTCTAATTATCTGACATAGGACCCTTAGAGAAGAAATATTGTCTTTTTAAATGTAGTTCATAGAATAGAACATAATGCCCATATAATAAAAAATGAATGCTCTGATTTTTCAGAAGGGAAAATAACTTAAAACGCCAAAATCAGTGTATCCCTGTATGGCTTAGTCCCTTAGGTACATAAATGATGGTGGATAACATTGTGGAGAGAGTTAAATTAGAATGGTATCCTGGGGTGAGATTCTAATGTCAGGACAAGGAGTGTGCCACAAGGATCCATCAAATGATTTTAAGCTTAAGAGAAACATGATCATAGGAAAGATTAGGAAGTGATTAGGGATTATGAAGAAATTAAAGACAGGAAGATTATTTGAGAAGAAACATGGACATTCCCTAAGTGGGCATGGATGTCTTAGAAGTTTCTGAGGTCACAGCAACAAGATTTTGTCTCTTAGTTGACTTGTTTTTAAGGGTCGGTATGAAGGGTAGGTAACTTAAAAATTTGATTTTGAGGTTTCTGTATTGGACAACATAGGAATTTAGGAGGGGAATCATCTCCTGCATATATTAAAATAAGCAAGAGGCCATTAGTTTGAAGCTGTTTCCATACTTTGAGTTCCTATCTAACAAACCGCAAACTAACTTAGCATGTAAACAGACTGAAACTTAACATAAGCTGTATAAAAGACAGCCTAATTTCAGCCAAACACAACTAGCCAGGCTCCAGCTAATTACAGGCAGTCAAGTGACAAGACCATGTCCAAATAAGGCAAATGCCTTGCTGTAGCCAATCAGGTGATTTTTCTCTTTTGTGTCCAAACTCAGCCTATAAAAATTCACTTCTCATGTTGCTGGGAATAGCTCTCTGAAACTCTTCTGGTTCTGAGTACTGACAAATTCATGACTCGTTTTTCTTTTTTTTTTTTTTTGGTTGTTGTTTATGTGTAAACAAACTGTTAACGTTGTCTAACGTTTTTCTTTTAACAGGGAAAAGGGGGAGTCATATCATGAACATTCTGATTGTATGTGTCTGTAGGACATGTATGAAATGTGAATCTAGATTGGGAGTTTGACATCTACAGGCCAAATCATGCCAACTGCCTGGTTTTATAAATGAACTTTTATTAGAACATGGCCATGGTCATTTCTTCAGGTATTATTTATGGCTGCTTTTGTGCTACAAGTAGTTGGGATAATCTTTTGCCCACAAAGCCTCAAATGCCTGCTATCTTGCCCGTTTCAGAAAAAGGTCACTAACCTGTATACTAGGATTTAGGAGTCTGGAAAATGAACTGCAGAATTTTCATGGGTTGGGGGCTTTTTCGTGTTCTAGAACATACCCATTATTCCCCCTTCAACCTCTAGGGGGGTCCCTACTAGCCGTTGGCATGGGACAAACCATTGTCAAGAGGGAGGGATACATGGGACTTTTTTGACTTGATTATAAGGGCTTAATTTTCTTGGTTCTAAGTCTTTTCTGACCACTCCTGTTTCTTCCGACCTTTAAGGGCTCCCAACCATGTGACAGGTTCCCTTAAATCCCAATGGAGTGGCAGGGGCCTTCCTCACTCACTCCCTTCCACTCCTGGTATCTCTGGAAATTGGAACAGTCCCAGAGTAAAAGCCGACGTTGGCCCTGAGTCTTCCTTTCCCTGGAACCTTAGGAGGGAGAGAGATCTTCCTCTCTCTTCGGGCGTGTTAAGACAGCGGGGTTGGCCTGTACTTCCTCTGGCCCTGGCTGAAGAGGTGAGGCCTGGTGGGAGGTGTCCTAGGGTAGGACAAGCCGGTCAGGGGGTCATTAGGACGGTCTTGTCAGAGCGGGTAGGGCGGGGACAAGAGGGCGGGAGAAGATGGATGAGGGGAGGGGCTAAGGGGGAGGAAAGGAACCTATTGGCTGCTCCATCCACACAGGGCTAGTGAAACCGTTAAACCCCTAGGCGATCATGGCCTTGAGACCTGAGGACCCCAGTAGCGGGTTCCGGCATAGCAACGTGGTGGCCTTCATCAACGAGAAAATGGCCAGGCACACGAAAGGCCCCGAGTTCTATCTTGAGAATATATCCTTATCCTGGGAGAAGGTGGAAGACAAGCTGAGGGCCATACTGGAGGACAGCGAGGTGCCCAGTGAGGTCAAAGAGGCCTGCACCTGGGGCAGCCTGGCCTTGGGAGTGCGCTTTGCCCACAGGCAGGCACAGCTACAAAGGCACAGGGTGCGGTGGCTGCACGGCTTCGCCAAACTGCACAAATCAGCCGCACAGGCCTTGGCATCAGACCTGAAGAAGCTCAGGGAGCAGCAGGAGACGGAACGCAAGGAGGCGGCCTCCCGGCTAAGAATGGCCCAGACCAGCCTCGTGGAGGTGCAGAAAGAGAGAGACAAGGTGAGTTGGAAGCCGCTCCATGCAGTAAGATCCCTCAACTGGTCCCTGCCCAGTACCACTGCCCTGCCCCATTCCCACCCCTCTCCACCCTGCTCCATGGCTTCGCCCTGCCCCGCCCTTCCCACCTGGTAGCTCCGTCCTACCCTGCTTAGTGCTCCCGCCTTGCCCCCAGAACACACCTCAGCCCTGCCCACTTCTCTCCAGGAGCTGGTGTCTCCCCATGAGTGGGAGCAGGGGGCAGGGTGGCCAGGCCTGGCCACTGCCGGAGGGGTTTGCACAGAAGGAGCAGCTGAGGAGGAAGAAGAGGCGGCGGTGGCTGCTGCTGGTGCTGCTGGAGGAAAAGGAGCAGAAGAAGAGCAGAGGGATGTGGAGGTTGTGGCTGCCCCTGTGGAGGCCATGGCTCCCCCTGTGGAGGCTGGGGCTGCCCCCATGGAGACCCAGTTCCCCCACGTGGAGGCCAGGGCTGCCTCCATGGAGACCACAGAGAAGCTGGAGAGAATCCTCCTGCAGCTCCTTGGAGATGCTGATCAGGAAAAGTACACCTATTGGGGGCAGAAGGAGGGAGATCTCCGGTCGGTCGAAACAGCCACATCTTATTTCTCTGGAACCACGAACCCCTGGTCCAGAGCCTCATCAGAACCTCTTCCTGTCCAGCTCCCTGCCTCATACTCATACTCATACTCAAGCCCTTTTTCCTCCTTCTCAGACATACCCACTATATCCCCTCCACAAGCAACAGTCACAGCACCAGTTCCGCCTCAGCTGCCTTCCGACTGGGAGGCCTTTGATACTAGCCTGTGGTCTGATGGGGGGCCCCACAGAATAGACCATCAGGAGCACCCAAGAGACAGGAGATACTCCGAACCTCATCAGCAAAGACCTCCAGTATATCGCAGGCCAGGGGACTGGGACTGCCCTTGGTGTAACGCTGTGAATTTTTCACGGAGGGATACTTGCTTCGACTGTGGGAAGGGAATCTGGCTGCAAAAACCTCATTGAGTGCAGAAATGCAAAATAGAACCGAAGCATGTATATCTCGATGGCGAATTAATTTTCAGAGGGCAGGCTTGTGGTGGCGGGGGCCGGGGTGGTAGGGGAAGAAGGCTGGGAAGAGTGGGGGAAGGAGGTGAGACAATGGTACCTTTACGAATAACTTCAGAGATAGGGGTGGTGACTGGAGGAGGGGGAGGAAAGTAGGGGTTGTGAAAGAGGTGTAGAAGTGGGGTGGTGGCCAGGGGAGGTATAGATTGGGGTGGGGAGAGAGAGACACATGGAGACAGACATGTTTTGGTGACCCCCTTTGTATTCCAGAGCACTTGCACTCAATACCCCAGAAGTGCTGCAGCTTTTATTTGTGTATGTCTCGCTCGCTCTCTCCCTGCCCTAGTGTCTGGTAAAAGAGGCAACCATGTGTATAACACCCCACCCTCTACTCGCATCTAGGCCTTAGATGATTGGAGCAGGAGTGGATATTTGGCCCATCCAGAGCCAAATGGATTTTTCATGCTAGACACTCTGAACAGAGAGGCCGATTCCATGATGTTGAGCAATGAAGCTGTAGGCCACTTGGAGTTGGGGCCAGGACCGGAGCCATGGTTGCTGAGGCCACTGCTGAGGCTTGGCCCTGGCTGTGGAGGAATAGAACTGGGTGCTTTCCAGAGGCAAGTGTCTTTGGGAGTCACTAGTACGTGGTTCCAGGGAGCAGACAGGCACAGAGGAATCATCCTGTGACTCCAGAGAGATGGAGAGAGCAGCAGCACAACCACTTTTCACTTCCTACAGTTGTGCTACATGAAAATCCCCTTTACACAGAACCTCTTTTCTTTAGCTAACTTGAGTGGGTGGACAGATTTTTTTTTTAAGTTCTGGGATACATGTGCAGAACGTGTAGGTTTGTTACATAGGTATACACGTGCCATGGTGGTTTGCTGTACCTATCAACCCTTCATCTAGGTTTTAAGCTCCGCATGTGTTAGATATTTGTCGTAATGCTCTCCCTCTCCTCACACCCCATCCCCTGACAGGCCCCAGTGTGTGATGTCCTCCTCCCTATGTCCATGTGTTCTCATTTTTCACCTCACACTTATGAGTGAGAATATGCAGTGTTTGGTTTTCTGTTCCTGTATTTGCTGAGAATGATGGCTTCCAGCTTCATCCATGTCCCTGCAAAGAACATGAACTCATTCTTTTTATGGCTGCATAGTATTCCATGGTGTATATGTGCCACATTTTCTTAATCCAGTCTATCATTGTTGGACATTTGGGTTGGTTCCAAGTCTTTGCTATTGTGAATAGTGCCGCAATAAACATATGTGTGCATGTGTCTTTGTGGCAGCATGTTTTATAATCCTTTGGGTATATACCCAGTAATGGGATGGTTGGGTCAAATGGTATTTCTAGTTCTACATCCCTGAGGAATCGCCACACTGACTTCCACAATGGTTGAACTAGTTTACAGTCCCACCAACAGTGTAAAAGTGTTCCTGTTTCTCCACATCCTCTCCAGCACCTGTTGTTTCCTGACTTTTTAATGATCGCCATTCTAACTGGTGTGAGGTGGTATCTCATTGTGGTTTTGATTTGCATTTCCCTGATGGCCAGTGATGATGAGCATTTTTTCATGTGTTGGCTGCATAAATGTCTTCTTTTGAGAAGTGTCTGTTCATGTCCTTCACCCACTTTTTGATGGGGTTGTTTGTTTTTTTCTTGTAAATTTGTTGGAGTTCATTGTAGATTCTGGATATTAGCCCTTTGTCAGATGAGTAGATTGCAAAAATTTTCTCCCATTCTGTAGGTTGCCTGTTCACTCTGATGGTAGTTTCTTTTGCTGTGCAGAAGCTCTTTAGTTTAATTAGATCCCATTTGTCAATTTTGGCTTTTGTTGCCATTGCTTTTGGTGTTTTAGACATGAAGTCCTTGCCCATGCCTATGTCCTGAATGGTATTGCCTAGGTTTTCTTCTAGGGTTTTTATGGTTTTAGGTCTAACATTTAAGTCTTTAATCCATCTTGAATTAATTTTTGTATAAGGTGTAAGGAAGGGATCCAGTTTCAGTTTTCTGCATATGGCTATCCAGTTTTCCCAGCACCATTTATTAAATAGGGAATTCTTTCTCCATTGCTTGTTTTTGTGAGGTTTGTCGAAGATCAGATGGTTGTAGATGTGTGGTGTTATTTCTGAGGTCTCTGTTCCATTCCATTGGTCTATATATCTGTTTAGGTACCAGTACCATGCTGTTTTTGTTACTGTAGCCTTGTAGTATAGTTTGAGGTCAGGTAGTGTGATGCCTCCAGTTTTGTTCTTTTTGCTTAGGATTGTCTTGGCTATGCGGGCCCTTTTTTGGTTCCATATGAAATTTAAAGTAGTTTTTTTTTTTCTAATTCAGTGAAGAAAGTAACTGGTAGCTTGATGGGAATAGCACTGAATCTATAAATTACTTTGGGCAGTATGGCCACTTTCACAATATTAATTCTTCCTATCCATGAGCATGGAATGTTTTTCCATTTGTGTCTTCTCTTATTCTCTTGAGCAGTGGTTTGTAGATCTCCTTGAAGACGCCCCTTGTAAGTTGTATTCCTAGGTATTTTATTCTCTTTGTAGTCATTGTGAATGGGAGTTCACTCATGATTTGGCTCTCTGCTTGACTATTGTTGGTGTATAGGAACGCTTGTGATTTTTGCACATTGCTTTTGTATCCTGAGACTTTGCTGAAGTTGCTTATCAGCTTAAGGGGTTTTTGGGCTGAGACGATGGGGTTTTCTAAATGTACAATCATGTCGTCTGCAAACAGAGACAATTTGACTTCCTCTCTTCCTATTAGAATGCGCTTCATTTCTTTCTCTTGCTTGATTGCCCTGGCCAGAACTTCCAACACTGTGTTGAATAGGAGTGGTGAGAGGGCATCCTTGTCTTATGTGAGTTTTCAAAGGGAATGCTTCCAGCTTTTGCCCATTCAGTATGATATTGGTTATGGGTTTGTCATAAATAGCTCTTATTATTTTGAGATATGTTCCATCACCACCTAGTTTATTGAGAGTTTTTATCATAAAGGGGTGTTGAATTTTATTGAAGGACTTTTCTGTGTATATTAAGATAATCATGTGGTTTTTGTCATTGGTTCTGTTTATGTGATGGATTACATTTATTGATTTGCATATGTTGAACCAGGCTTGCATCCCAGGGATAAAGCTGACTTGATCCGTGGTGGATAAGCTTTTTGATGTGCTGCTGGATTTTGTTTGCCAGTATTTTCTTGAGGATTTTCACATCGATGTTCTTCGGGGATATTGGCCTGAAATTTTCTCTTTTTGTTGTGTCTCTGCCAGGTTTTGGTATCAGGATGATGCTGCCCTCATAAAATGAGTTAGAGAGGATTCCCTCTTTTTCTATTCATTGGAATAGTTGCAGAAGAAATGGTACCAGCTCCTCTTTGTACCTCTGGTAGAATTCGGCTGTGAATCCGTCTGGTCCTGGGCTTTTTTTGGTTGGTAGACTATTAATTACTGCCTCAATTTCAGAACTTGTTATTGGTCTATTCAGGGATTCGACTTCTTCCTGGTTTAGTCTTGGGAGGGTGTATGTGTCCAGGAATTTATCCATTTCTTCTAGATTTTCTAGTTTATTTGCGTAGAGGTGTTTATAGTATTCTCTGTTGGTAGTTTGCATTTCTGTGGTTTCAGTGGTAATATCCCCTGTATCATTTTTTATTGTGTCTACTTGATTCTTCTCTTTTCTTCTTCATTAGTCCAGCTAGTGGTCCATCTGTTTTGTTAATCGTTTCAAAAAATCAGCTCCTGGATTCATTGATTCTTTGAAGGGTTTTTTGTGTCTCTATCTCCTTCAGTTCTGCTCTGATCTTAGTTATTTCTTGTCTTCTGCTAGCTTTTGAATTTGTTTGCTCTTGCTTCTCTAGTTCTTTTAATTGTGATGTTAGTGTGTTGATTTCAGATCTTTCCAGCTTTCTGTTGTGAGCATTTAGTGCTATACATTTCCCTCTTAACACTGCTTCAGCTGTGTCCCAGAGATTCTGGTACATTGTCTCTTTGTTCTCATTGGTTTCAAAGAACTTCTTCATTTCTGCCATAATTTCGTTATTTACCCAGGAGAAGATTGTTCAATTTCCATGTAGTTGTGCGGTTTTGAGTGAGTTTCTTAACCTTGAGCTCTAATTTGATTGCACTGTGGTCCGAGAGACTGTTATGATTTCCATTCTTTTGCATTTGCTAGGGAGTGTTGTACTAGCAATTATGTGGTCAATTTTAGAGTACGTGCTATGTGGCACTGAGAAGAATGTATATTCTGTTGATTTGAGGTGGACAGTTCTGTAGATGTCTATTAGGTCCATTTGGTTCAGAGCTGAGTTCAGTTCCTGAATATCTTTGTTAATTTTCTGTCTCATTGATCTGTCTAATATTGATAGTGGGGTGTTAATGTCTCCCACTATTACTGTGTGGAAGTCTAAGTCTCTTTGCAGGTCTTTAAGAACTTGTTTCATGAATCTGTGTGCTCCTATATTGGGTGCATATATATTTAGGATAGTTAGCTCTTCTTGTTGCATTGATCCATTTACCATTATGTAATGCCCTTCTTTGTCTTTTTTTTTTTTATCTTTGTTGGTTTAAACTCTGTTTTATCAGAGACTAGGATTGCAACCCTTGCTTCTTTTTGCTTTCCATTTGCTTAGTAAATATTCCTCCATCCCTTTATTTTGAGCCTATGTGTGTCTTTGCACATGAGATGGGCCTCCTGAATACAGCATACTGATGGGTCTTGACTTTTTATCTAGTTTGCCAGTCTATGTCTTTTAATTGGGGCATTTAGCCCATTTACATTTAAGTTTAGTATTGTTATGTGTGAATTTGATCCTGTCATCATGATGCTGGCCGGTTATTTTGCACATTAGTTGATGCAGTTTATTCATAGAGGTCTTTATATTTTGGTGTGTTTTTGCAGTGGCTGGTACCGGTTTTTCCTTTCCATATTTAGTACTTCCTTCAGGATCTCTTGTAAGGCAGGGCCTGGTGGTGACAAAATCCCTCAGCATTTGCTTGTCTATAAAGGATTTTATTTCTCCTTTGCTTATGAATCTTAGCTTGGCTGGATATGAAATTCTGGGTTGAAAATTCTTTTCTTTAAGAATGTTGAATATTGGCCCCCACTCTCTTCTGGCTTGTAGGGTTTCTGCAGAGAGATCTGCTGTTAGTCTGATGGGCTTCCCTTTGTAGGTAACCTGACCTTTCTCTCTGGCTGCCCTTAATATTTTTTCCGTTTCAACCTTGGAGAATCTGACGATTATGTGTCTTGTGGTTACTCTTCTCGAAGAGTATCTTAGTGGTGTTCTCTATATTTCCTGAACTTGAATGTTGGCCTGTCTTGCTAGGTTGGGGAAGTTCTCCTGGATAATGTCCTGAAGTGTGTTTTCCAACTTGGTTCCATTCTCCCCGTCACTTTCAGGTACACCAATCAATCATAGGTTTGGTCTTTTCACATAGTCCCATATTTGTTGGAGGCTTTGTTCATTCCTTTTTATTCTTTTTTCTCTAATCTTGTCTTCATGCCTTATTTCAGTAAGTTGATGTTCAATCTCTCATATCCTTTCTTCTGCTTGATCAGTTTGGCTATTGATACTTGTGTATGCTTCACAAAGTTCTTGTGCTGTGTTTTTCAGCTCCATCAGGTCATTTATGTTCCTCTCTAAACTGGTTATTCTAGTTAGCAGTTTCTGTAACCTTTTATCAGGTTCTTAGCTTATTTGCATTGGGTTAGAACATGCTCCTTTTGCTCAGAGGAGTTTGTTATTACCCACCTCCTGAAGCCTGCTTCTGTCAATTTGTCAATCTCATTCTCCATCCAGTTTTGTGCCCTTGCTGGAGAGGAGTGGCAATCACTTGGAGAAGAGGAATTCTGGCTTTTGGAATTTTCAGCATTTTTGCACTGATTTTTCCTCATCTCTGTGGATTTATCCACGTTTAATCTTTGAGGTTGATAACTTTTGGATGGGGTGTTTGTGTGGGGCTCCTTGATACTGATGTTGATGTTGTTGGTTTCTGTTTGTTAGTTTTTCTTCTAACAGTCACGTCCCTCTTCTGCAGGTCTGCTGCAGTTTGCTGGAGGTCCACTCCAGACCCTTTTCACCTGGGTATCACCAGTGGAGGCTGCAGGACAGCAAAAATTGCTGCCTGCTCCTTCCTCTGGAGGCTTCATCCCAGAAGGGTACCAACCTGATGCCAGCTGGAGCTCTCCTGTATGAGGTGTCTGTCAACCCTTGTTAGGAGGTTTCTCCCAGTCAGAAGGCATGGGGGTCCGGGACCCACTTGAAGAGGCAGTCTGTTCCTTAGCAGAGCTAGTGTGCTGTGCTGGGAGAGTCCCTCTTGTCAGGATCAGCTGCTCTCTTCAGAGCAGGCAGGCAGGAACAATTAAGTCCACTGAAGCTGCACTCACAGCCGCCCTTTCCCTGAGGTGCTCTGTCCCAGGGAGATGGGGGTTTTGTCTGTAAGTCCCTGACAGGGGCTTTTACTTTTCCCTCAGAGATGCCCTGCCCAGTGAGTAGGAATCTAGAGAAGCAGCCTGGCCACAGCCGCTTTGCCACACTGTGGTGAATTCACCCAGTCCATACCTCCCAGCCTCCTTAGCACTGTCAGGGGAAAACTGCCTACTAAAGCCTCAGTAACAGCGAACACCACTCCGCCAACAAAGCTTGACCATCCCAGGTTGACTTCAGACTGCTGTGCTGGCAGTGAGAATTTCAAGCCAGTGGTTCTTAGCTTGCTGGGCTCTGTGGGAGTGGGACCTGCTGAGCGAGACCACTTGGCTCCCTGGCTTCAGCCCCCTTTCCAGGGGAGTGAGCGGTTCTGTCTTGCTTGGGTTCCAGGTGCCACTGGGGTTTGAAAAAATACTCCTGCAGCTAGCTCAGTGTCTGCCCAAACAGCTGCCCAGTTTTGTGCTTGAAACCCAGGGCTCTGGTGGTGTAGGCACACAAGGGAAATCTCCTGATCTGCAGATTACAAAAACTGTGGGAAAAGCGTAGTAACCCAGCTGGGTAGCATTGTCCCTCACAGCTTCCCTTGGCTTGGCGAGTGAGATCCTGGCCTCTTGCACTTCCTGGGTGAAGTGACGCCTCACCCTGCCTCTGCTCACCCTCCATGGGTTGGACCCACTGCCTAACCAGTCCTGTTGAGATGAATTGGGGACCTCAGTTAGAAATGCAGAAATCACCTGCCTTCTTCATTGTTCTCGCTGGGAGCTGTGGACCAGAGCTGTTCCTATTCGGTCATCTTGGTGCCTCCCCATCAGATTATTTTTATGTCAGAAATTGGTACCAGGAGAGCAGTTGCAAATAAGAGACCATCAAATAATATGTTCGAACCAGCTGGGGAGTTGCATCAGGGTATGGTGAGTAGTGGAGATTCCTGCATTCCAGGAGTCTCTAGGAATGAACTGGATAGAAAGTTCATTCATGATCTGAGTGAGTTATATCATGACAAACAATCAAAACAGGCCTGGGGTTAACCCCAGGTTTATGATTGACTCAAATCGACATGGCAGTGCTTTGCTACTCCTGAGGGAATCCTTCAGGGCTACATACAGAGGATGCCAGCACCAGCTCCAGGCGAGGACTGCTATGACTCTACAGCTCTCATGACAGCAGAATCCTCCTCAATCCCAAGTGAGCAGAACCAGGGACAGTCAGATTTGAACAGAGAACTCCTGCCACTGCCAAGGAGGTGAGTCAGCAACTGATAGTGCTCAGAGGGTTTCCTGGTTTAGACCATGGGCAAAAGCACGATGCCATCATCCTGAGGGAATTTCTCTTCCAACCCACCACCATGATAAATGTAGGAGGAAAATCTAGCTACAAAGCTCTTAGTGAATTTAGAAATGTGAAACAGAACAGAAACATATCCCAGTGGGAAATCAACTTTCAGAGGGAGGGGTGAGGTGGGGGAGGATAGGAGTGGGTGGGGTCAAAAGGTGGGTGGCAGGTTGGTCTCCTTCTATCCCTTTGATGACTGTAAGCTGTGTTGATCGGGGGTACATGTATGTTTTAGCTAACAGGTGGAAGGATGGAGAGGAGTTAGACCTGAACCAGATTGAGACACAAATGGAGGAGCCTTGGACATCACCTGGGGCATGTGGACCTAGTGACTAAGAAGCTGTCATGGCCCTGGGACATCTCTGCAGCAGCTAGATGTGACATTAGTTTGTTTCCTGTTGAATCTATGACAGTCATTCAGGACTTGGGGCCAGTTCCCTAACTAGTTATTAAAGAGTTTGTACTCGTCAAAAATGTTCTCGGGCTTGTCTATATCCTTCTAGGGCAGGGTTTCCCAATATTGGCATGCTTGACATTTGGGGCCATATGCTTTTTTATTTCTGGGGGCCATCCTGTGCATTGTAGGTTGTTTAGCAAAATCCCTAGCCTCAACTAACTGGATGCCCAGTAGTAGTGTACATTTCCCACCCCACCCAAATTGTGACAACGAAAAATCTCTCCAGATATTGCCGAATGTCCACTAGAGGGCAAAATCATTATGAGTAACCTAGGGAGGGTAGGCTCAGGGGTCAAATGATGGTAGGCAGTGGGACATTAGGGTATAGGGTGGAGTGAGGTAGAGTAGGGGGCATGAGATAGAGGGCCTTTACTTCTTTATATTCTTGTGTTTTGTGACAGTAAAGTAATTAAATGTTCACAGAAATACAAAACAATATAAAGAAGTTAATTTACTAGGTGGATGGGTTTGGAAAGGCCACTTCTTCCTCTGGAACAGAAGGGAAAAGGAGAGCAGACACTGTGTGGTAAGGGGGTGGGAACCCAAGGGGTTTCCTGCCTTTGTGTCTGTTAGACAAGGCACCTGAGGGTTAGTAAGGACCTATAAGGTCAGGGTGGTGGTGGGACAGTGGTACCTTTAGGAATAACTTAGGGGATGGGGTGGAGACTGGAGGAGGGGGAGGAAAGGATCATCAAGCTGCATAAAAAACACGATTGGGGTAGGGCCCAACTGAAAGAAAATCAAAGGGGAGAGCAGTGGGACCCTAGGAGGGGGCACTAGAAAGGAAGGTGAATAATTCCAGGAAGGGAACCAGACACTTATCTCTCTGGTCGTACAAATTGTTTTCATAACTTTTTTTTTCAGTAAAACATTAAATCAGTTTGCTTGGATTTGGGTTTTATATTTGGCAGGATTATGGAAAGATATTAACATTTTCATGATTTCCTGTGTTATGCCTATTAAAGTTTTTTTCTCTGTAAGTCCAGAGGAAAGGTTTTAATACATAAAAATTAATTCTACTTCCATCACTGAATATCCTCTACAAACCCAGCAGAAGCAATCTGACCTGACCTTTGAGCCCTTGAGTAAGCATGCTTAGTGAGATGGGCAGTTACAGAGGAAGACAGCTTTAAAAACAATGCTGCTGGGAGAAAGGCCCAGCTCTGATGGGTGAGGGAAGGGGATGGATATTTCATGGGGACCAATGCCTTGGTCAAAAACAGTGAGTTTTACCTCTAGAAAAGCTGTAATGGTCCTCTCTGGGCTTGCCATTTGAGATAACAACAAGTGAAGTGGTGAAAGGCAAAAACCAGGGAAGCCTTCATTGACCTCTTTTTTTCTGATCACCCATCCACATGCCAGGAAGTCAAACTTGGCTATACCTGTCTCTAAAATAATGGAAAGTAAAATTAAACTATATTTTATTTAGAAACAGCAGTGATTTTTTTTATCTTTGTTTCATGTCATGTGGGATCAAAGTCAAAATTTGAGCAGAGTGTGTATATAGTGACATTACCTAATATAGAAGCTTCCCTAAATGCTTAAAAATCAGAATTTTCTGTGACTTTGTACCCTGCTGTAAAATACTGGCGTTGCCAATATTATTATTTGGACTGTCACCTCGTAAAATTGCCTTCCTGTCATCTATTTCTATTGGTAAAACAATATACTAAAAAAAGATTCATGTGAGCAAAATGAAAACGTCTGGACCCTACTGATCTGAGGGTTTCAGCCAATAAGTCAACAATCAGTATGTATGGAAAGGCTGCCCTGTGTGTGGACAGTGTGCATGGTGCTTAAGTGGCAAGCTTTAGATTGAGCTTAAAAGGAGGAGAGATCTCTTGCTCAAGAGTAAAAGATAATAATGTAAATATGAAACATGGTCAAGCCACTTTCCTTGTAGGAAGTAAAGGGAAGGCACTGATGGGATCAGGGTAACAGGAATAAAAAATTAAAAATGTATATACTATATCTCTATACTCAGGTAAGTGTATATTGCCTTAGTGTTGAAGAGTGAGATCTGGTCTGGAAACGAGTGTGTAGATTTGTATTGGCTTGGGTCTTGCTTGAATGTGATCAAGGCCCCAAGGTGGAAATATACATTACCCCTCTCACTTAGCTTTTCTCTGTCTCATATTTATAGATACAGACTATACCCATCGAATATTAATGAGCCATCCTACCAAGGTGGATCACTCTTCGGTGTGGTGAGAGAGTGGGGATGGTTCCATGTGAATTTATCAACACCTGTGAGAAAACTGGTTGGAGTACATGCTAAGACTAACAACGCTTTAGTCAGCAGCACTGCCTTTCTTTAATGAAGGTCAGGTCATAGAAGGGAATTTGCCTCCTTTAAATATACATTTTCTCTGTGGAAACATCATCTGCAAAAAACGTGCCTTATTACCTGACTGCAAGTTAAGGTGCTCATTAGTTGAGTCTTTTAGCTTCTTTTCTAAGAATTGCTCAATGTCTAAAATCTCATGTTTCAAAAACATCTGAAACCTTCATAAAGCAAGTATTATTGTTAGGTTCATACTCAGAAAAAAACGCCTCGATAAATCCAGGTTCCGACCAAATTTACCTCCCTGTTTTTCCCTGTGCATGGCCCATGTTTTACTACCTCCTTGCCCTGGGACATTGTTTTATCTGCCTGGGAAGACCTCTACTATCACCACCTGTTTAGATCCTCAAGAGCCATCTGAAGCAAGCACGATTCTATAAGACAAAAGCTATTTTTCCTACTTTTTACTGTACTATTACTTTATCTTTCCTATAGCACGTATCACTTTCCCTCATGTATGATGGAATAAAAGCCATCAAGTTAAGTGTTTGCAGCTTTTCCCTTCTTCTTGCCTTCTAAACATAATTCTCTTTTTCACTGCATTGGTCTTTTTAAATGCAACAACTTTTACAAAGATCCTTGGTATGGCAGGTTAGTTCCTGAGATTTTATTGTGCAGAATAGGAGTAATGGGCAGAAAGAGCTGAAGAATTGCAAGAAGCACTGCTAGTTTAATTAAATTACATTGGAAAGGGCAAAAAAGAGCTTCTTGAAAGGAAAAAAGTGCTAGAGGATGAGAAAGGGCAAAAAGAGAAGAAACTTATAGGGGATGCATTCCAGGAAGAGTTTTTTAGCAGGTAACAAGAGGAGCAATGAGAGAGGTTTCTGGGCAGCTGAAACATACAAGAGATACTAGGAGTGATAGTAATGTCAAACAATGATTTTTGTTGCTGTGGGTTACAAATGGGCTTACCTTTGATATTTTTCAAGGGACTACGTTAAATCTATCCTCAGACTTTAAAAAATATGTTTAGTTGCTAGACTATGTTTTCTAGGATACAATTTAATGATGAACCACATGGGAGTTATGCTTGTTTGATTGTGATTTGTATACATGTCCTAATTCCCCTTTTAATTTGTTATAAGTCAGGAGCCCTATCATTCACTTTTGCTTTTTTTTTAGTACCCTCTGTACAGGAGGTACTCAATAAATATTTGTTTAATGAATAATAAATACCTGAGACCTAAAAGGATATTGGCTGAAAAACATCGCTTTTATTAAAAACAAACAAAAACAAAACAAAACTGTAGTTAGGAAGGAATGAGATCTCATTTGTGTTCCACCATGAACATTTTCAACTTTAAGGTGAATGGAGGGAAGTAGTGTCATGCAATGAGTTTTTGAAAAAGATAACCATACATTTATGACACCTGATTATATTCATTCTAGCACTTTGTCATATACTGATGTATATGTTTCTCTAATTGATTCATCACGAGTCTTATATATTAGAGGTTTTGAAGTCAGAGTAAACAGACAAAAAGAGCCATTTAAGGATATATATGCTTCAAAATTCATCTCTATTCTTTGGTGGAAAACAACTTTTAAGCACTTCTGCATATGTAAACTGAAAAGTGATCACAAAGGATTTTAAACTTGGTAAAACAAGAAGACTAGTTCTCTGAAAATTCTTGCTTTAACTTAATCATCACTTTTCATGAACTTGGAATCTCTATTTCATTGCCTTCTATTATCCATCTTTAATCAATAAAATTCTATCCTCATCACCAGACAATAATGTTCACTGATGAAACTAAAAACACACAGAAGCACAGAACTTTATATAGGCAAGAATTAATGTAAATAACCATATCTCATTTGTTGTAATATACAAATACAGATTACTATAAAGAACAGTGAAAACAGATAATAATTGAGAAGACAGTAGAGAAAACTGATAATGTGTATGAGCTCTGGAGTCAAACCTTTCCAAATCCCAGCTCCATCATTTACTACCCATGTGTCCTTGGGCAAGTTCTTCACTTCTCTAAGTATCAGTTTTATCATCTTCAATAATATGACCTACCTCCTGAATTATTCTAAGGATTAGCACAATACTTTCATATAATAAAAGCTAAAAAATTATAGCTAGTAGTAGCAGTGGTGGTGGTAGTAAAAGTAGAAATAAGAGATAATGTATGGAGTGCTTACTCTATGTCAGTATTGGTGATAAGTGCTCATCAACATTCTCTGAGGTAGGTACTATGATCTTTGTTCATCTCCAGGTCTTCTCTCTCAGTTAATAGCACCATGATTCACACAGTTGCTTCAGTCAAAAGCAACAGGAGTCATCCTTTATTCAGCTTTTTCTCACATCCAGGACATCAGTACGTCCTATCAGCTCATCCTTCAATATATATCTGGGATTCATTCATGTCTCCCTATTTTTATAGCTACCACCACAATCCAAGCTACCATCACATCTCTCCTCAACTAATACAATTGCTTCTCAACTTGGTCTTCTTGCTTCTCCCCCTGTAGTCCATTCTCGCCAGGCAACCAAAGTAATCATTTTTTAAATGGAAATTGGATCATGTTACTCTCCAGTTTAACAAAAATAAATACTCATTTTATCTCTGATTACTAATTTAAAAATCAACTTTTTATTCTGGTCCACAATATGCAACAGCATCTGTCCTCTGTTCTCTGCCTGCTTTTCCAGCCTTATCTAGTAGCATTATTCCCCAGCTCACCACACTCCAACCAAACTGCCCTTCTTTAGCACTTTTTTTTTTTTTTTTTTTTTTTTTTTTTTTTTTTTTTAACAGAGTCTTGCTCTGTCGCCGAGGCTGGAGTGCCGTGGCGCAGTCTCAGCTCACTGCAACCTCCACCTCCCAGGTTCCAGCGATTCTCTTGCTTCAGCTTCCCAAGTAGCTGGGATTGTAGGCGTGCACTACCACACCTGGCTAATTTTTGTAGTTTTAGTAGAGACAGGGGTTACACCACGTTGGCCAGGCTGGTCTCGAACTTCTGACCTCAGGTGATCTGCCCGTCTCAGCCTCCCAAAGTGCCGGGATTACAGGTGTGAGCCACTGCACCCAGCCCTTTCTTTAGCTTTCTCGAATCAAGCCTGTTCCCATTTCATGACCTTTACACATGGCATTCACTTTGACTGGAATACTCTGCCCCAAGATTTTCACAAGACTGGCTCCTTCTTGTCATTCAGGTCTCAGTTTGTATGTCACTTTCTCTGTGAAGCCCTTCTTGATCACCTAACTGAAAGTGGCCTCTCAGTCAGTCACTCCCCTAACATGACCCTTCTTCACTCTCACCACTGTAGAATTACGATTACCCAGTGTAGTCTTGTGATTGCATTATTTATATGTTTTCCCAACTCTAGAATGGAAGCTCCATTACTTTAATCTCTCATTCAATGCATTTACTCAACACCTAATTCAAGTGTTCAAAATATTTTAAGTTGAATAACCAAATGGGTCTTTATTTTCCATGTGAGGAAAAGCAAGGCAAAGGTCACACAGCCATAATATACCATCACTCCCTAGGCTAATGTTGGAGTCAGAACCAATAGTTCAGAGTTTGCAAACTGTGAGTCCCCTGGTTGAACCTGAGTAGTCATATAAATTGCTCAAGGTCACACAATTCGTAAGTAATAAAACTGAGATTTGACTCCAAGCAGTCCAGCTCCAGAGACCATACTCCTAATAGGACACAGTAGTATTAATAGTAATATAGAAGATTGCACCACAGTGTTAGGTATAGAAGAGTCCTAGCTAGTTCAGTAACTCTTAGTAATTCCTCCTTTAGTAACTGCTAAAAGGCAGATGCTGTGTCATAATTTTCTCTTGGGTTCGCCATAGTGATAGGCACAATATTAGTCCATATAAGCATTGAATGGATATTTTCACTGAAGTTACTTTTCATGCCTGGGACTAGAGTTATTGCACATCTTCAGTCCTCTGCCCTTTTAAAGAGTTGCTGTTTGATCATTGACAGGAAGGAAGGTGGAGGAGAAGCAGCACTTTATAGCAATAGAATCCTCTTGATAGAATACCTATTTCAGTACACCGTAGCTAGCAATAAGGACCCCTATACTGATCAGTGCATTTTTTGAAGACTCCAATAGCCACACAAGGGATTAAGCTGGAATTGGGCCAGTTGCCACATAAAGGGACACCATATGACTCTACTACTGAATGCTCAAATGTACTCTAGGGAGAGTGGCGGGTTTCCTTTAATCTATCTTGCCATTGGAGTGTTGATTTTCCTGCTTCACTTTGATACAGATAAAACCTGCTGCAGTCCTACTTTAAGATGACTATACCATCGCTCTCTAGGTTAATGTTGGAGTCAGAACCTATTAGTTTAGAGTATGAGAACTGAGTTCAATGGTTGAATCTGAGTATGGGCTTTTTTGGGCAGGAGGATCCCATAAATTTAAAAATTGAGAAATTTCACACAATTATTCAGCTTTCAAAACATCAGAAAAACTGGCAATGTTGGGCCTATATCCCTAGTGCCTTCTAACATTAAGGGGTCAGAAAGAATACCAGGAGCCAGGAAAAGAACTTATGAAAGAGTAACTGATAGAGTATGAGGAAAGCCAAGAGAGTACTATTCTCTGGAAGTCAGGTAAAGAATGCATTATCAAAAAGAAGGGAGTGATCAACTATGCCACATGACATTACAGGTCAAGTAATAGGAGAACTGAAAACTGGCATGCCCATTGGATTTAGTATTGTTGTGGTCATTGGACACTTTTATAAGAGCAGGTTTGGAAGAGTTTGAAGGTAAAATTTTGATTGGAATGGGTTTACTAGAGAATAAGTGGAGAGGAACTCAAAACTGAATGCAGACAACACTTTTTTTTATAAATAGTTTTATTGAGATATAATTGATACACAAATAACTGCATATATTTAATGGGTACAGTTTGAAGGGTTTGGACTTATATAAACAACCATGATACCATAACCAGATAATTCTTTAAAGTAGCTTTTTCCAAATGGGAGCAAGAAACCGGGAATAGTGGCTGTCAGGAAAGTGGAGTAGAGAGGATTTTTTTTAGATGGCATAAATACTGATCTGTATACATGCTGATGGAAATGATCCAGTAGAAATAGAAAATTTCATGATATGGGAGAGAGAGAGGAGAATTGCTCAGGTGATGTTCTTGGGTAAGCAAATAGGGATAGAATCTGGTGTACACATGAAGTGACTTGCCTTACATAGAAGCAAGGCCAGTTCATCTGTGGTAACAGGCTGGAAGGCAGAATATGTAGGTATAGATGCCAGTAGGTGGGCAGATGTAGTGGAAGTTTTTTTCCTGACTACATTTTTTTTCTCTGTGAAACTGGAAGCAAGGGGGAGGAGATATTGGAGATCTGAGGAGTGGAGATGATATAAAATAGTCATCTAGGCAGATGGGAGACTGAATGGTCTAAGAATATAAAATAAAACTACCTGGTAGCATTAAAGGTCAATTTGAGGTCCATGACAATGAATTTAATGTGAAACCAGTCAACATTATTATATATTTTCCTTCAGCCAAGTTTAGCTGCAAGGATGCAGGCATAGTATAGATGGACAGTTAGGTTTAAACAGTGTTGTGGTTTTCACAAGCGAGTAAGATGAAGGGAGAAAGGGTTAAGAGAATCAAGAGGGTGTATATGGGAGTGATTATAATGATTGATCCACTGAATTGGAACTATGCTAGATGGGAAGAGAACAAGGTACAGTGGAAAACATGTGAGATCAATGAGAAAGATGGTTGGGTGGAATCAATAGATTATTGGAGGTAAGGTATAGAAAAAAATGAGCTAGAAAAATAGGAGGTAGTGGCAATAGAGTAGAATGCATGAAATGAGATTATGGAGGGGATTGCTACAACTTCCAACACTCCAAAATGTTTCAGGTGGCCTGCCACACTCATTACATTACCTTCTTGACCTCTGAAAAGATTTTGAGTTTACAACCCTGCATTAGGTTAAAACCTTGATTCTGAGCAAGATAGCCATAAAACCAAGTCACTTAAGATTGTGTAATTATACAAGGGATTAAACTAAAAAGTATATATAAATAACAGTGTTAACCAACTCATCAGTGACTATTTGAGATCAATTCTTCTTTTGTGGTTATCAAATATAACCTATTAATTCTTACAAAGCAGGTACTCCTGCTGACTAAACTGTAAGCATCTGCTTCCTTCCAGTAAACAAACTGAATGAAGTTGAAATTACATAGTTAATGTACAATAGTATGGTTATATTTCTAAACATTACAACATATCTAATTTAATGCTAATGAAATGAAAATAAAGTAAAATGGTTACTTCTTTGCTATGTAAAAATTTTCCTATATAATTTTATTAACAAGTAGATTATCAAATTGCCATAAAAATAATGGAATCAGAGACCCCTGCTTATAACCAAAAACAGATAGAAAAATAACTAATTACATTTCATTTCGGGAATGAAATTCCTGCTGTCTCAAGATCCTGCTACACTTTCTTGATCTTTTCTGAGGTCAATTAATTCTATAAGATCCAGGCTTTCATTTTTCTGACAAGAAACTACCTGCTCTCCTGGAAATTGCTACCTGGGTAACCGACTTGTTGACACTTAACTTTTCACGGATCAATAGTTAAGTTGGAATTGAATTATGAGATATGTTCACTGTCCTTGAAAATCTCTAGGTAACCGCGATGGGAAGTAGGGTAGGAGAGTGGAAGGTGCTAAGAGCCATTTCTTTGTGTCTGATGTAGACTAGAGCATCACTTTCTTTTCTAAAGACACAGGTCTTCTTGCAATATGCCATAAAGTGAGTCCCATGATATGTATTCAATGAATGTTTGTTGACTGAAATAAAAATACTCGCTTATATATGATACCTAGGTATTTATAGGCCAGGATCATTTAAGTGACAATAAAATCAAGTAAAATTACTGTATACTTACATTTATTTCTTCTTTTTTTTGTTATGGACTATTTCAAACATGATAAAAAATACACAGGGCAATATGATGAATCCTCATGTACCCACCATACAGATTCAAAAATTAGCAACATGCTATGCTTTTCGTTTCAAGTGTATCCACTCCCTCAACTTTTCTTCTGATGCTGTTTTGCTGGAGTAATAATCATTCAACTGTGAATTGATTATTCACATTTGAAATCAAAGCAATTGTGCCTCCTGGCTAGACATATACTAAGGAACTGTTCAGAAAGATGTTGTGAGGCATTCAGATTTTGAGAACCTCACTTCTTTCAATGACTATTAGAGACCAAAAATATTGGGATTATGCTCCCATTTTATAAGGGAACTCCTTGTTATGTTTACCTCGTTGCAGAGGTAAATGGTCATAATAATTTTGAACCTCTAACTGATTCTCTGCACTCAGCCATAATTATCCCTAAATGTTAGGTTTTTACAGATGTTCAATTATATTTAATTTTGTGTGTGTGTGTGTGTGTGTGTGGGTGTGAAACGGAGTCTCACTCTGTCACCCAGACTGGAGTGCAGTAGCACAATCTCGGCTTACTGCAACCTCTGCCTCCCGATTCAAGCAATTCTCGTACCTCAGCCTCTCGAGTAGCTGGGATTACAGATGTGCACCACCACGCCCAGCGAAATTTTGTATTTTTAGTAGAGACCGGGTTTCGCCATACTGGCCAGGCTGGGCTTGAACTCCTGGCCTCATGTGATCCACCTGCCTCAGCCTCCCAAAGTGCTGGGATTATAGGCACGAGCCACCGCACCTGGCCAATCATTCTTTTCAATATCTGTGAATTCAATGCAGGATTATATGACTATATCTATCTTCATTCACAGCTTAAGTCACCCCTTGTTCCAAGTTGTTGAGAAAATGATATGTGAGATTTTGTCAAATAAGATTACCTTTATCATTTTTATCCTATTAATTCATGCCTCCATTGAAAATATTGGTGTGATTCTTCGATTGGCACCGTCTCTCACAATATGATTTAATCCTCTACCATTCTCATATTACCAGCCCATTATTATGCTGGGAAATTCAACTAATCACTCTTGAGTCTGGCCAAGGAAAAATTTAAAAATTATTCATTAGCCAAGTGGCCACTGAAAGGTCACAAACAGTAAATTTTTCTTGCTGTCATTCACATGGGTGGAGAATATTACTAAATATTTCATATCTTCATTTTTAATCACAGTGACATCAGTAGAGTAACTTTTAATGAGATCAATAAAACATAGAAAAGTCATTCGTAATTACCTTAAAGTGGTATCTAACTGGAGATTTTAGGTGAATACTGACATTGTCAAATTAAGAGCCCTTTTCACAATAAATGTCACTCTTGGCAATTGCATAAAATCACCTATATGGACGGAATTTCTCACTTGGCACATAGTAGAAGTCAGTGGCCACTACTAGATATGAAAAACAGGTTCATTATTCACAGACATATGCTAGCTATTTCACTTATATACCTGGAATAGATTTATGTATCTCTGAGTTGATAAAAGCCTGGTTGATTCTATTAGAACAGTGATTTCCAAACATTTTTTCCTTACTAAGGCACACATGAGAGGTAATATTCAACAGTTCCACCTATCTCTATCAGTCCCAATAGCTCCCTAAGGCTTGCTGCACAAAAGTTAAAAAGTCACAAGTTATGTTCCAATCTTAGTGGAATTCTTTTATCTTCTATTGGTCTAGATGTGAGTTGAGAACCTCTGACTCATATGGTATCCAAAATAGACATAAAAAAGGCCAATCTGAAATGTACTTGAAAGAGAGAGCCACCTATAGGAAAGGACTTCAGGGACCTTGGGAAGTTCCACTATCCCTAAAGTACTCCTTCACAATCTATGGCTTTGTTTAAAAGCAAATAGACTGTTAGCTGAGAAGACTTAGAAGCAACAACACCCCAATAGCAATGAGCATACCTAGCAACCAAATCTAGGTTTCTAATGCAATTATCCATTAAAAAAACAGGACTCCTTGGAAAAATGGCTAATTCTAGAACTGGGGCACAAAATATATAAGATAAACCTGGAGCATCTTTCTACAATGTAAGGAAATGCTAAAAAAAAAAAAAAATACAACCACCACTCCACAATGATAGAATTATATCAAAGGGACAAATGAGCCAACTGAAAGAGCTTCCCACGGGCAAAGGTGGAAGAATCTGAGCAAGAAAATTAAGTAGAATTGCATTACAAGCCGGTGTATAATATAAATAAAAATGAGTCCATACTGATACAAATAAATGATGGAACACATAAGTAAGTGGGGAAAGGGAGAGACAAATTTCCATGCAGAAGAATTTGAAATAATTTATGTAGATATTTCTTCTTAAGTGTGGACTGTGAATAACAACTTTCTTCCAAAGACTACAGTATGGAAAGGAAGAAAAAAAAAGTAACTTTACAATGAAAAATTATAAACATCACCTCAAGCCAGGTGATCAAAGTCAACATCAACAGTTATGAGTCATATTGATACTTTATACCCTTGATACAATGTGATGAGGATGGTATTCTACCTTTGTAATCTTCCTCCTCAAAACATATTACCCCAGTCTAACCATGAGAAAAATATCAGATAAATCTCAGTTGAGGACCATTCTACAAACTATCTGACCAGTACACCTCAAACTGTCAAGGTCATCAAAAATGAGGAAAGTCTGAGGAACTGATGCAGCCAAGAAGTGCTTAAGGAGACATGACAACCAAATACAATGCGCTACCAGAGATGGATACTGAAACAGAAAAGAGGCATTAAGGAAAAACTGAAGAAATGTGAAGAATATATGGACTTTAGCTAATAATAATGTACCACTATTGGTTCATTAATTGTAACAAATGTACTATAGTCATGTAAGATGTTAATAAAATGGGAAAGCTGGATATAAAGTGTACAGGAACTCTATATTATCTTTGCAATAACTACGTAAATCGAAGACTTCTTAAAGTTTATTGAAAAGCAAATAGTGGATTTTTATTACAGCGCCTTTTGTAGGGACAAAATACTGGAAACAAAGTGTATACTCATCAATAGGGAAATGATTGACTGACTTGTGTTATCATAAAATATTAAGCAACATACAATATTATATATTTAACCATTCAACCCAGCAATCTCATTATTGGGTATATACCCAAAGGAATGTAAATCATTATACCATAAAGACACATGCACATATGTATTTATCGTAGTGCTATTCACAATAGCAAAAACATGGAATTAACCTAAATGCCCATCAACGGTAGACTGGATAAAGAAAATGTGGTACATATATATACACCATGGAATACTATGCAGCTGTAAATAAGAATGTCCTTTGTACCAATGTGGATGGCCATTATCCTTAGTAAAATAAGGAACAGAAAACCAAATATTGCATATTCTCACTTACAAGTGGGAGCTAAACAATGAGAACACATAGGTACAAAGAAGGAAACAACAGAAACTGTGGCCTCCTTGAGGGTGGAGAGTGGGAGGAGGGAGAGAATCAAAAAACTACCTATCAGGTACTATGCTTATTACCTGGGTGACAAAATAATCTTTACACCAAACCCCCATGACATGCAGTTTACCTGTATAACAAACCTGCACATATACCCTTGAGCCTAAAATAAAAGTAAAAAAAAAAAGCTATCAGTTGACTTGGAGAGATTTATACCATGTATTTTTACTAAGCTAAGAAAATGCAGAGAAATCTATAACCCTCCTTTCATTTTATAAAACAATGAGGAGAAAATAGCCATGTCAGTATGTTTGTATAATTAAAACAGTAGGGGAAATGCATGTAGGGATCACTAAGTTGTTATTATTGCTAGGAGTAAAGGAATGGGGTTAGAGCGGAGAATGGAAAAGAGGGGAGGTAACAAGACTGAAGACATTAGCAGGCCTGGGGAAGTAGCAATAATTTGTTTAATAATTCATTGTAAGCTTAGCACTTGTACATAGTGGACTGATGCTTTGCAAATAAAACTTTAAATTTGTGAAAACAACAAACAAAAAGCAAATGGTGCAGGGGGAGGAGAAGAGAGATAATTTTGATTGGTGGGTTTTTAATGACAGTGTGGGATGGAGAGGAGATAAGCAAGGAAAGAGTAGCAGCACCCTAGGGAATATAGTGTCAGTCACTAAAGCTGAATTACATCTGCTTCTCAATTTTGCCAAGAGCTGCCCAAGTAGGAGAAAATACCGCTTAACACTAAGGGTGTGATCAGAATGACTGCTGTTCTCCCAAGATCCTGAAGATCTTGCCTACCACAAACAGAGACTAAACTCACCATTTGCTCCCCCATCACTCCATTTTCTTCCCCTACACATAAAAGTGATTCTTAGAGCATCCAGAAGGCTCTCTATTTATATACCACCTTGTTCTCCTGGGCTTTTGAACAATGAGACCTCGCCAGGGGCTTCCAAGTGCTTTTGATGAGGAAGTGACATAGCTTTGGCATCAAAGTTCACAGGACACAAAAATAGGAAAGGTCTGCATTTCCAAGGAGTTAAAATCAAATAGTAGAGTGCAGGTCCCTGGTGAGCAAGACCAAAGACTCCCAAAATTGCAGAATTGAAAGGTGGCCTAAAGGTCGTCTCAGCTACCTACTTCAATACCTAATCCAGTCTCTATTTGAGATGCTAGATGCTAGATCCTAGATTCTATCACTGGGGTAGAGGGGGAAGGGAGAACATACTGTAGAATCCCTAAGGGAAAAAACATATTGCTTTTTACTGTAAACTTCTTGCAAGCAAGAATTATGTCTGTGATATCTTTCCACTATAGTACCCAGAAACTCAGGATGACTGTGTATTTACAGAGCTCGATGTTGATTATTTAGACACAGTGGACTCAAATTTGCATTGCAAATTCTATGAAGGATTTCAGCAGTAGTACATTTGCTGAGAAATCTAGACGCATTTGAAACTATTTTTCATCAACAAGAAAGGCAAGACCATGGCCAAAATGATATTTTAGATCATTTTCGTGGCCAGATATCAAGATAATTGAGTCAACTAGCTGTATGCAAAACTAATTGTTAATATAAGACCATGCGGCAGGGGTGGAGTGAGGGAAGAAATGAGTCAGAAAATTTTCTTATTTTCTTTTTTTCTTTTTTGAGATGGAGTCTTGCTCTGTTGCCCAGGCTGGAGTGCAGTGGCGCGATCTCGGCTCACTGCAACCTCTGCCTCCCAGGTTCAAGCAATTCTCCTGTCTCAGCCTCCTGAGGAGCTAGGACTACAGGCACCTGCCACCATGCCTGGCTAATTTTTGTATTTTTAGTAGAGACAGGGTTTCACCATATTGGTCAGGCCGGTCTTGAACTCCTGACCTCAGGCGATCCACCCACCTCAGCCTCCCAAAGTGCTGGGATTACAGGTGTGAGCCACTGCGCCCGGCCCGAGTCACAAAATTTTCTAAATTAAATAAGCACACACAGTAAATGGGAATCCTATTTTATGAAAATCTAATAGGAATTTGCTATGTAGTTCTGATAGATAATTAGAACTGGAATTTACTGAAGCTCCACATGTACTGCAACCTTTCAAGAACATATCCATTATACAACATGAGGCATACCTACATGTACTCAAGTCCCACTCAAAAGACTATCAGCCATGTGATTGGGCAATGTTTTCACACAACACTCACCTTAAAACACAAGTGTAGAATCCACTGTCTTGTGCCTCAGCTGAGTGAAACCATATTGAATCTTCCTCTTTGCTCATCCTGACCTCTGAAAAGATGATGGGCTCTTCCAAATCACCTTTGTTTTTGTACCACATAAGCCTGAGCCCAGTGCTCTGGGCCGTGCTATAGTTGGTACGAATATAACTGTAGAAAAGGGCACATTTCACTCGGACTGGTTCACCTGCCAAAGCCATGTATGTCTTGAGATCCACTGACCAGTCAATGCAGCCATCCACTGAAAGAAAATCAGAAGAGGTATAAGATACAGTGAGCATTGTTGACACTAATAGTGTGAGCAGTAATCATCACCAACATGTCCTAAGTGCTCCACATAGATTACTTCATTCAATCTTCCCAGTAATCCTATGAGATAGACTTGTATCTTGCTTAGACCTTAGTAAGCACAGCCCCTGCTCCAGTCTTGTGCCTTTGGGGTATCTTCCAATATTCTACAGCCACCTTCTGCTTGGGGTGGACCAGATTCTTCAAGGAGCTCCAGAACTCATGCCTATAGGGTTGTCCTGTGGCACCATGGCCAGGTCCTAATTCCAGCAGAGTAGCCAGGCAAATTGTTTGCTTCTGCTATCCATCACATTAGCCTATGAAATTGGACTACTAGAATGATGCTGCTGACATACTGGTTTTAGGTGACTCGAATTGTTTATATAGACAGGAGCCCCACAAAACAAATATTTCCAAGAGACCTCTACACAGCCTAGAAGCGGTCCTGAGATGAAGGCTTTTCTTCTTATTTTACAAATGAAGACACTGAGACAAAAGAAGTTAAATGACTTTGCCCAAGGTCGCACAGCTAATAAGTGGTGGAAGACCAGTCTCTGATTCCAGATTGTGTTCTTAACCTCTACCCTATACTGCCTATGCCTATAATTGTGACAATAACAATTGTGCTATTATTTGCCTTTGAGAAAGTAAATGCTCTGGTTGGAAGTAGTAGGCACCTAAAGTGATTATTTGCTGTTATATACATGCCAGTTTTCTATGGTATGACCTATTAATAGCATATATTTAATCATAGGTCAATTTCTCTTTATACCCTTAGGCCTCCCTTTCTGCTTAGCTGCCGAGTGCTCATGGGAATATATTATATTACTGTCAGCTGTAATCAAATAATATTAGGTAGGCAAATCTACCATTAAAGAAAGACATGTACAGTAAATTCCTTATTTTCCAGAACGGTTAAAAATGAAATGCTGTGGCCAATCGCATATGCTGGTCAATATAATTAGCATAGCTATTTTATTTCTAATTTGCTTATTTTCAAAAAATGTCATCAAAATACGCTGTATCCTTTCACTTTTCTTGATTACCCTTTAAAAAACAATCATCTCAGAGAAATGTATAAACATTGCCATTTTAAAATTATATGTTTCACTTATGATTTTGTGAACTGATCTGCTTCCTTTTTTAGATGTTGAGAACTCTAACCCAGCGTGTTTAATCTTTTAACTTCAGTTGACAGGAAGCTCAGAGCTAAATGCAATGTTTAAGTGTAATAACTATCTTACCTCAGGATTTCACTTTCTCTATATGAGGGATTATTGAACTAGGGTTCAAGGACACCCAGGGGGAAGATGCTTGCATGGGCTTCAAGGTAGTTGGCAAAACAATGTGCCTATTTGCACAGGTATACTTTTCTGGGGAAATTTTCCATAGCCCTTTTTTTTCAGATTTTCAAAGGGTTTTATGGCCCAAGAAAGATTTTGAACTCTGGTTTCTGATCTCTCTCTCTGACTTTGGCTTTCACTGGCCTGCTGCACGTGGGCTGTTATTACACACTGCCTCAACTCCTCTTATAGTATGTGAAGTATTCATTAGAAATAAACAAACAAACAAATAAATAACTCCCTTTAAATTGATAGTGAAGGGCATCTAAACTTTCTTCGAGGATTCAGAGGTATGAGATTCATCACTATGGATTCTGATGATCACTGTACACTGTTAAAGCTAAGAAGGTACAGTGGTTTAGACTAAATATGTACTGATCACTGGTTGTCTCTCAGGAGTCTTTTAAATTCACTCCTTGCTATTGGATCATTTACTTGTCATTTGTCACTGCAAAACTTTCAAGAAGGAAAAGAAGGAAACTTGAATTTGCTGAACTTTCTGGATCATTATAAATTACTAGTGATACACCTCTGGATCAAATACAACTTTAATATTTATTGTTTTATCATCTTTAAATGGATTTTATATTATTCTTTTTATAAATTATCTGTGATACTGTTTGCATGCATTAAAACAACTGAGAGGTAATGATATAAGTATGTTAGAAAATAAATATTTTCTCACAGCTTGTTTTTCAAAAGTTGGTTAATAGAAACAAAATAAACCCCACGGGAATATTTTTTTAAACTATTATTTCAGTTTTTGTTTTCCCCTAATCCTAAAATGCACAGCAAATATTTTTGAATTAACAAATTTGGCTTTGCAAAATAGCATCAAACTCTATCATTACCTACTTGATAGAAAAAAAAATTGAAATGCTATTTCAATTTGCTTCCCAAATCTCTTTAGTTATCTCTTCTAAGTCTTCTAAGTGATCTATTGCATAATTCTACACTTTTACAATGTTAACAGTCTGCTTTGGCCTATTTGTGATGGGACATGGTAAGTACTGAAGGTAATCAATGTATCTGCTCCAGAGTCACAGCGAGCATGCTCAATGGCAGTGTAAGACATTTAATTGCCATTACAATTAGTTTTATCATGCAGACCTGGAGCGTACACTGATAATTCATTTCCCTTTAAGGGCCATGTGAGCAATATGTATTTGACTTAATAGATTTATGGTCTCTTTTCTTCTGTTCCCTTGCCTTAGGTATCAGAGTATTTAGTTATAAGGTAGTCAATAGCCAGAGAACAGCAATACAATAATGGAGAAAATAATTTCTAAACGTTATCCCCATTTATTCTTTTCCCTTAGTATTTGCAGTGTAAGGTTACAACATATTTCAAGAGATCTCAGGGAATTTTCCCATTAAAATGGACCAGAGGTATGATAACACGGATCTATGAATGCCTACGTGCCACCAAATATTTTCCCACACTACACTCTCATCAGTAGAAATCAATTTCCATGAGCTAAGGCATTGTAGCCTTAAACCTAAATTAGAGTATTAGACCCCTACTAGATTCCAACAAGTTGGTATGATTAATTTTTATTGGATTGCTATTCTTAATAAACCAAGAGTGGGACAAAAGGAGGTAGAAAAGGATGTAGCACATTTATTTTTAGATTTGGGACTAGGGAAGCAACTAAGAAGTATAGGCTGAGGTAAGAGGCCTGAAAAGTCAGGTGATCAGTCAACATGGAGGGATTGAACACTGACGTTAAGAGGGAAGAGCTTAGAGGTGTCAGAAAGTCACAAAAGGGCAAGAAGAGATGAAAGGTCACATATAACTGAATTTGCCAAGTGCCATTAAAAGTAATGCATGCAAGTCAGATTTCTGTCATCAGGAGTTTGCAATCACATGCCATACTTCCAGAGCCCCTTGCATGTAGACTCTCCATACATATTTGGCAAATACTGAATGAATACATCTGTGATGCAGCTGACAAAGGTGCAGGCTACTGATCAATTGGGGCCGCAGTGGAACTGAGTAGCCCATAGAGGGAGCCAACTGGTGCGCTTGATCTCATCTGCACAAGCCTGCAATCCACAGGAGGTATCCAGCCCTATACTGTTCACAATTCCAGTGGTACCTATTTAAGCAAGCTCCTTGCAGGGCTCCTGAGAAGACTGTTGACTAGATAGCTTGGCTTCTCCCACAGGTGATTTGATAACTGTATCTCCCTGACCAGCCACAAATGTGAATGGAGGCATTGAAGGAAGGGAATTTCACTACTTCCCCTGAATAGTGAAACTCTGCAGTTGGACTGAAGCTTGCTACGGAACGAACCCACTGAAAGTATAAGTGAATGTATGTCTGCCCTTTGTTTCACAATCAGTGAGTATGATTATAAATATTCTTGTCCCTGGATTTGAAAACACCTCCTATTCCTATATTATCCTTTCTCTGTTCACTCAAGTCTTATGAATAGCAATTTCAGTATTTAAAAGAACAATTGCAGGTTTTTAAGATTCTCATCACTACTCCCTTGACTTAGATTTCTATAAGGCTCAAAAAGTTATTACTCTTGGTTTAGTCTTGTGGGTACCAATGCTTTAATATCGGCCGGGTGCAGTGGCTCACAGCTGTAATCCCAGCATTCTGGGAGGCTGAGGTGGGCAGATCACCTGAGGTCATGAGTTCAAGACCAGCCTGGCCAATATGGTGAAATCCTGTCTCTACTAAAAATACAAAAATTAGCCAGGCATGTTGGCGCATGCCTGTAGTCCCAGCTACTTGGGAGGCCAAGACAGAGAATCACTTGAACCTGGGAGGCGGAGGTTGCAGCAAGCTGAGATCGTGCCATTGCACTCCAGCCTGGGCATCACAGTGAGACTCCGTCTCAAAACAAACAAACAAACAAACAAAATGCTTTAATATCTGAGTTCTCCAAAACAATTATAATGGAGTGAAGAAAGCCACTTGTATAAAACTCGTATCTCTATTTTAATCATTTTCATTCTGATCTGTACAACCAATGTATGTTTAGGGAGTTTGACATAAAGATTCCAAAGAAGGAGCATCTAAAGACTAGAAAGGAACATGCCAGCATCTATGCAATTTATTTTGCCAGGAGGAGATTCCTAGGAGTAAAAATTAGTGCAGTCCCCTGCAAAGTGCCCTGGGTGTCCCAAGCAAACTCATTTGGCCTCTTTATAGATAAGCCTCCTACTTCCTCTTCAGTACAACCAGGAAGGCAAATCCTGCCGCATCTATCTGTTGTAAAAACAAAACCCTGTGAAAAGTTTATACATACCTGTAAGAGGATAAGTTGTTATTATCAACAATTATAACATTATTTTAGAAAAAAAGAACATTGAGTGCAATAAAACTAGACTCTAATGACTATGTACAATTATTTATTGGGGGACAGGATATATAACTATGTATAGAATTGCTGATTCTGGATTTTTTTTTCCCCAAATTGGAAATCCCTTGTTAGGTATAATGGCTAATCAGCACTTGAGAAAATATGCAAGCATGTGTACCCTATACTAGCTTATTATGTGTTTGTGATTAACAAATTCATTTGTTAAACCAGGTGTTTCAACTATGTAAACTTAATCCCATTCATTTTTACTATCAGTTTTCCTGTGAGCTAAAAGGGCAATTGTTGGGGGGCAATTCATAAAATTACCACTAGAGGGCGAGCTGTCCAAGTTTTTGTTTTACATGTTTTCCCCACATAAGCTTTAAAACTAAGGATTTATCATTGACCAACTGCTGGTTGCTTGAGAAGAATCACAGCACACCTATGGGGATGCACCATTGTAGGTGACAGAAGCCAAAAGTTGAGAATACAGCTGCGATCTTGCTCAAACTGGGGAACCAGGCTACACCCCCATCCCCCCACCCAGTGAATGACCCAGCACAGAAAAGTGTAACAGCAGCAGCAGCTATGAGTTTCATTGAGCCCTTAGAATAGAACATCCAAGAACTGTGCTAGGTGTTTTGCACAAATTTTTCTCCTTTCATTCTCATGTCAACTTTGGGAGGGAGGGACTCTTGTTATTTCCACTTTACTGATAAGAAAAAAAGAAAGCTCAGAGAGTTTAAGTGACTTGCTCAAGGTCACTCAAGTTGTAGTGGCAGAATTCAGACTCTAACCCAAATAAGTTAGACACAGAACTTATAATCTTAGTCATTATGTGTTCTATATCCTGCCTCCTATACTCTTCTTCATCCCAGCCCATGAGCTAGTAAAAGATTAAAATTTGCTTGGTGCTATCCAAATTGTCATATGTATTCCACAGAGTTCATGCCTCTCCAGGAGTAGACATTTCCAGGTGAGGGACATCATATTCCCAAATAATAACCATTGTGGGAAGAATAGCCGTAAGGTAATGTATGCTAATTATTTATCTATGAATTATACACAGTGTTTACAGAGTAATTAATTATTAATAATTCATGTTCTTGACGTAACCTCCAAAGGTCAGATCTAGACCTTGGAAAACTTTATCTGACCCATAACAATTTATTTAAAATTAAGTATCTAGGAATGATTATCCCATCCTACCATTATATTTAAGAATATAGTTGTGTGTGAGCCTGTGCGGTGGCTCACACCTGTGATCTCAGCAATTTGGGAGGCAGAGACAGGCAGGTCACTTGAGGCCAGGAGTACGAGACGAGTCTGGCCAACACAGTGAAACTCCATCTCTACTAAGAATACAAAAATTAGCGGGGCATGCCTGTAATCCCAGCTACTCTGGAGGGTGAGGCACGAGTCGCTTGGGACCGGGAGGCAGAGGTTGCAGTGAGCAGAGATCGCACCACTGCACACCAGCAGAGGTCGTGCCACTGCACTCCAGCCTGGGCAACAGAGCAAGACTCTGTCTCAAAAATAAATAAATAAATAAAATTCAGTCAATTCCTCTTAAAAAAACAGAAATATAGTTGTGTTTATTTTAACATTTGTGTATATTTTACTTATTGAATACAATGTTGTGCTCTTTTTCCTAATATTTTAATGTGGGAGTTGAATGCCTTCTATTTCTGTCTCAGATATGCCCCCATCTAAGAAAAGTTTCTTCCTGTTTATACCCAGCACAGTGGACTCCGTCTGCCTCAAATGGGCACTCCACAGGCACAAGCAAGTCAAACTCTCTAAAATGTGAGTGGCCTGTGCCCCTGTTGCTACACCTGTGCCTCTTTTCTCCTAGCCTAGAAGTACAGACAGAGCTTTTGTCATTTTTTTTAAAATAAAGTTCTGTCAGTGGAAAAAAATACTGATTTTTAAAATTTCATCTGTGCATCATTGTCCATCAATAGAAAGATTTCCCACTCCAGCTCTATATATACAATGAATGATTATTGCCTCAAGTTTTTAAAAATACCTTTCCAGAAATTTCTGTTCAGTTTACATATTTTATGAATTGGATTATATGCTTCCCTTTCACACTTTTACCCCCTACTATTCATCAATGGGAAAGATCTGCCTAAATGAAGTCCTTCATCTCATTGCAACCTAGTTATTACACTTAATAATGGGCTGACAACCATTTTCATTTCCCTCTCATTATAGAATCTGTGCAATGCTTTGTCAAGATCACTCTTTTCATCTTTATCCCATGAATGAGCCTCCAATGCATTCTGAAAGTGAAGCCATGGTGAGGCATTACAACCAGCTCCTCAACTTCTGATTTCCTGAGGCCTGATGAGTCTCCTTGGGAATTAGACACTAGCCAAGACAATCAGATGCACTGATGTTAATGCTAATGTGCCTGTGGGAGACAGGGTAGTAGCACTGCCCACCAAACCCTGTAACAGGGTTTCTACTGTCCCTTCAAATCCAGGATGCTCAGCAGTGAGCTTCTCTCCCCTACCAAATCTGCCCCACCTCTCATGTCCACAGTCATCCAAGCCAAAAAGTGTGGAGTCATCCCTGAATCTTGACTTTCTCTTCTCACTGACCACCTCCTACCCTTTCCATAAAACATTAAGCCTTGCCATTTCTGAAGTTACTCAAATCTGTTCCCTTCCTTTCTATTCTTAAAGACACTGAAGACTATCTAAGTGCTTCTCATGTCTTGCTTGGATTATTTCAATATTCTTTTTTTGTCTTTATTAAGTTCTAATTAACAAATAAAATTGTATATATATATGATATATGACATGATGTTTCTATGTGTATACATTGTAAAATGATTAAATCAAGCTAATTAACATAACCTTCACCTCACATGAATTATTTTTTTGTAGTGATAACATTTAAGATCGCCTTTCTTCACAATTTTCAGGTATATATTAACTATAGCTCCTATGCTGTGCAATAGATATCCTGAAATTATTCCTACTGTTCGACTGAAACTTTGTACCCTTTAACCAATATTATCCCATTCCTCACTTTCCACCCCTGTAACCACCATTCTAGTCTCTGCTTCTGTAAGTTCAACATTTTTAGATCCCACATATAAGTAAGATCATGCGGTATTTGTCTTTCTGTTCTTGGCTTATTTCACTTAACATAATATCCTCCAGGTTCATCCATGTTGAAGCAAATAACAAGATTTTCTACTTTTTAAAGGCTGAATAGTATTCCATTGTGTGTGTGTATACAAATATCCATTCCCACCAATAGTGTGCAAGAGTTCCCTTTCCTCCACAACCTTGCCAACACAATCTGTTTTTTTTTAATAGAAGAATAATTAGATGTATTGAAGTAAGCCAACATGGTGGAATATATTATAAGGCCATTTAAATATTTTTTTAATGATGGGATAATGCTCAAAGGATAATGTCAAATCAAATAAAAAACAGAATGCAAAATTTTGTACAATAAAATCTCTATTGTTTAAATAAAATAGGCCTTAAAAGGCTGGAAGGAAAATAATCAAACAGTTATAATGCTCACATTAGGGTTAAGAGTTTATGGTAATTTTTTTTCTATGTATCAGTGCTTTACAAGTTTTTTATGTGCATTTCTTAAAAGTCATTTTAGGGTAAGCGTAGGCTCCTGGATATTGATTAAGCTGAGTCTAAAGAACCAGATAGAGTTCAGCCAGATGAAGAGGACTGTGGTAGCAGAGGTACAAAGGTGAGGAATAGAGTGTGTACTCAAAACTGTAAGCAGTTAAGGGTTGGTGAAGTATAGCATGATGGCAGACAGTCATCAGAGAGGAAGCTGAATAGGGAGGCATGTTCACACTGTGGGGGTTTGCTACATTAAAATTATATACTATGGCCAACACAATCTTTTATCATTTTGGTAATAGCCATTTTAATAGGTGTAAGGTGATGTCTCATTTTGGTTTTAATTTGGATTTCTCTGGTAATTAGTTATGGTGACATTATTTCATATATCTGTTGGTCATTTGTGTGTGTTTTTCAGAAATGTTTGTTCAGTTATTGCTCATTTTTTAATTGGGTTAGCTAGCATCTAACAAACAGGAATAACAAAATAATTTCTCTGCTACAACTGTACTCCAGAACTCGTGATTCCATGCTGAATAGTCAAAATCACAAAGTCTACCACCCACACCCTTTCAAATCAGCCCTACCCTATCGAAGTGTCTGTCTACCACTCTCCAAGAGAAACTTCCTGCTCTAGACAGGCTGACTTCCCTCCCTGTCTCACCTTATCCAACCTTGTCAGAAAGCAGTTATGCTGTGGGCCTTTGCTCAGCCAGCTCTTTCCTGTCTTCATCCTCATACCATTTTTCCCACCTTCCATGCATATCCCAACCAAATCCTAGTCATGCTCTGAGCTTAAGTAGGTGTCAAATGGCATCTTGGTTTTCCTACCTTATTGATTTGCACTTTAGTCAAGGTCAGAGACTCATGTTTTTCTTTCTTTCTTTTTACTCTTCATCTCCCCTCAGTACCTCCTAGATCAGAAACTTAGGAGGTCTTACTGAATTCAGGTTTATAGTCAGCCCTCAGTATCCACAGGGGATTGGTTTCAGGACCCTCTCCCCTACATTAAGATAATAAAATCTTTGAATGCTCAAGACCTTGATATAAAATGGTGTAGTATTTGAAATATGACCTACACGCATCGTTTCACATACTCTAAATTATCTCTAGAGTATTTATAATACCTAATACAATGTAAATAGTTGTTATATTCTATTTTTGTTTGGGTTATTTTTATTGTTATATTGTTTTTAATATTTTTGATCCATGCTTAGTTGAATCCATGGATGTGGAACCTGTGGATATACAGTGCTGAATCCATAAATTCTCATCCTGCGATAACTCACATAATTAAGGGCTAGTGGAGTGAACTGCTTTGGTTAACTAATTTTCACATTAGCTGGAAATTAACCTTTGGATTTTCAGAAATCTTTTCTAAAACATCTGAATCCACTTTTCTGTCCCAATAAGTAGAGAATTGTGAAGCGAATAAAATCCTTGTGGCTTGACTGAAGATATGTCAGGCTTTTGAGGTCATCATCCTGGACCCAAATGCCAAGGTACTGAAAATAGTAGAGAGCTGGCTGGAGATCAGAAAATCTGAGTTATCTTTCCACCTCTGCCTCATTAACAAGATACCCAATTTAAGGAAAGCCAGTTTCTACTCCTTAAAGAAATGAAGGTGCTAAACCAGACAAGTTCTAACCCAGTACCGGTAAAATGGATTATCTGAGTTGGTGAGTTTCAAGGTTGGGAAGATAAGCTGCATATGTGATCACTTGGAAAGTCTCCTGGTGATTTTCTTTATTATTTTTTAAAATTTCAATGTTAACAGAGAACTAAAATGAATAATATTAAAAATTCTCAGGATTTCATCATTCAAAATTAATAATGCTAACTTTTTTCCAATTCACTTTCAATAGCTTTGTTTTATTAAAGAAATAAAACATTGCAGATATAGCTAATGTCTCCTTTATTCAGCACACACAGTCCTATCCTCATTCCTCATATCAAACCCCTGCCTTGAGATAACCACTATTTATTTCAAGTTTAGGCTCTTATATACATAGATAAGTATCTTGAAAAAAAGATATTAGTGACTAAAAGCTTGTCTTACAAGGGAGAGGGTGTAGGTGGGAATAAATGTCAGTTAACTGAAGGTTCTTCTGAGATGTGTTCCAGTCAACTGACGTCTAAGAGAGTGTACGTAAAGGTGATCACACACCTGAAAGTACTTAGAACAGGGACTGACACACAGATAATGCTCAGTAAGGCTTTCCTATTCCTACTGCTACCACTACTACTGCTTATGTTAATTATATACTTATTTTGTTAATTATTCTACTGTACCTCTCAAGCCTTTACATATAATACATATTAGTTCAAACTAAATTACTTATATTTCATCTTTATATTAAATTCATTACATTTTTTTTCAAATTTAGGTCATAGGTGAGTCATATTACCTATAAATTTCACTTCATGACAGTAAAAGGGCATTATGAAATATTCTAACCTATATTTTCAAACATATTCATTTTACATAATACTACGAAATAATACATGTATAGTATACAGTAATAATACTATATACCATTATCATATGTATACTTGGTATATGCTATATTATAATAACTTATATTCCAATATTTTACAGATTGTACAACATATTCATATTTTATAAATTATATTATTTAAATGTATTCAATTGCATATTATATTCATAATTTATAAATGTGTATGTATTTATATCATGTGCTCTTCAAATATTTTATGTTGTTATATAATGTATATAATACATATTGTTATAATTAAATATATATAATTACATTTATATGTCAACTGCAATAGTTTAATTATATGAAATTTTTTTTAAGTTAAAAAGGCAAATATTCAGGAAGGATTCAAGATGGCTTACTAGAGGTATCAAACACTCACCTCCTCCACAAAGAAGAACCAAAATAGTACATAATTACACTTCAAAGAGAACACCTAAGAGAGAATGCTGAATTTCAACAAAGAAGTGACAGGAAACACCTAAGAAAAGGATGGAAAGGAAAGTGAGGCCGCTTGCTTGGCTAGGATAGGCTGGAAGCCTGGAGAGACTCTCCAATGTGGGGGAAGGGTAAGTGAGTGACCCCAGCAGTCCACATTCCCACCATGATCTCCTGCAACCCTAGCCATAGGAGAGACCCTGAATCTTCCTGGAACCTGGCACTAATGTAAGGAGCTTCCAGGAGACCATGTGACAGCTTGCTCCACAGAGGGTGCTAGCTAATCCTGGATCCCAGACATCCCCTGAGACCTAAGAAACTGTGCCATGGTGCCATGTTGAGAGCCAGCCCTCAAGAGACTGGATTCTGTGCTGACATTAGTCCCTGCATCTCCAAACCCCTGGAGCCCCAGTTACATCCAGCTGCATTCACCTGGAGAGCTTCAGTGGTGCAATGCCAGCTGGGCCTGGCAGTGTGGCAGGGTTCCCAACATTCTAGCCCCTACAGATTCCTATACTCCAGGAAACAGAGCAGTGTAACATGTCAGGGAGACTGCCCCTGGGACAAAGAGAGCCAAAGCACATGCTCCCTAAAACCTGAGAGCTGCCTATCTGAAGCTGTTGACAGAAACCCTGCCCACACCAGCAGCAGGGCCATTGCACACTAGCATGTGACTTGATGACAAGTTCTCCCCACACACTGCTGCCACCACACCTGTGACTCCTGCCACAACTAGACGTTGAAGCATGTGCTCCCCAGGGCCTGAAAGCCACCCACTTGCCTGGGGATGCTGCCATTGACAGCAACCTCTATCCCCAAAGTAGCATGGCTGCTGTGCACTAACACACCATGAGGACAGGCTTTCCCTGCATACAACTGCTGCTGCTGCTGCCACCAGAGGCCACAACAAATATTCTCCAAAGCCTGAAAGCTGCCCACTGGCTTGGAGTTGCTCCAAGTAACACCAACCATTGCCCCCCCGCCTACTCCCCACCGCCCATCCTACAGCAACAGAACCACTGTGTGCTTCATGCACTCTGACATTAGGCTCTCTGCACCCACCACAGTGGGTCATCCTGCCCTGCCTATCACAATCTGTGCCCATGTGCACCACTGGGGGACCTAGAGATAGGCCCACCCAGTCTGAAACACCACCCTCCACTCGCCACAGTGCCGAGGATGCCATGCAGGCACCTAGGGACCACCATGCCCAGTCCACCCTTGCTGGCATCTATGCATTCCTACCAGAGACCCGAGGATGAGCCCACCCAGCCTGCCACTATCCCCACTACCTGCACCCACCTGCATGCACCCAGCTGGGGGCTGCAGACTGTCCTCCCATCCTTGCTAACAATAGTGAGTGCTGCCAGGGAGTCCAAGTGTTGTCCCATCACCACTACTATTATTGCTGATGCCACACATGCTGGCCAGGAGTCCAAGATCCTATCCATCTGTCTGTCCCACTGCTGCCACTATAGAAAACCAACAAACAGCAATGATAAACAGTAAGAGAGAAACAAAAGACCAAGACACATACAAAACAACCAGAAAACAATTAATAAAATGACAGGAATACTCACTTATCAATAATAACCTTGATTATAAACAAATTAAAATTTCCACTTAAAAGATAAAGACTGGTTGAATGTATAAAAAAAATACATGACCCAACTACGTGCTGCCTACAAGAAACTCGCTTCACATATAAAGACATAGACAAAGTAAAAGGATGGAAAAGGTATTCCATGCAAACAGAAACCAAAAGTGAGCAGGAATAGCTGCATTTTCATCATATAAAACAGATTTTAAGTCAAAAACAATAAAAAGAGATAAAGAAGGTCATTATAAAATGATAAAGGGATCAATTCAGTAAAAGGATATAATAATTCTGAATACATATACACCCAACACCAGAGCACCCAGATATACAAAGAAAATATTATTAGATCTAAAGGAAGAGATAGACTCCTATATAAGAATGAGGGGGATTTCAACACCCCAATCTCAGCATTAGACAGATCATCTAGACCAAAATATCAACAAAGAAATATTGGATTGAAATAGGACCTTAAACAAATGGATCTAACAAACATTTACAGATGACTTTATCTAACACCTGCAGAATATACATTCTTTTTTTCTTTTTTCTTTTTTTTTTTTTTGACAGAGTCTCACTCTGTCGCCCAGGCTGGAGTGCAGTGGCGCAATCTTGGCTCACTTCAAGCTCCACCTCCCGGGTTCACGCCATTCTCCTGCCTCAGCCTCCCGAGTAGCTGGGACTACAGGCGCCCGCTACCACACCCAGCTAATTTTTTTTTCTATTTTTAGTAGAGACGGGGTTTCACCTTGTTAGCCAGAATGGTCTCCATCTCCTGACCTCGTGATCCACCTGCCTCGGCCTCCCAAAGTGCTGGGATTACAGGCGTGAGCCACTGCGCCCAGCCAGAACATACATTCTTATCATCACATTGAAAATTCTCCAGGATAGATGGTATGTTAGGCCACAAAACAAAGGCTCAACATATTTTTTTAAAAGTTAAAACCACCTCAAATATCTTCTCAGACCACAATAGAATAAAACAAAAAATAAACAAGAGGAACTTTGGAAGTTGTACAAATGCATGAAGTTGTTCAAATGCTCCTGAACAACCACTGTGTTAGTGAAGAAATTAAGAAGGAAATAAAAAATTTCTTGAAACAAATAAAAATGAAAAGACAACATACCAAAACCTACGGGATACAGCAAAAGAAGTACTAAGAAGTTTATAGTAGTAAACACCTACATCAAAAAAGTAGAAAGATGCCAAATGAACAACCTAACAATACACCTCAAGGAACTAAAAAGCAAGAACAAGCCAAGCCCCAAATTAGCAGAAGGAAAGAAATAAAAAGATCAGAACAGAACTAAGTGAAATAGAAACTAAGAAATAATACAAAGGATCAACAAAATGAAAAGTTGGATTTTTGAAAAGATAAACAAAATTGATAAACCACTAGCTATACTAACCAAGAAGAGAGAAAACTCAAAATCAGAAATAAAGTGAGGGACATTACAACTGATACCACAGAAACACAAAAGATCATCAGAGACTATTATGAATAACTGTATGCTCACAAACTGTAAAACCTAGAGGAAATACATAAAGTCCTGGAAACATACAAGCTACCAAGACTAAATCAGGAAGAAATAGAAAACCTGAATAGAACAATAATGAGTAGCACAATTGCATCATTAATAAAAAGTTTCCCAAAAAAGAAAACCCCAGGAACAGATAGATTTGCAGCTGAATTGTATCAAACATAAAAAGAAGAACTAATACCAATCCTCCTGAAACTATTCCAAGAAAACCAAAGAGGATGGAATTCTCCCTAACTCATTCTATGAGGCCAGCATCACACTGATAGCAAAACCAGACAAGGACACAACAAAACTACAAGCCAATATATCTGATGAACATAGACATAAAAATCCTCAACAAACTACTAGACAATGAAATCCAACAGCACATCAAAAAGATAATACACTGAGATCAAGTGGGATTTATATCAGGGATGCAAGGATGGTTCAACATATGCAGATCAATAAACATGATACGACACATCAACAGACTGAAGGACAAAAGCCATATGATTGTCTCAATAAATGCAGAAAAAAGCATTTGATAAAACTCAACATCTCTTTATGATGAAAAACAGTCAACAAACTAGGCAAAGAAGGAACACATCTCAAATTAATAAAGGTAAAGGCCATATATGACAAAACCACAGTTGACAACATACTGAATGGGGAAAAGTTGAAAGCCTTTCCTCTAAAATCTGGAACAAGACAAGGATACCCACTTTTTTCTTTTTTTCTTTTCTTTTTTTTTTGTTTTTGTTTTTGTTTTTTGAGATGGAGTTTCACTCTTGCAGCCCAAGCTGGAGTGCAATGGTGCAGTCTCAGCTCACTGCAACCTCCACCTCCTGGGTTGAAGTGATTTTCCTGCCTCAGCCTCCCAAGTAGCTGGGATTACAGTTGCCTGCCACCACACCTGGCTAATTTTTGTGTTTTTAGTAGAGATGGGGTTTCACCATGTTGGCCACACTAGTCTCGAACTCCTGACCTCAGGTGACCTGCCAGTCTCAGCCTCCCAAAGTACTGGGATTACAGGTGTAAGCCACTGTGCCCAGCTAGGATGCCCACTTTCACCACTTCTGTTAAACATAGTACTGGACGTCCTAGCCAGAGCAATCAGGCAAGAGAAGAAAAAAAAAAGACATCCAAATTGGAAATGAGGAAGTAAAACTGTCCCTTTTTGCTGATGATAAAATCTAATATCTAAAAAAACCTAAAGACTCCACTAAAACTCTTTGATTTGATCAATTAATCCAGTAAAGTTACAGGTTACGCAATCGGTGTGCAAAATTTAGCATTTTTATACATCAATAATGACCTAGGCAAAAAAAAAAATCAAGAAAGCAATCCCACTCACTATATTTACAAAAAAAAAAAAATACCTAGGAATAAATTTAAACAAGGAGGTAAAAGATCTCTACAAGGAAAACTGTAAAACACTGTTGAAAGAAATTGAAGGTGACAGAAACAAATAGATAAACATCCTATGCTCATGGATCAGAAGAATTAATATCGTTAAAATAAACATATTGCCCAAAGCAATCTACAGATTCAATATAATCCTTATCAAAATACTGACATCATTCTTTACAGAATTAGAAATAACAACCCAAAAACTCATATGAACCCAAAAATGAGCTGAAATAGCCAAAGCAATCCTGAGCAAAAAGAACAAAGCTGCAGGCATCACATTACGTGATTTCAAAATATATTACAAAGCCACAGTAACCAAAACAGCATGACACTGGTATACAAATAGACACACAGACCAATGGAACAGAAGAGAGAACCCAGGAATAAAACTACATATTTAAAGACAAATGATCTTTGACAAAGCCAACAGGAACTTATATTGGGAAAAGAACACCCTCTTCAATAAATGGTGCTGGGAAAATTGGATAGCCACATGCAGAATAAAACTGAATTCCTATCTCTTACCAAATACAAGGAGAAACTCAACAAGGATTAGAGACTTAAATGTAAGACCTGAAACTAAAAATACTAAGAGATGACCTAAGGAAAACTCTCCTGGGCATTAGTCTAGGCAAAGAATTTATGGCTAAGACCTCTAAAACATAGACAGTAAGAACAAAAGTAGACAAATAGAACTTGATTAAATTAAAAAACTCCTTCACAGTAGAAGTAATAATCAATAGAGTAAAGAGATAACCTGTTGAATGGGAGAAAATATTTATAAATTATTAATCTGATAGGAGACTAGTTAATCCAGAATACACAAGGAACTCAAACAACTCAGTAAGAAAAAAACATAACTCCATTGAAAAGTGGGCAAAAGACACAAATAGACACTTCTCAAAAGAAGACATATAAATGGCTAACAGATATATGAAAAATGCTCAATATCACTAATCATCAGGGAAATGCAAATCAAAACCACAGTGAGATATCATCTTGCCCTAATTAGGACGGCTATCATCAAAAAGAAAAATATAATAGATGCTGGCAAGGATGCAGAGAAAAGGAAACTCTTATACACCGTTGGTAGGAATGTAAGTTAATACAGCCATTATGGAAAACAGTATGGCAATTTACCAAAGAAAAAACACAAAACAAAAAGAAACTAAAAACAGAGCTACCATACAATCTGGCAATCCCACTACTGGTTATTTATCCTAAGGAAAGGGAATCCGTATATTAAAGGGATACTTGCATTGCTATGTAAATTGCAGCACTATTCACAATAGTAAATATATGGAATCAACCTAAGTATTCATCAACAGATGACTGGATAAAGAAAATTTGGTATCTATACACAATGAAATACTCTGTGGTCATAAAAAGGAATGAAATCCTGTCATTTGCAGAAACATGGATGAAACTGGAGGTCATTAAGTTAAATAAGCCAGTCACAGAATGTCAAACGTCACATGTTCTCACTCCTATTGGGAGCTAAAAGAATTGGTCTCGATGGAGGTAGCAAGTAGAATGATAGTTACCAGAGTTGGGGAAGGGTGTATGTGGGGCGAGGTGAGAGATTGGTTAATAGGTATAAACATATGGTTAGATAGAAGAAACAAGATCTAATTTTTCATAGCAGAATAAGGTGACTATAGCTAAAAACAATGTATTTTGTATTTCAAAATAGCTAGAAGTGTGGACTTAAAATGTGTCCAACACATCAAAATGATAAAAACATGAGGTGATGGATATCCTAAATACCCTGACTTGATCATTACACAGCCTATGCATATAACAAAGTATCACATGTACCCCATAAATACACACAGTTGTTATGTATCAAGAAAGGTAAATTGTTTAGAAAGTTCAAATATTGACAATTTTGTATGATTCATCCTAGTATATTTCTTATATAAAATATTATAAACATAAACATTTCTTATATAAAATTGTAATTATACTTAAAAGAGGGAGTAGAGCCAGATAGGGTTGGGAAAAGCTTTGTTAGTTGGTACGTATTTTTATTATTTGTCACACAAATTTGTACATTCTAGGGCCATTCAGAGAGTTCATAAAACCAGTAAAGCAGCTTCTAGCCTACAGGCCTTTGCAATGGCTGTGCCCCATGCCTAGTTCTACACAGCAGTCCCCAATTTTTGGCACCAGAGACTGGTTTCATGGAAGACGATTTTTCTAGGGATTGGGGGAGGAGATGGTTTGGGGATGATTCTAGGGCATTACATTTATTGTGCACTTCATTTTTATTATTGTTACATTGTAATATATAATAAAATAATTATACAACTCACCATAATGTAGAATCAGTGGGACCTGAGCTTGTTTTCCTGCAACTAGATGGTCCCATCTGGGGGTGATAGGAGACAGTGACAGATCATCAGGCATTAAATTCTAATAAGGAGCATGCAATCTAGATCCCTGGCATGCACAGTTCACAACAGGGTTTGTGCTCCTATGAGAATCTAATGCTGTCCCTGATCTGACAGGAGGCAGAGCTCAGGCAGTAATGAGAGCAATTGGGGAGTGGCTGTAAATACAAATGAAGCTTCACTGGCTCACCTGCCAGTCACCTCCTGCTGTGTGGCCTGGTTCCTAGCAGGACACAGACTGGTACCAGGCCACAGTCTGTGGTCCAGGAGGTTGAAGACCCCTGCTATACACTGTTCCCTCAGATAGCTACATGACTCACTGATAGCTAGTGTTCTTCATGTATCTGTTCAAATAGGTTGGGAGTAAGGGAAATTTACTGATTCTTGGATTAATTCCAGATCTGATTGGACAAAGGGATCAGTGGGTTAAAACCCCTCCTTCATCATCTCAAGCAGCAGCTCCCAGACCCTGAGCACTTCCTCCACCCTGCAAATTCATTCACATAGTCCACCTGGTGAACTATGGCCTCACCCAGGTTAATGTCAAGGAGGGGTGGTAATGAAAGAGGGAGGACTCCTCCTTGCTTGCCCCCAGAAGCAGCCCCACCCCCCTTCTCTCCCCACAGGTGGATGGGGTGGTGTTGCTGTGGGGTACCTGGGAGTACATGTCAGTAGGTGCCCTTGAGGAGGAAGTGCTTATGCAACTGGCACAGTGGAGGTGCCAGTTGACAATGACCTTCGGAAGGCAGCATGCTCTGTGGATGAAGGCTGAGGTAAGACTGGGGCTCTCAGGATGCCGGTGATCCTGGAAAGCTTCTCGGGGCCAGGACTGGGGGCATGCATTGGGGTGAATGAGAAGTATGGCATTATGAGGCTGATCAAGGGGCATCACCCATGGCCAAGCTGTCCCAGACTTTCCTGCTGGGAAATGGCCACATATAGCATACTTCCTGAGTATAACTTGTGTCTCTGTAGTGTTAGTGCCCTAATAACTACCCAGTATGCTGGCCTCACCTTTTTCCCTCTGGGAAATGGGTGTAGTTACAGGATATTCCATGTTACTATATGCATTTAGGTTGATGTTAGAGGATTAAATATATTTAACTGTGCCCATGTACTGACTGTCTCTGCAGTGAAAGGGGCCTAATTCTAGTATATCCTTAATACTATTATTGGTGGTTACATTAATATCATAATATTATAATATTAGTTAACCAGGAAGTACTACCAGGAAAGTTTCTATTACGCTTTACTTTTTGTTAACTGAGTATAATTACTCTGCACCCATTATTATTTGTGTTTACGTTATTATTATATTATTTAATAATTTCACCTTTACAGCATCAATTATTATAATTCAGGTCATAACTAAATGGTCATACCATTAATCGTTATAATCAATATCATTATATATTATGTATTGTTATGTATATCATAATCATTACAAGTATTACAGTAAGTACAGCACAGTTTTAATTAATAATTTACTAATAAATATAGTTAATAACAAATTAGTTATATGCTGTTAAAGGAATCCTGATATTACCCTTTCATCTTGTCAGAATCAGAATAAGTGAGGTAAAATGTTAATGCAGTTATTTGCAGTATTTGAATACAGTATTTTTTTAAAAAAAACCATAGTAACTGCCATTCCTGGTACTGCTGGTATGGTGTTTTCCACTCTGGGAAATGGCAAAATTATATTACCTAGTTAACGTTATCATTATTATTATTGCTAATGTTATTTTGGTAACTATCCTAATAATGGATACCAATATAAGAATAATTGTTTTATCTGCTCTTACCTGTTAAATTAAGATGATTTTGGAATATCAGTAACATACTCTATTGATAGCATAATCATAATTAATATCACTCCTGATAATCTTGGCATGCATCTGTAAAATGGACATAATTATGAAGCATCACTGTTATTTCTATTATTATTTGCATTTGCTAGTACTATAATTGCAATTAATGCTACTGTGAGGATTGAGATTTGCATTTGTTAGTACTATAATTGGAATTAATGCTACTGTGAGGAATGAGAGTTTCTTGTAAATTAGGGAGAAATTTACACCTTACAGGGTTTTTGTCAAGTTTAAGTGATTTATAAGCTGGTAAATAGTAGTAATAATGATAGTAATGATGATAATAATAGTACAGTTTCTTAACTCCTCACTGTGTATTAAGCACTGCTTTAAGTGCTTTACATTCATTGACTCATTTAATCCTCACAACAACCTTATAAGACAGATGTTATAAATATACCCAATTTAATTTGAGCAAACTGAGACAGAGGTTAAATGCCTTGCTTGAGGTCCCACAACCAGTTTGAGTCCAGGTTCCTTTCTCTTAACCGCTACTACTTTCATGGGTATTGATAGGAATAATTATCACACATAACTAGTATTTTATTCAAATTATAGCGATCTTATTGTTATATCAGTGAAGAAGAAGAGTTCCCCACTTTCTCATGTGTAAAACAGTCAAAGGCACCAGCAGTGGGTGACATTGAAGGTGCTGATGTTCGGGACTCAGCCAGAGCGTACAGGGTGAGGGTGGGGATTAATTTGTCCCTCCTTATGTTGGCAGCAGACTCAGATGAAATAGCTCAGGCCAAAAGCATCTTGTATAGTGTTGGTACACAATAAATTTTCCTCAAAAATTTTTTTAATCATTCAATATGGCTCTTAGCTTCCTACTAGCCCAGGTAAAAAGAGTAAGCAAAATTTAAAAAGGCAAAAGGGTAAAGAAAGATACTCTTCCTTGTACTCAGTAAGTGGATGACAACAGCCCTTTTCTCTCCAGCTGTGGTACCATCCTCCCAATCTTCATCCACCCTCCCTGCCCTCCCTGCTCAAAGGAAAAATGTCATGTCAACAGCCAGTTGTTTATGTCTGTTTATGCAGCCAATATTCAAGATCAAACAGCGGGTTAAGACTTCCAGCCTGCATGTGTCCAATATATACTTGGATAAGGTCCAGCTCAACTGATATGGCCTGGAAGATTGCCAAGAGAATGGAGTGAGTCTTCATCCGTGGGGAAGCAGGGAATGGGTTATGAAAGGATGAATGATGATGATGAATGAGGGTGAATGAGGAATTGAGAGAAGGAACAAGGGAGATTTGTTAATGGGGTGGAGATTTGAAAATTTGTCAGCTCCTCATAGGAAAGGATTAGAGGCAGGGGTTCCCTCTAGAAGTGGTAGGAGGGTAAAGATGAGACCTAAAAAAAAGGATTGGTTGGAAGTCTGCTTAAGAAGCAGTTAGAGGCTGGGTGCAGTGACTTACGCCTGTAATCCTAGCACTTTGGGAGGCCGAGACAGGTGGACTGCCTGAGCTCAGGAGTTCGAGACCAGCCTGGGCAACATGGTGAAACCCCATCTCCACTAAAATACAAAAAATTAGCCAGGCATGGTGGCGGGTGCCTGTAATCCCAGCTACGCAGGAGGCTGAGGCACGAAAATTGCAAGAACCTGGGCGGCGGAGGTTGCAGTGAGCCGAGATCATGCCACTGCACTCCAGCCCGGGCAACAAAGCGAAACTCTGTCTCAAACAAGAAAAAAAAAAAAAAAGAAGCAGCAGTTAGAACTCTAGGTATAACACCTCAACATCAACTCCATATGCTAGCAGACGGCTGGGTGAGAAAGCTCTAGAGGGTAAAACCAAGGGAGTATGGGTTACCAGGGCACAACTACCTAGGCCAGGCCACAGCCTCCTCTTGTTAATTATTTATCTGTCATTGAGCATGGGCATCCTGCAGAAACTTTGACAGTAACACAACCCAGACTGCCAAGGTTAAGAACACTGCTATGAGGAGCTCCAGATTCAGTGTACCTTCCTCCCACCAGACAACAGAGGCCTGGCTACTTTCTTTCCCTTCTCCAAGGAAACTCTCCTCCCTCTAGAAAACCAGAGTTAGATATCAGACCTCATTTTCCTGTTGGCTTCCGCATTGCTCCTGGCTCTGTCCTGAACCATCCACGGGCAAACCCGCAGTTGTTATTCATCATATCGCTAGGTTGTTTAATGTGACTGAGACATGAGTGAGCCTGGAGAGACATCAGAAATGTCCCTACCACATAGGTCTTATCATGAAATTCCAGAGGGGTGAATAATATTTCCATGTAGGTGGCCAGGTGGGGAGGACAGCTCTGCATACTCTGTTTTTAGAAGACTTGGGGATGGGAAAATCTTAAGTCCCAGAATCTTAAGGACCTTCTGTCCTCACCCCTAGTCATTGTAGTTCAGTTTCTGAGGCCCAACATCACCACCTAGACCACAAATTATTAAGAGATTACCATTAACAGGGTATGCCCATCATCTTATCCCTACGCCTATCTCTCCAACCAAAGTTTAAGGTTCTAGACCATGATTTGGCTAAGAATATGGGGTGAGTCTTTGGAGCTTGGTGTTCCTAGTGAAATACTAAGTCCCTGCCCTCCAACTCCATAAACACTCTTGTAGCAGAAATTCTAAAATGACCCCCCAAATGCCCCCATTCTCATCTCCAGAACCTGTGAACAGGATATTACTTCTGTGGTAATGTTACATTATATGGCTCAGTTGACCACAAAATAGGGAGATTATTCAGGTGGGCCTGACCTAATCACATGGGCACTGAAAAGCAGAAAGCTTTCTCGAGTTGCAGAAGAGAGGGAAGTCAGAAAAAATCTTAGGTACAATAGGGACTCTATGTAAAATTGCTAGCTTTGAAGATGGAGGGGGGACACTTGAGAAGGAATGCCAGCAAACTCAACTAGGAATAGAGCATAGCTCCTGGCTAACAGCCAGCAAGGAGACAAGAATCTCAGCAATTCTACCAACAACTTGAATGAGCTTGGTAGTGGAGTCTTCCCCAGAAGCCCTATGTAAGAGCTGAGCCTGGCTGACACTTGACTTTTGAAACCCTAAACAGAGAACTCAGGTAAGCCCTCCTAGACTTCTGACATACAAAACTGTAAGCTAATAAGTGGGTATTATTTAAATCTTCTAAATTTGTGATAATCTGTTATGGCAGTAATAGAAAACTAATATAACTTCTTAATCCCCAACCTCCTTCCCTTTCTCCTCCACAGGTTATCAGGCCCCTGAGGGGGCCCCACATATCAGTTCCTCTCCTCATCCATTCAGGAGGATGATTCGTTTTGTCCATAATGTTCTCAGCCTCTTGCCCTTGCTGCCTTTGCTCTGTTCAAACCCTTTACCCTCATGCCTTCCACACATGCCATGGGGGCATTTTGACCATTGAGTTTCCTCCAAATATACACCCAAGACTGGCCAAGCATAGCTGATTCTTTTCTCACTCCATCTAGAGCCAGAGAAGGGGTTGGATTTAAAGGAATCTATGATTTGACACTGTCACATCGTGACTCCTCTGGAAAGATTTTCTGATGCATGAACTGCCAGTGGTAGAGGTGGACATGGAGGGGCATTCCCTGTTCCACCAGCACTAGTCTCCACTCTTCTGGGTGTATATGTTCTGGGCTGACATAAGCAGGTAAGCGGGCCAGGTAAGGTGAGGTAGAGATTAATGGGAGTGTGTTTAATAAGGTCTGTCCAGCACCCCCACCCCCACCACCCTCCCACACACACCCACAACATGCAGTTTTTGACTATTTGAGTCCGTACTGAGTTTAGCAGGCTTGAAGCCTGGACAGGAACAAATGGGGATATTAAGATCAATGTTCCCAGCTGTGCCACATTCTATATGATGGAAGGTAGATCAACTGCCTCCATAGACCTCCAAAATACAGGGCAGGGGGAAAAGACTGCCCTTCAGAATATAAACCTAGCCTTACTCCCTATGCTACAGGGGGATGTGGAGTTGAGAGCCAAAGGGAGCAAGCTGGCCTTGAACGGGGGACCTGCTGTTTCTGTCACCTACCACATACCCCACCTTCTTCCTGATTTCCACAGTCCTATTCTCTCTATCCCTGTGTGTGACCATCTTCAGTGACACATGGCTCTTCTGCATTCACATCCTGGGAAACTTCTCCTACCATGGGCCCCAGAGGTCTCTGTCACAGGTTCTGTAGAGACACTGTGGGGATACCTACTCGAAGTGTTGTCTGCCTCCATAGATGCCACAACTCCCAGGATCAAATAGGGCCATTTTCTTTCAATTTTGAGACCAAAATGGTGAATTCTCAAAAGATTTGGACATCCTTTTATTAGCAGAGGTGGGGCCTCATAGAGGGTCTTAGACTCCTCCCAAAACTGAACTTTCTTTTAAAATCCTATTGCATCTTTTATCTCAGTCTGCTGGCTCAACAACTCCATGAAGGAATATAAGCTGAACATCTCCAGGGGAAGTCTACCACCCTTTACCGCTGCCTGTTACCTTCATAATTGGGGGAACCTAGGCACAGGCTCCAATCTCTGGCTGCACCTTGACTAATGTTGTGTGACTTCTGGCCAGTGTCTAAACTTTTCTGAATCCTACTTCAAAAATTAAAAATGAAAGAAGCAGGGCTTCATCGAAATCCTCATGAAGTCTAGTTCTTCTTGAACTTTTTACACTACTCTTTGCCTAATTCTACAGATTCTTAAATGGAGTGAGATACTAGAAAAGGCTAGAAAAGAAATTTCTTGACTGGCAGTATAGCATGGGGTTAAGGACTTGGGTGCTGGAACTAGGTCCACTTACTACTCCTGTTATGGCTTAGCTAAGTTTTCTTGGGGAAGTCATATTAACATTTCTGTGCTTCAGTTTCCATGTCAGCAAAACAAATGACACTTGTGACTACTTCATGGGGTCATTGTATTTAATAATGAATACATGTCAGGTACTTAGAACAAACAGTATCTAACATCATCTAGTTAGCTCTAGTGTATTAGTTATTGTCAATATTAGTAATAGTAAGTACAATTTGATTTATAACTTTAGCAGTGATTATTCTTATTGGTAATATAATTTATAACATTTGAAATATTTAATATAAGGAATGATCATCTATATTATTGGAAATAATGTATAATATCAGAAGTGATAATTCAGTTCATACTGGCAACCATAATTTAACTATTCTGATAATCTCATCTTAAGATATTATAAATATTTTTATATGCTCATTTGTATTTTTTTCCTATTATCATGATATTTGCCCACTGTTTTTTAGCTGACAAATACAAATGATTCCAAAGACTCTCTCCCTTTGTTTTACATTTTTTTAGAGGGTCATTATTATCAAGCTGCATGGAAGCTTTTTATAACAAGTTAGAAATTGTGGCTATTTGCTTTTGATCCTTCATGACATTGATTTTAATATTATCAGGTGGCTAGGAGAAGGTACCTGAGATGGACACCTTGTTGATGTCCATTGGCTTTCAAAGCTACAGCATAAAAAGCCTATTCTTCCTGACTACCTAGGACCAACTCAATTTATAGGAGGAACAAGCAGAACCTACCTCCCCACCCACTCCACCAAATCCCTACCATCCATAAAGTCTAATTCAGTTTGAAATAATCTGGGCCCAGGAGTGATGGCTCACACCTGTAATCCCAACACTTTGGGAGGCCAAAGCGGGCAGATCATCTGAGGTCGCAAGTTCAAGACCAGCCTGGCCAACATGGTGAAATACTCTCTGTATTAAAAATAAAAAAAATTAGCCAGGTGTGGTGGCATGCACCTGTAATCCCAGCTACTTGGGAGGCTGAGGCATGAGAATCGCTTGAACCTGGGAAGTGGAGGTTGCAGTGAGCCAAGAAGTGGAGGTTGCAGTGAGCCAAGACCGCACCACTGCACTCCAGCCTGGGTGAAAGAGTCACACTCTGTCTCAAAAAAAAAAAAAAAAAAAAAAAAAAAAAAGAAAGAAAGAAACTGAAAGTTTCTCAACCAAAAGTGCTTTACTTGCTTTGTACCACCTTTTAGAGACTTCAGGGATCATGGTTGTTTTTTTTTTTCACTGAATTAGAGTGTCTTGTACTCTAGAAATGACAAAACTCCTAGCAGAGATATCATTATTATGTATTAGCATAGACTATTTTATCAAATTAAGCCAATACCCACTATCATCACCCAGCACAAACCTGCTGAATAAATTGTACTCTGGATAGTGACTTTTAATTGGGTAGAGCTGAAAGAAGGAAAAAGGAAAGGAGTATTTGGCCCATAGGGGCTCTCTGGTCCTTATTAAGTAACATCATTCGACAAAAAGTGGCATGAAGGTTATATGGTATAGTTAAAAGGATAGAAGATTTGAAGATACCTGGGTATAATATGAGTTTCTTATCTGTAAAATAAAGAGTAGCTCTGTTTACAGTGTAGAGTTGTTATAAACATCAAAGAAGGGGACCTGATGGGAGGGATCGTTTGTTAAGTCCTTACCACATATCAAACATCATGTTAGTTGACTGTGATGGTTAATATCATGTGTCAACTTGACAGGCCCATGGGGTATCCAGCTATTTGGTCAAACATTATTCTGGCGTGTCTATGAGGGTGTGTCTGGATGAGATTACCATCTGAATCAGTAGACTGAGTACAGCAGATTGACCTCCCCACTGTGGGTGAGCCTCATACAATCCATTAAAGGCCTGAATAGAAAAAAAAAAAAGTCAGAGTAAGAGAGAATTCCTTTTGTCTGATTGCTTTAGGGCTGGAACAATCTTTTTTTTTCCTGCCTTCAGATTGAACTGAAACATTGGCTCTTCCTCTGTCTCAAGACTGCTGACATTCGGACTGAAACTTACACCTCTGGCTCTCCAGGGTATCCAGCTGGCTGACTGCAGATTTTAGGACTTGTCAGTCTCCATAATCTTATGAGCCAATACTTTTAATCCATCTCTCTCTTTCTCTCTCTCTCTCTTCCTCCTTCCCTCCCCCTCTCTCTCTTTACATGCACGTGCACACACACACACACACACACACACACACACACACACACCTCCTATGGTTCTATTTCTCTGGAGAACACTGGCTAATACAATGACTCATTTAATCCTCACCAAAACCTTAGCAAAACATATGAATAGCCCCGCATTTAGAGGAAAACACTGACACTCGTAGAAGTTAAATTTTGCTGCCCAAATTTTTCATGTAATCGTACACATAAAAAACTATAAAATGTATTGCCTCATTGGGATAAAATGACAAGACTTCTAGCAGACCAATGTGGCTGGCCATCCCAGGCCTGTCTGGCTATCCCAAGGGCTGATGGATCAATGTGTTGGCATCACTGTAGCCGATCTCTGACATAATGGTTGTTAAACTCAGGATTATATTACTTCATTAAGTTCATGTATTTGTTAGAGAAACAGAAGAAAAATGTTAAGAATCAGATATACCGATGTTTGAATTCAGGATCTGCCATTGACTTGGCTGTACGACTTTGAACAATTAAGATAACCTCTCTGTGCTTCAGGTTCCCCACCTATACAAGGGGAATTATAATAGTGCCTTTCTCATGGGTCATTACAGAATGAAATGCAAATTATATAAAAGACTTTGACTTAGATCTTGGCACCTACAAATACTCTGTAAATACTAATCATGCAACTGATAATAATAACAACTATAATAAAATGGCAAAACAGGGTATCTCTGACTCCAAAGTCCATGTTCTTTCCCTGCCTCTCCTGAAGACACACTTCCCCAGCTTTACAGTTTTGCAATGAAGCTGTGCCACTTCTACTGCAAGTGAAGCCACATGGATGTGGGTATGTGGGGGGGTGGGCGGGGGGAGGAGGCATTGCTATGCTCTCTTAGCTTTACAGCCCTTCCAAAGCTGTTTTCAAAGAACTGCCTTTTTTTGGGAATGGCGGGGAGTCATCTCCTGTTAAAGTGACTCACCAGTAGACTGAATCAACCAAATCGACCAGGTGCTTTGCCATCATTAGCTACAATGCAAAAGTGGTTTTGCAAATGGAACAAGTCCATGATAAACAGGTCTGAAGAAGGAAAAACAAAATTGACCAAGTAAAGGTAAAAATATCTCCTGAAAATCTCATCTCAGCCCATATAGCTGACTCAGAGTTATGAAATCATTCCTTAGGCAGAAATTCCTTTGGCAGGGCCAGAAAATTGTTGGTCATAAAATGATAAATATTCCCATCTCTTCATCACAGAGTGTTGGGCCAACCCTTTCCCCCATCTCACTATATCTGAATATCAGAGTTCAAACTGCTATCTCACTACTTCAGTTGATGATCTGGGGACTCCTTGATTGTAGGTTCAGATAAGAGATGAGAGAAGTTGGACCATTAATCCAGCTTGCCTAGTTATCTGGTTGAAGAAGGGCAAGATCAAATCCCACAGAGTAGTAACGATGACAAAGAGAAATAGATGAAAGTAATGTAATAATTTATAATAAGGCTGATAACATTTGGTGGCATTATAAAAATGGTCTTGTAGTTAGTTTAAGTTTTTATTATACAAGAGTTGCCAATCAAATTGATGGCTTTTCCCCACTCCACTTTAAAAACACAACCAAGAAGACTTCTCCTGTGTAACTGTACAGCCTCAAATGTAAGTCAATTTGTCTCCATTTATGTGAAGCAGAGATGTTCTTCTTACTGTGCTGTCACTCACCTTAGTTCATGTGCTTTCTGATTAATCTGCAATCTGGCAAATTCTCTAAATCATCTCTCCAAGTGTCCAGAATGAGCAGGATGGAGCACAGCTAGCTCCATGATTAAGAAGACTTTTCACCGTTTATTCTTTTGTGATTTGCTAGAATTTCACTTTTGCAATAGGGGACAGTATCATCTTTTGATTATTTTCACAAGGTTTAAAGTGATAGTGAAGGCAAAAACTTCTGGCATTTGAAAATGGAGCCAAGCCTGCATACTTTCCTCCAAATAGCACAGTAGATGTTACAAATGTAAAAATAAGGACCAGCTAAAGTCACTAGTCTCTCCCTCTTGCAGGTATATGAAGCTAAATGGCGCTTGGTGGGTTGGGAAGTTAATTGCTTTTGGAGGGGGAAGGCATTTCAGTTCTCCATTTCTTTATTTCATTTATTTATTCCTTCATTTTTCAACAACATTTATCGAGCACCTATACGTCAGGCACTGGAATAGGCCCTGGGGCTACACTGTCAAATAATATATGGGCCTTTGTCTCAGGAAGCTTACCTTCTAGTGGGATTATTAAATAAGTACTTGTGGTGATGATATTAATAGATAATACAATGGGCTTACCATGCGCCAGGTACTATTCTAAGGACTTTACGTGTATTAACTTATCTAATCCTTGCAAGTAGTTTTTATCAATATGATTTCTCCATATAATAGACAAGGACACTGAGGATTAAGTAACCCATCCAAGGCCACTTTACTGGTAAGTGTGAGAGCCAATATTCAAATTCAAGGATACTGCTCCCAAGGCTATGCTTTTAACCATTAAGCATACCAGAGGTATCTTCAATATACCACGAAAGAAAGAATGAGGTGTCTTGGGAGCTACTGAGCCAGATTGGAAGATCAAAGAGGGATCTGCAGAGGAATTGGCCCTTGAACTAAATTTTGAAAAATGAGGAGCCAATAGCTAGATGAATACAGAGGACAGGACATCCCAAGCAAAGGAAACTACAATTATGAGGTCATGAAGGCCTGAAACAATGTGACATATTCAGGAAATTACAAGTGGTTCCATATGGCTAGAGCATATGGGTAAATGTTAGAAGATACCAGTGAAGTAAATAGGAGACAGATCATTTAAAGGCCTTGTATAGTAAGTCAAGAAGTTTGGAAATTATCCTGAAAGCCATGTGGAGCCATTGAAGGATCTCTAATGATTAGCTTTTTACAAAGATCATTCTGGTAGTAGCGTGAAACAAAGACTGGAAGAGGTCAAGACTAGAAGCACAGAGATCATTTATGAAATTGTCACCATAGTTGAGATAAAAAAGTGAAGGTGAACCAAGGAAGTAGCAAAGAGAACAGTAGAGTAGATAGGGATATAAGTGATGTGGAGGTAGATCAGACTTGTAAGAGATTGCATGTGGAGAACTATGGAAAGGGCTCATGGCTTTTAGGTTTCTGCTTCAGTGGCAACACTATTAAGCTCCCAAATTTTTATGGAACAGTGGGTGGCACTCAAATGTTTTATAATAAAAGGAAGAATATATAATAAAGAATAAATGAATGGTCAGTGGGGAGTACAAAGGATAATTTCCTGTATGTAGAGGGTGAAGGAAAGAAAAGAATCAAGAATAATCTAAGGTTTGCAGAATAATCTAAGGTAACTTCCTTCCTTCCAGAATAATCTAAAGTAACTTCCTTCCTTCACTGAAAGAGCCAACACAGGAGAAGGAGCAGTTTGGGGACAAGGATGAAGAGTTCAGGTTTAGATACATTGAGCTGGAGGTGCCTATGAGACACCTACACGGTAGTGATATGTGCAAAGAAGAATAAAACAGGATTTAAATATTATAATAGTAGCTAACACTAAGCACATACTATGTTCCAGAAACTGTTCAAAGTGATTTAAAATGACGTGTTTAATCTCTCCCTAAGCCTCACAAGGCAGCTACTGTTGTTAGTAACCTTATTTACAGATGGTGAAATAAAGGCAGAGAGTGTATATAATCCGTTCAAACTCACTCAGCTTATCAGTGGTAGAGCCAGGATTTAAACCCACACTGTCTGATTCCCAAGGCTGAGGTTTTAAGCACTATGCTATAATGTCAATCCATAGCAGATATAGAGCATGAATTGAAAGTACTTAAAGGAGGATATGGTTAAGTCAGGAGCCCCTGAAGTATGCTAACCATTGCAATAACTTAAGAGAGCTCTTGTTCTTGCCCTGTTCCTTTTGCTTAATAGCATTTCTCACTTCTGTCACTAACTGGTATTTCACCTATCTTATTCACATTTCTTTGCACAGTATCAAGGTCGAGCTATTATTTTATCTCATAGTCCCCCTGGGGTAACCAACTTGTTCCAGTTTCCTTGAGACTGAAGGGTTACCCAGAATGCAGGACTTTCAGTTTTAAATACAGACAGTCTTGGGCAAACTTCAACAGATTGGTCGCCCTCAACACATTGGTCACTCTCAACACATTTAACCATAATTCAGTCTGGTAAGTTTTGGGATCAGCTCAGGCCAGTTTCCATCTTACCAACATCTCTCATTCAAAGAAGAATATGAGAACTCAATCAAATCACTGCTTCTGAGACACAGCCCGATTACTGAGCAATCTGCTGTCAGCTCAGAATCAGTGAATTCCAAGATAATACAAGATTTCTGCTTGTTTTTTTTTTTTCCAAAGGCAATTGAAATCATTTTAGGTTATTTTTTCCTACCTTTAACTGTTGACAAGAACACATGAATGTCTTCAACTCATTAAAATAAATGTCTAATTCGTCAGCTGCTGAGATACCTTGTAGAGAGTATTGCTACTGTATAAAGATAACCTTTGGAAGAGTTCTCTTAACTCTCCTCTGTAGTACTCAGGTGGAGTGGAGGGGGTGCAATCAAATGGCAGGTCTTTAGATAAAGTTCAGTGACATGACAGACAAGTTTACATAGGAAAGGACCTTGGGCCAGTCTCTTCCTACTTAGGGCCAAGCCTAACTATAAGTAGCTACTCTCTTTTTTGAGCCTGAAATGACCATCTTCTTAGGAATGGGGTGTTGTTCAGCCATACACTCTCAAGACCTAGAGATACAGAAATGACAGGAGCTCCCAGAAACCAAGGTAAAAAGCACAGAATGTATTTGTTGTGGTATCATACTTGCAGATTCTGCTAACTCAATGTAAAATATGCACGACATATTAGCAGAGATATCAAAGGTTCTAGAAAATACAGTTCACCTTCCCAAAATACTTGCATGAAAAATAAAATCCTTCCAAACTTTCAAGAAAACTCCATTTAGTGAAGATTATCTACTATTCTTATTGATTATGGGGAAAGTTGAGAAGATAAATGGAAGAAACCAAAAGCAAAACCCGGAGTCATGTCAGTTGACCCTTTTGTATTCTTTCTTTTGGCAAAATAAGTAACTACAAACCTGGTGCACATCAAGGGGGAAATGTGCATTTCATTTGAAATGGCAAAAGCGAGGGAGGCTTTTTGAGCAGCCTTTTCAGCAAAGCATAGAACAGGAATCAGTAAACTTTTTCTGTAAAGGGCCTCACGATAAATATTTTCAGCTTTTTTGGCCATAGTGTGCCATAAATACTCAATTCTACCACGGTAGTGAGAAAGCAGCCATAGACAGTATGTAACAAATTAGCATGACTGTGTTCCAGTAAAACTACAAAACAGCTGGTGAGCCAGATTTAGCCCCTGGGTCATAGTTTTGCAATAGCTGATCTAGAAGTTAAAGGGACCCCAAGACAATTGCTTAACTGTCCCTCTGCTATGGTTTGAATGTTTGCGTCTCTCCAAAATTCATATTTTAAAATTGTAACTCCCAACATGATGGAATTACGAGGTGCGGCCTTTGAGGAGGTGATTAGGAGTTCCTTCTACCACATGAGGACACAACTAGAGGGCACTGTCTATGAGGAATGGGAAGAACAGACCCTCACCAGACACCAAATCTGCTGGTGCCTTGATCTTACTTCTCAGCCTCTAGAACTATGAGAAATAAATGTTTGCTGTTTGCAAGACACTTAGTCTATGATATTTTTGTTATAAAAGACCTAATGGACTAACACACCCTCCATACATGGTGTTACACAGTATCCACGTTTTCCTAAGTATGTGTACGTAAGTGCGTGTGTATGTATAAATGCTTATAAAAAAGCACTCATTATATTTCTCTTATTAAGCATTTTAAAAATATATAATAATTCAGTTACATGAAATGATGAAACATCTTTGTCCTAACATTATTTGAAACTCAGAAATAAATGCTTAAGGAAAGTTGTGTTTATTTTCTCTTTAGAAGATTGTGGCCACTATACATAACATGCCCTGGAATACTGTGCCTGATTTGAGTGCTTTTTAAGTTCCAAAATTTTCCCTCACCACATATACTCTGAATAATATTGTAAAGCAATTGATTTTCAGTTCAGCAAAAAATTAATGTCTTCCATTTCTATGGGGCCTTATTTACAAAGCACTTTCCCATGGCTTTTTGTTTTCTTCCTCACAGCAGTCATGGATGGTAGACAGAGAGTTCACGGTATTACAACTTATATAGGAAACTGAGGCCTAGAGGAGCTATGCAACCTACTTATGTCATACAGTAAGTTACAACTCCATGTTTGACTCTATAACAAGTGCTCTTGCCATTGTAGCGTAAGTATGACAACTAGTTTATATTATTATGTAACTCTGGAATTACAGTGTCATCTAACAATGGTGAGTGGGCATAGACTGGGTTGAAAAACTAGACATTTATTCCTGGGCTAAGAAAATGTATTCCAATCATTAAACTTAGTTCAAGAAGCTATGAAGAGGTAAGTCACCTGAAGTCTCCCATAACACCGCTTTTAGGACCAAAGCCAGGAAAGCCACATCATGAGGAAAAGTATCTTATGCCATCCAGTAACTAAATCCCCTCAGAGAGGGTCCAAGTTATATCCACCTTATAATTAACTCTAATTTATGGCAAATAATATTTTAGTGAGATTCGAGTGGCAGATTTTTCTGTTGCAAGCTCCATAATCTTAAAAACTGTTACAAAATGAAGATTTTGACAGATAGGCGATAGCAAATGAAAAAGTTGCACACAAAATTACCACGTTCCAGTGTAATGATTTTATACTGCAGATTACATTTCCCAATTGCTAATAATTTGCCACTTTCTTATTTAAAATAAAACCATGTGGTCTAGGCAAACTCGTTGAATTTTAACATGAACCATAATAATTTATGAGCAATTATAGAAGCACATGTACACAGCCTCTGAGTAATTTGTCATTCTGCTTGCTGTCAAATAAATAATTTTTGTATCTTGAATCTGCCTGTAATAATTTTGCTATGGCACCATCACCTGGAGCAATTTATACTGTACAGTTGTTGTACCCATTTGCCTCATATCTTGTTACCAAAAATCCAATTTTAAATTCAAGTGAATGAGAAAAAAACACAGTAATCTGTTGATGTACTTTCTAAAACAGATTAGCAATTTAAGTAGTGAGTTATTTTAAGCACACGCAATTATTATTATTATTATTATTATTATTTGAGACAGGGTCTCATTCTGTTGCCCAAGTTGGAGTGCAGTGGCACAATGATGGCTCACTGCAACCCTCCGGCTTCAGCTTCTTGAGTAGCTGAGACCACAGGCACATGCTCCCATGCACAGCTTATTGTTTTTTATTTTTTGTAGAGATTGTGTTTTACTATGTTGCCCAGGCTGGTCTCAAACTGCTGGCCTCAAGCAATCCTCCCACCTTGGCCTTCCAAAGTGCTGGGATTACAAGTGTGAGCCAATGTGCCCTGCCACCATGCACAATTCAAAGGAACACTGTCTACCTATCTAGAGATTACAATCCAGATGGACCATTGCAAATATTTTCATGTCTTGACCAGAAGCGCAAATTTTCAATAAGATATTCTGTTTAGTTTTCTTCCTTGTATTTGGAAGAATTAAATGGGTAGACTTGTCCAGTTTAAAAGCAGAGAAAATGAGAAACCTAGATGCCTTTTTGGTGACCTCAGATAAATCACAATAAAAATCAATCAACCTCTCAATCAATACCCTCTTCTTTCTATCTCCTTCCCTCTCCCCTACATTCTCTCTTAGATTTATGGTTTATTTTAAATTCTAGATGATTAGTTTTGGGGAGAATGAAATGAAGTGTAGATGGGTAAACTGTTTTAATATATTTTTTTTTCCAGAGAAACTTTTTCAAGCATTTGCACAATTGAAATGGGGAAGGCCTCTAAATATATGAGCACAATAAAATATATATTACACATAATTCTAAGTCCATTCTCTCATTCTTCTTTTGAGTGCCCCTAAATTGTGCAGGCATCCCTGGATGTAGGAAACATATTTACAAAATTTCATCATATAATATAATAAAAATAACATGGAAGAATGCATCCAGGATGCCAGGACAATTTCCATATCTGCTTGTATTGGGCTGTAGAATAAATGCAGGGATCAATGAGTCCTTAAAGCATGGGCAAGCTCAGAATCATCCACGAGAAACCTGGGATTTAATCACACACCCGTAAACGGACTGCAAAGAAATTCATCAGTTATATGGATTCTCATCAACTTTTGAGGGAAAGAAATCCAGGCAACAAAAGTTGGTGAAGGCTTTCTTTGAGCTCTAGTGTTTATCAAATGTTCAAATCATACAGGCCTCAGATTGGATCACTAGGTCAGGCCCCAATAGATTACGCTTTGTGAAAGCAAATATTTTTGTTACAAACAACCACAAAAAAATGGGGTGGAGTGGGGGGGGGGGTTCTTTAAGTCAGCTGTATCTAATTATTAGCTGAGTAACCGCAAGTCACTTAACCCATGTAATCTGTTTCCTCTCAGGAAAAAGGCCTGGGCTACACGAATTTTAAATTCCCTTCAAATTCAATGTTTCTACTTTTTTGATGACAAAATAATCACCTATTCTCTGGTATCAGATTAAGCCAAATGTCAGAGAGCATGAAAAGTCTTGCAGAAAGCAGAGTGAACAGCTACCTATGTGGAGTGAAGAGAAGGAGTCAGCCTGAAGTGCTTTACATGTCTGCCCCCAAATGGTTCTTCCACTGTTTCAGTTTGGAACTTAAAATTCCCCATCTATTACAGTAATTTGTGTGGAAAGCAATGTGTTTCCAGAATGTGTTTGGAAACTTATGAGATTCAGGACCTCTTATCCCATTTCCACCAAGTTAGTGCACATTAGTTCATTTCTATACAAAAAGAGTGTCCCATAGGGGATTTGGTACAGAAAAACCAAGCCATTCCCTATCCTATTTCATATCTCATTTCCTATCCCATTCTTTCTGTCTCCCTGCCTTGTTTCCTGTTTTGGTGGTAGAGGAGGTGGGGAAAGACTTCTGTAGGAATCTTCAGAAACAGATGAGGATTTCCAGTTTGCTTGGCTTCTCAATCTGAATGGGAATAACATCAGCACTTGAAATTTTCCTCATCTCCACTCTTGACCTTTATAGTCAAAACTTCCCTCGAAGCTCCAAGTTCTAGAAAACAGAATGATATTCCTTTTACAAACAGCCTGGAAAAGGCTGATCCACTTCTTATTAGCTTTACAACTTGAGTAAGCTGTTTAATGCATCTAGAGCTTAATTTATTCATCTCCAAAATGGGAATAAAATAATACCTACTTCATATAGTTATGGAGAATTTTAAATTAGATAACGTGCATAAAGCACCTGGTATAATGCCTGGTACACAGTGAGCACCATAAATAGTAGAACTCCCTTTCCCACAGTCACCAGCCTGGAGCACTGGATGCTGTGAAGAGAGGGTCCCTCCAGATGGTCAGTAGAAAGCACAGCAGGGAATTCAGAAGCAAGGTGATGAGGGCAAGTATGGTGCGGAATGCCGAGACAGAAAGAGATCCATTAGAAACCCCTTCATGTTCCAGAGAGGTGAACTGACTTGCCCCAGTTTGCACAGCTAGTTAATAGAAGAAATGGGACCAGAACCCATATGTTATGTGACTCTCTAAAAGAGTTCCCTTTTCCTATTCAAGCCACCCCCTGAAAATCTACTTTACGTATTTTATTATGTGGCCCAAAACAAGCCATCACACAGACTATTGCAATAGTCCCAGTAAAAGATGATGATAGCTTTAACTAGCAAGGTAGCAATGGCAAAGATGATAAAATTTGGAATATATTTTCAAGAACTGGATGATGAATTGGATGTGGGGTATTGGAGAAATAGAGAAATAAAAAATAACTCAGGTTTCGTGTCTGCACCAAAATGAATGGAATTGCCATTTGGTGGGGAAAGAAAAGAAGTGACAAGGAGTAGATGAGGGAAAGGTAAGAATCAAAAGTTCAGTTTTGGACATGTGAAGACTGAGATGCATTATTGAGGTCCTTGCCTAGATTTTTTCTTTTTTTTTTGAGACGGAGTCTCGCTCTGTCACCCAGGCTGGCGTGCAGTGGCGCGATCTCGGCTCACTGCAAGCTCCGCCTCCTGGGTTTACCCGCCATTCTCCTGCCTTAGCCTCCTGAGTAGCTGGGACTACAGGCGCCCGCACCACACCCAGGTAATTTTTTTGTATTTTTAGTAGAGACGGGGTTTCACTGTGTTAGCCAGGATGGTCTCGATCTCCTGAACTCGTGATCCGCCCGCCTCGTGATCCGCCCGCCTCAGCCTCCCAGAGTGCTGGGATTACAGGCGTGAGCCACGGCGCCTGGTGGGTCCTTGCCTAGATTTTTAAGGTTAAGATGTAAAAAACAGCCTTACTGTAGATGAAGCTTTTCCTCCGTGCCCCATAGTTCTACTCTTTTTTTAAACAAGTTGGTTCTATGAATCCAATGCTCACCTTTTCAAAAAGGAAGCTAAAACTCATACATTCTAAAGATAAATAATAACAGCTGGAAGCATATCTTACTTTTACATTGGAATTTATATTTTAACAATAACAAAACTAAAATCTCTCCTACTTGCTGACTAATTCCTGAAATCCTAACCATTAGAGCACCATCTCTTTTGTCATTCAATAAGAAATAATACTTTTTGATTAACAGAATTTCAGTGATGGAAGATGTATTAGGTGCAATTCAGAGTACCTGTTTATCTGTCTAAGTGCTTTTCTAGAATATAACTTTTGCAATCCTTAACTCTCATTTCAGTTCCAAATGAATCAACCTCCCACCTCCACTGGCCACAACTAATTGGACCATTGTGAACAATTCTTACAAATGCATTCATTCTATAGCCTGACCAGCCAATCTATGTTTTACAAGATCTGGCTTTAAAAAATGAGTTGAGTCAATTATTTTCTCTCTTGAATTTTATAATTGAAAATTGAGAGGATGAGCCTGATAATTGTAGCGGCTGAGTTAGAAGGACATGGGGGACTTGAAGATAGAACTTTTCTGGGCCATATGTAAGCTGAAGATACAAGGAAGTCAGCAGTAGAAAGAGAATATTGCAGATATGTGGGGAAAAGGAGAGAGAGAGAGAGAGCTTTGTAGTTAGCCAGATCCTGAGACAAAATAACCTCCAATCCTGATGGCTTTCCTGTCCCCCATTCCAATTTCTATGAGGACTGTGTATGTTGGGGCATAATCTGCCCTTAGTTCTTGAAATTTTCATGGCATATGCTTTTTTTAAAAAAAGGAAAGATCTTTTTTTTTTTTTTTTTTGCTAACTCGAAACCAAAATTAATGCTAGCATAGAAGGTGATCTTGTGATCTTGTTCAATACTCTTGCTTTATAGATGGGAGAAAGAGACCCAGGAATGCCAAGTGCCTTGCCTAAGTTCTCAAAGAAATTAAAGGGCAGATCTGGCATTGGAATTCAGGGCTCTAATATAGTCATAGGAGAGAGAGTCCTGCAACAGTTTCCTTTAATGGGAATTACTGTCAAATACATTAAATCTTACCAATTTAAGGTAACGTGTAATTGTATGTTTCTAGAAATTCTGATCAGATACGAATAAAATGTATTTGAGAAGGGTCTCGAGATCAAATAAATATTTTGTTTGTAGAGATATTCTTTTCTCTGAACCTTTATAATATTGGGATCATAAAGCAAACTGTATTTTTCAAGCAATAGCAAATTTCTTCTGAGATGAATAGCTATATAATACACTTGAATAAAAATATTTTGCAAATGAAAAGAAATGAACCAAATTTTAAACAGTTTACAAAATTAAACCAACAAAGTCTGTCATTTGTGCCAATACATTCACTTTGTGTAGTGTTGCTAAAATATGCAGATGGAACTAAAGCTGCATTAGCTATGTAGCAGAGCTTATACCACAGCCAGGAATCTTAAAGTAAACCAACAATTAACAAGCACCTACTGAAACACAAAATACGTGATCGTGATCAGACTCAGTAAACTGCACTGGAAAAGGAAAAGAGACTATGAAGATGGGACATGAAAAGTTTCTATAAGTACCTGAGGCTCAGGTGTGGTAATGTATTTAAACTGTAAGTCTCATCAGCATAATAATGGATAGGAAAGTATACCTGTGAGATGATCAATCCAAGCCCCCTAAGAGGATGAAAGGAAACAATCAAGGAAAATATTTTTAACAACTAGTATGGGTCTAAAACTGGACTAGGTAGGTGGGAATCTAAGGAATAAAGCATGATTTCTGCCCTCAAAACTCTCCTGATCTCTCTCACTGTAGAGGTAAAACATCCTCAAATTAAAAGCTAGTTTAGTAGAAATCATGTATGCTAAGTGCTTACTAAAAGTAGAGTCAATAGGTGTCTAGGAGTTTAGAGCATGCAAAGTCACTGCCAGCTGGAGTGGGCTTTTCCTTAATTCTATTTGAGCATCTATTACAGTCAAAGTGGCTTGCTCACAGTGCTCCGTTGGGACAAGTACTCTTAGAGGAGGAAGCACTGAAGCTTGAAGGATGGGAACATTTTGATACATATTCTCCTGGTCACCCAGAGTCCAACCCTCCCATTTCCTCTCCCAACTGCCTGCAAATTCAGCCTCTCAAGGAAACCTTATCAAATTTCCTTCCATAATGCTTTGCACATCTGCATCCATCTCATCAGTTCTGTTCTGTCGTTCTATTCAAAGCCATCATTAACTCACATCTGAACCCTATTACAACCTCCTAACCAGGCCCCCTCTCTGTAGTCTCTCCTCCCACTAATCTACCCTACACACAGCTGCCAGATTCATCTTCCTGAAATGCCAATTTCATCATGTCTCTACCCATTTTCTACATGATACATTTTAAATTCCTTTGCCTGGTATCCAAGGATCCCTACAATCAGAGCCCAGACTATATTTTCAACCTCATTTTTCCTACAATAATGGTCCAGCTCAGCCAGGCCTACTAAGTATCCCCAAACTTCTTACATTTCCATCCCAAGCTTCTGTTCACCCAGTTTTCCCCAATCTTAAATGCCCTCCTCAGACCTCTTTATTTATATAAATTCTAAATTCCATCCCCTTCCTAAAGCTTTCCCTGATTATCTCAACCAACAATGACAGCTTGCTCCTCTGACTTCAAACTATTCTATTTCTACTTATTTTAACTTTAATTTATTATAGTTATATTCCTTCTCTCTACCCTCAGTGGAACAGATGATGAGGATATGAAATGGGGAAAGACACTAGGGGGTAAGCACCATGGAAGCCAGGAGACTAGTTAGATTATTATACTATTACAAGCAAGATATAATGAGGCCTGGAAAATATTCAGGCCCTGGGAATACAAAGGAATTAATGGATGAGATATATTACCAAAGAAGGATCAACAGGACTTGATGATTGACAAGATAAAGGAACAAGAAGGTTGAATAACAAATGAGTTGGAAGTTTTAAGGCTGAATCGTGCCATTAAAATTTTAAAGGTAGTGTCAAACTGGTTTGGTAAAGAGGGTGATAAGTTTGTTTTAGGCTAAGTGAGCTCATGGCAGGATATAGTACATGGTTAGAGAGAAAAGAGCTTATAAAAATGATTACAGCTGGTGATAGAGGTTGGCGAGAAAGCTGCTCAGAGGTATTCACTGGAGCCATGATTATAAATGCATTTATAAAGAGAAAGAATGAAGAAAAAAATAAAAGGGAGAACAAGAAAAGAGGATCCAGTGGAGGAGACACAGGAACAATAGAAAGAAATAATAGAGTGTAACAAACAGAGAGTTAAACACAATAAAGGAGAAAACAAAACAAAACAAACTTGACAACTCTGATTCTATTAGGAGATCAAGATGCTACTATTAAAGACCAAAGCCATCTGCACAGGATATAGCATGCCCTGATGGTAAGGAAATGTAGGAAATAGGTGTTTGGCACCAAGGATAGGAGAGGACAAAATGGGACACAGGCTAAAGGGCACAAGAGGATCAACCAACAATTCTGATATAATGGTGCTCTACTATAACATATGGTGGCATTGCTGGGTCATATGATTCAGTGATTGAAAGTGTAGATACTGTAAACCAAAAATAAAATTCTAAGCCCCTCAACTGACTGAAGGGATCCCTCTCTTAGCCAAGGGGATCCCAAAGAAACCTGAAAAACTAATTCAGGCCATGACAGGAAGTGGGGTCAGACATACCTCATTATAGCCTCCTCCCTTTGGAGTTTAGACACAATTGACCAGCATTAACATTAAAACAGAGATCTTAATACCGATAAAACAGAATATTTGTAGCAATAAGATACCAATTTCTAACCTGACTTTGGTATCACATCACATGACAGATAGCAGGCCCTGAAGGAAATCAAAATATTTTACACCCAAATATACTTCTTTGACCTATTTTGAAATGGCCCTGCGAAGCTGTCTCTTGTGGGGGAAATATGCATTCTGTAGAGAAAGAATCTCTTTCCCTTACTAGGTCATTTTTGGAGAGTCTGACACCCTTTTAAGGTCCCATAAGAGAAAATCACCATCTATTCTCTCTGAAGTCTGTTACCTGGAGGCTTCATATACATGACAAAAGCCTTGGCTTCCACAACACCCCTTATCTTCACTCGAGCTGACTTCAACTCTTCAGACAGAGCTTAATTCTCTCAACCAATTGCCAATCAGGAGATCTTTGAATCCACCTATGACCTGGAAGCCCCTGCTTTGGGATGTCATGCCTTTCTGGGACAAACCAATGTATACCTTACATGTATTGATTTATGTCTTTGCCTATAAGTTCCATCTCCCTAAAATGTATAAAGCCAAGCTGTAACCCAACCACCTTGGACACATGTTCTCAGGACCTCCTGAGGCTGTCATGGGCCATGGTCCTTCACTTTGGCAAAATAAGCCTCTATTTAAATTGATTAAAATCTGTCTCGGATATTTTTTGCTTTACAAAACTAAAGTCAGAGTGCTTGAGTCTGTATTACAGGTCTGCCACTTTGAACCTGTGCAAACTTGAGCAATTTATTTAACCACCCTGTGATTCACTTTCCTCATCTATTGGAAGTAATGAAAACAATGTCTACCTCACTGAGTTGTTGTCAGAATTAAGTTTATATACGTCATGTGGCTGTAATATAAAACAAGTTCAATAAATGTTAGCTATGTTAAAATGGTATTTACCATTAGCACATAATCTAGTTCACAAGGTGTCCTTTACAGAGACCTGCTCATTTTCCCAAAAGAACTCCAAGTTGGAAGAACTATTCAAAGTCAATCTGGTATTAATATATGTTGAAAGAGAACTAACACACACACGTCAAATTTGCGGGCAACAGAGCAAAACTTTGTCTCAAGAAAAAAAAAATCTTGCAGTCAGCATTTAAGCTAAATAAACAAAACAATCAACTGATTGTCTTAGTATGATTGTGCACCCATAACAGAATACCACAGACTGGTAATTTACACTGAACAATAGTGTTTTGGCTCACAGTTCTGGTGAGTAGGAAATTCAAGATCAAGGGGCCAGTATCTGGCAAGGACCTTCTTGCCATACAATCCAATGACAGAAGAGCAAACAGAGGATGAGAGAGACAAAACAGGGGCAAACTCATCCTTTTATAAGAAGCACATTCTGGTAATAACATACTCACTCCCACTATAATGGTGTTATATATACCCACTATGAGGGTAGGGCTGTCATGGCCTAATCACCTTTTACAGGTCCCACCACTTAATATTGTTAAAATGGCAATTAAATCTCAATGTGAATTTCATAGGGGACATTCAAACTCATTAAATTAGATTCGTGATATTCAGGAATTTGAAAGTTTTCTGACTAGACTTTTAAGTGATTTTGAATAAGGCCCATGTAAACTACATATGGATAGTCAGAAGATTTTGCATGTAATGCTCACCATGTATGATCTAAATGAATTATAGGGCACATAAAATGTCTCAATTAATTTGATTTGAGAATTTACCAAACAACAAAGGAAGAAGTTGTTGCTATGCAGAGGCAACTTAGAATAATGCAGTATCAAATAATAAGAAGTTTCCTTGTTATTTTTATGGGCCATAGAGCACATTCAGTGCACTACAAATAGAAAGAGAGTCAACCACCTGAAAATTCTTTCATAAGAAGAATTGTATGCATTCATGTTCAGCAGTATATACCTGAAAAAATATTTTTTCTGGGAATAAGACTTTTTCGTGTAATCATATTGCCCACTTTTTTTATAGTGATACCATAGTTTACTTATTTCCATTTTTCCATAGGTTATTGGGGTACAGGTGGTGTTTGGTTACATGAGTAAGTTCTTTGGTGGTGATTTGTGAGAATTTGGTGTACCCATCACCAGGGCAGTATACACTCCACTGTATTTGTAGTCTTTTATCCCTCACCTCCTTCCCACCCTCTCCCCCAAGTCCCCAAAGTCCATTGTATCATTCTTATGCCTTTGTATCCTCATAGCTTAGTTCAGACATATGAGTGAAAATATGTGATGTTTGGTTTTCCATTCCTGAATTACTTCACTTAGAATAATAGTCTCCAATCTCATCCAGATTGCTGCAAATGTCATTATTTCATTCCTTTTTATGGCTGACTAGTATTCCAGCACATATATATATATATACACTGTAGTTTTTTTATCCACTTGTTGATTGATGGGCATTTGCATATTGCCCACTTTCTAATGAAAACTGAAAGCCTATGTTGAAACAACATAGGTTCTGGGTACTATCCCAATTTTATTATTTATGTTTGTCATCTTGCTCCCAACTTCAATAGTCAATAAAATAGAGGAAGTGGAGTTTTCCTTTTAGTTGAATTATCTCCTGTCTACTATGATAAATCTCTAGACTAAAACAAACAAACCAAAAAAACGAAAAAACAAAAAAAAACAGAAAAACCTTCTACATCGTAAATGTGCCTGTAGAGTAGACACCATTTTGGTTAATATAATATTATGTCTTTCTCTCTCTCTACCTCCCTTTTTCTCTCTAATTATTCTAATAGAATAAAATCTTAATCAGCCAGATCACAACTAAAAGAACTCTCAAGTCATGTTTTGAATGTTCCACTTAAAAAAAATGTCAAGTCACATAGAAAAAAATCATGGTAGTAATTTTACTAAAAATACTTCCAAGGAATGAAGTGCTCAACGCAATTCAGCTCAATTTCCTAAACCTTTTACATCTCCATCTATGATCCTAGACATATTTCACTGATGATCAAAGCAGTGGTCCAGAGACACCAAGCACCACAGTTGTACAGTAAAGATGCTCAGGGACACGATGAGATTTCCCAGCATTATAGAAAGATTTATTTAACTTTGATCAACTTTTTATCAAGACAGGGAAGTAGACACAATTTAGAAATATTTCCTAACAACTTGAAAATATATAGCAAACTTTGAAATAGTGACACCTAAACAATCTCCTTGGATTTATAGTTGCTATGCATATTTTCCCTTAAAACTACAGTGGATTTCCTCTATTTCTCCACAAATGCAAAACATTCCTATCACTTGATTTTTTTTTCCATTTCCTCACATTCCAAGACAGGTCAAGGAAATAGTTGGGCAAATGATTTAAGGTCTGTTTGTCACGTGTGGTGATTTACTTCAACATTTGGTTGCCATACTGGTAATACAAGTGTTACTTCTAAGTGCATAAACAGAGGGTAATTTATTAAGATCCGTGACAGATTGCGTGCCAAAGCCTGAGCCGTTTATACACAAACCAACCAACAAGAGAAGTGCTTATTAACCTCCATGAAAGACAAATCACTTAGTTCTTTCCCCTAAGGCTGAGGCAGCCTAAGAACTGTCAGTCCAGTCTAGTCTGAAACAGACAGCAAATCTCCTTTCTACTGAGACAGCTGTTCATTTACACCAAGGAATGAAGATGTTTAACAAGACCAAGAAGCAAAGATACACCAAAAAGAATGCACTGTATAGAGAAAGAAAGGCACCTGTGGGCCCTTTAAACAAGCCATTTCTAGCTCCAGTGAAATATTTGAACAGATAGATTTTTAACCCTCAATGGGCCTAGTGGAAACAGATGTAGCTGAAACTAGGCTTGTACCTCAGGACCTTGAAAGTAGAGGTTGCTCCGCTTTGCTATCACTCCACCTCACTGGCAGACCAAAATTAAAGGTTGAACTCTGACCCAGTACCAAAGAGAATAACCAAAATCAAGTCCTGATGACACAGTGTGTCTTTTGATAATAGTATTTGCATGCTCTAGTTCTTCATTAACTAGTGTTTAGTTTGTTTTGATGTCATGTCCCTGCTTGGCTGATGATTCTATATTGATGTTGAACTAATCTGATACATGAGTGTCTTCATCTCATATATGTTACTGTGAAGAAGTAAAGGGAAACAAAAGCCTAAATTTTGAAAGGAACTTGTGTTAACTGACGAAAATTTAAATTCATGTAAATCCAGGCTGCCCCTATACCTCAATCCACATACCATAGGACCTTGCTTTCTTATGATTATTAAAATATAAATCAATTTTAAAATAATTATGTAAACACATATTTGTATTATTTATTTATTTATTTATTTATTTATTTTTGAGATGGAGTCTCGCTCTGTCACCCAGGCTGGAGTGCAGTGGCATGATCTTGGCTCATTGCAATCTCCGCCTCCCAGGTTCAAGCAATTCTCCCTGCCTCAGCCTCCCAAGTAGCTGGGATTACAGATGCCTGTTAACACACCCTGCTAATTTTTGTATTTTTCAGTTGAGATGGGGTTTCGCCATGTTGGCCAGGCTGGTCTTGAACTCCTGACCTCAGGTGATCCACCCACCTCGCCCTCCCAAAGTGCTGGAATTATAGGCATGAGCCACCACACCTGGCCATGTTTTACCATTTGTATACCGCCTTAATATACATGTTCTCATTTGATCTCCACAACATCATGAGGTAGGTACTATTATTACTACCCCTACTTACAGATGATGAAACTAAGGCAAAGAATAGTTAAGCAACATATTCATTGTCATATACCTAATAAGCAGCAGACTAGGACTTGAACTAGATGTTAAGTCTGCTGCTCAATTTCCTCTATTCTCGCTATTTTTTATAGATTTTGTAGAACTTTCATTTAAGGGCTTTTATTATGTTACTCTTTCTAGGTCCTCAGGTTACTCAAGTGAAATTTCAGTCCAAGGGGATCATACATATAGATATACCTTAAATTCATGTTGGCATTTAAAAAGATTCCATAGATCCTCTCCCATAAAGAAACCAAAGATAAGAGCATCGTACTACAGGAGCAGCTAATTTTTGTTGTTTTTAAAAGCCTTGTATACAGAGCCAAAGAACATGTGCATCTGGTGACCTCTGTCAGTGCATTTGTGCTGCTATAACAAAATACCACAGGCTGGGTAATTTATAAACAACAGAAAATTATTTCTCACAGTTCTGGGGGCTGGGAAGTCCAAGATCAAGGTGCTGGTAGATTCAGTGTCTGCTGAGGGCTGCTCTCTTCTTTCAAGATGGCACATTCTTGCTGTGTCTTCAAATGGTAGACAGGATGAACAAGATTCTTTGAGCTTCTTTTATTAGGGTACTAATCCTTATAAAAGAGCTGTCATGACCTAATCATCTCCCAAAGGCCTCAACTCTTAATTCCAATACTTTGAGGATTAGGCTTCAACATATGAATTTTAGGGGGACACAAATATTGAGATAATAGCAAGACCTATGATAATTTTCTTGCTATTCAAGGAGATTTCCTTTTAAAAATGCCTAAGATTCAGAAAAACAATTTTAAATCCATGAATGGATGTGAAATGGCAACTCAGAAACCCTCTTTAAGGAGAAACTATAAATCACTATATTCCTCACCCTTGCACCTGCCTGTAAGAGATTGCACTTCTATTTCTTGGCACCAAAACAGATTTTCTAAATATCAATAAAATGCTGGAAATTTTTTTAAAACATACAGGTTTCATGAAATCTACTACATGACAAATTCATAACATACTATTCACAAAATCCAACTAGTAAAGTACATTTTCACATATGTTCCTTTGTATGCTGTCAACCAACCACTGCTCTTCAGGTATAAAATGAAAGTTACGACATTACACTTACCACCAGAATTGTAATATGCACAGGCTCCTGAGAATATAGAATATGTGTCACAGCATGGAGGTGGCCATAGGTCCATTTGTTAATTAGCTCTGTCCATATATGGAGAAAAAAAAATAGCTTCCTAGGAGAAGAGTGTTTCATCACTCACTTTGAAACAGGATGACTAGTAATGCAAATGTCAATATATCATTGACTTTTGATAAACACAAAAAATAAAACAATTACCTCCTGACGTGGGGCTTGTGTACCAATAATGCTCTGCTTTGATTACTCTAAAGACAGGAAAAGAGCAACTCTTTTTAATAATTAGGTTTGTTTACCCTACTGATTTACAAGGTGGGAATGGCAAAGCTTTCCTCCCTCCACCCCCATTAGAGAACATAGTAGATGTTTGTTTTCTATAGCAGTCTCGGGTCTTAATTTTAGAAGTAAATTAGCAATTCTCGTTCTAGGTATATACAAAAAAGAAATAAAATCATATGTCTATATAAAAACTTGTACATGAATATTCATAATGGCATTATTCATAATAGTCAAGAAGTTGAACCAATGTAGATGTCCATAAACAGATGAATGGATAAACAAAACATGATATAAATATGCATATACATACAATGGAATATTATCAGCCATAAAAAGGAATGAAGTTTTGATACATGCTACAACATGGATGAAACTTGAAAATATTATGCTAAGTGAAAGAAGGCACAAAAGTCCACATATATGATTCCATGTATATGAAATATCCAGAACAGGCATAGAAAGAGAAAGTAGATTCATGGTTGCCAGGAGATTGGAGGGGTGTTGAGAGGAAATGGGTGATGACTGTTAATATAGGCCTGGGTTTCTTTTGGGCATGATGAAAATGTTCCTAAATTGATTGTGGTAATGATTACACAACTGAGACAAGCAGGGACCCCTCTTAGGTTCTTCTTGTCCTCCCCTCATGCATGGAAATAAAGGAAAATCTCTGTACCTTCAAGGGAAATTCTAGTCACCGAGCTAACCCTGAGAAGTAAATGAGCAGCCTGATAAGTGAGAAGGTAATAATAGCTTAAAATAATAGCCAAGGAAGTTAGAGTGACAGAATGTTTGGTTTCCTATAGAAACTAAAGATAACATGTTAACTATGTCTCTGAGTTGTTTTTCAGAAACCCAGACCCCCATCAAATGGAAAATGCCATCCACTGGCACACAGACTTCAGCTCTGGGGAAACTGAGGACTAAACCCTGACATCCCTTCTTTGTTCTAAATGTCTTCCTGAGGGGCCTGGAGAAAGTCACACCCATATGCCAGAGCTCAACATTTCTTTCTGCTGACCCCAAGATTTTAGACAAAACTTTGCCTACTCAACCAATCACAAATCAGAAAACCTTTAAATCCAAAATCTATGACCTATAATACCCTTCTTCAAGATGTCCTGCCTTTTTACGCCAAACCAATGTAGCTTCTATGTAATGATTTATGACTTTGCCTATAACTTCTGCCTCCCAACCTTTAAAAACCCTTACCTGTTTTCAGGTAAGCTCAGGTCTTAAGCATTAGCTGTCTAATTCTCCTTGTTTGGTCTCCTGCAATAAATGTCTCATTTTTTCTCACTGCAAATCCCAATGTCACTGTTTGGTTTTGCTGCACCAGGGGGACAGATGCAAATTTGGTTTGGTAAGATAACTCTGTGAATATACTAAAGATCACTGAAGTGTACACTTTAAATGGCAGAACTGCATGGTATGTGGATTATATCTCAATAAAGTCGCTATATTTTTTAAAAAATTAAGTTACTAGAAAGCCAGAAAGGGTAGTTTCTTTAGTATAAGATACAAATATTTATATTAGCCATATAAGAAAATTTGGTAAACTCTAGGCTACTCAGGTAGAAGGAATGAGTAGGGCTGAAAACCTTTTTCTACCCTCTTATAAACCAGGGCTATAAGATGCTTTCTGAAATTTTCTAAGACTTTCTTTGGCCAACAGGAATAAGAAGGCAAGGCCCTGGGAAGGTCTAGAATGCAAATTTAGAGCCAGAAGAATATGGCATAAGGTCAGTAGGAATGGGAATAGAACCCCCTGGACAATCCTAGAAAGCAGAGTAGGATATATTTAGTTTGCAGGAAGGGGCAGGTCTTAATCCATTCAAGCTGCTATGACAAAAAATTTTAGTGGCTTATAAACAATAGAAATTTAATTCTCATAGTTCTGGAGGCTGGGAAGTCCAAGATCAAGGCACCAGCAGATTTTGTGTCTGGTGAGGGCTTTCTGCTTCATAGATGGTGCCTTCTCACTGTGTCTTCATGTAACAGAAGGGACAAAGAAGCTCCCTGAGGCCTCTTTTATGAGGGCACTTGCCTCATTCATGAGGGCTCCACCCTTTTGATCTAATAACTTCCCAAAGTCCCCACCTTTTAATACTATCACATTGGGGGTTAGGATTTCAACATATGATTTTGGAGGGGACACAAACGTTCAAACCATAGCAGGGTAGAACAGGGTTAATGTCATTCACAGCCGAGATTGGATTTTTTAGGATATGAGTGAGAGGTACTATATAGTTTTAGTAGCAAAGGAGAGGATTCTGACATTAGTGCAGGCTGGATCACTGTAGTAAACCTAGGCCCCCCAAATAAATGATTCGACATCCACAGGGACATAGAGGGGGACTTCCTATCTCTCTGAAAGACTGGAAAGCAGATTAAAAGTAAGTGGCCATGCTGGGATTATCTGGTGAATCTGTTAAGTGTTACTTTGAGTCTGCAGGGCCACCTTAGCAGCTGGGCAATTTTGAATCTAATAAAGTTAGACCCCTGCTAATGCTATTCTTAGTAAATAATCTCAACTCTGACAGTTCTTAACCAACCTGCCTCCTTCTGTGTACTCAACTACCGATTGCAGGGGAATTCTAGGGTTTTTAGGGACTACAGGAAACAGGGGAAGGAAGAAGTAGGAAAGTACAGGGCCCCAGCCTTAATTGGAAGTGGTCTGAGAAGTTTCATTTGACATGTACAAAACAGATAATAATGCAACTCATCAGTATAACACTGTACGGTTCATAATGAAATTTTACATGCTCTATTTCAGTTTAATATCTAAAATAGTGGTCACTATTCAAAGGACTTAAGAGATCTTCTGGCTTCAGGAGACTGGTTTGGTGTTAGAAAAGCAGAAATTAGGTTTTACTTGACAAGGGATTTGCTGATTCTTATTCACCAAAATAGGAAATAGGTTCAAGAAACATTTAAGTTCAAAAATCATTTACTGAACATCCGTCCTCAGCCAGGCCCTCTTTCATGTGTTGGGGACACAGCAGAATAAAATATGGTCCTTGCCTTTAGAGAAGCTCACAGCATTATAGTAAGTGTTATAAATGGCGGGGAATATAGGGTGATTTGGGGGCAAGAAGAGGTACCTGACTAGCTCCTTGGACTGGTGAAGAGGGTGTGTGGATATACTCAGTGAAAGAATCCCTGAGAAAAGTTGAGAGATGTACAAAAAACATTCATTCATTCAATCATTCAACCAATACAATTTTAGCAGTTACTATGTACTACTAAAATTGGCAGGCATTGGGGATGGGAGGCAGGACTTGGGGATGGATTATTGGCCAAACAATAAGCAAAAGTATATTCCAGATACAGGAAACACTGTGAACAAAGACACAGAGGCATCAAATCACTTGGGTTACATGGGAAAAGTAGAAACAATTCTTCATGACTAAAAAGCAAAGTAAGAAGATGGTGAGTGATAGTCAGAGACAGAAGATAGTTACTAAGGCCTAGTCCTGAACATCTTTACCAGGCTAAGGAGCTACACTTTTATCATGTAAACAACAGGGAGTCACTGAAGGGTTTAAGCAGAAGACTTACATCTTAACTACGAGTTTGAACTGTGATTCAACGGAGTGAAAAGAAAGAACAAAATGTCTTGGCCCAGAATCTTCCCATATTGAAGGTAAGTCTGCTCATTTACCTACCATAGGTAGATGGGAGGAAAAATCATAGTAAAGAATAATCCAAAGAAATAAAGTACTGGGAATGATGAAGTATTGGTGTTAGTAAGTAGCTAGATCCACCAATGGGAGAAGGGAAATCAGCCAAGAGCACAGGAAAGATTGGCAGAAGCAAATGGGGGAAGTGAAAAAACAGAGGAAAGACAATGAATTTACCCCCCTACACACACACACACACACACACACACACACACACACACACACACACACCCATCTGTTGAAAGGAGACTCTGACTGTAATCTATGGAGTACAGGATGTACACTAGGAGACCTAAGTATTTTTTTTTTATTTTGTTTATTGTTTTGTTTTGTTTTATTATACTTTAAGTTTTAGGGTACATGTGCACAACATGCAGGTTTGTTCCATATATATACATGTGCCATGTTGGTGTGCTGCACCCATTAACTCGTCGTTTAACATTAGGTATATCTCCTAATGCTATCCCTCCCCTCTCCCTCCACCCTACAACAGGCCCCTGTGTGTGATTTTCCCCTTCCTGTGTCCATATGTTCTCATTGTTCAATTCCCACCTATGATGGAGACCTAAGTATTTAATGTTCTGAATTAAAGTGTCTCTGTGAGAAAATAGAGAAGGCCCATATGCTGGAAGCATCTTTCAAAAGTCACAGATTTGTGAATAGTGCTGCAATAAACATACGTGTGCATGTGTCTTTATAGCAGCATGATTTATAATCCTTTGGGTATATACCCAGTAATGGGATGGCTGGGTCAAATGGTATTACTAGTTCTAGATCCTTGAGGAATCGCCACACTGTCTTCCACAATGGTTGAACTAGTTTACAGTCCCACCAACAGTGTAAAAGTGTTCCTATTTCTCCACATCCTCTCCAGCACCTGTTGTTTCCTGACTTTTTAATGATCGCCATTCTAACTGGTGTGAGATGTTATCTCATTGTAGTTTTGATTTGCATTTCTCTGATGGCCAGTGATGATGAGCATTTTTTCATGTGTTTTTTGGCTGCATAAATGTCTTCTTTTGAGAAGTGTCTGTTCATATCCTTTGCCCACTTTTTGATGGGGTTGTTTGTTTTTTTCTTGTGAATTTGTTTGTGTTCATTGTAGATTCTGGATATTAGCCCTTTGTCAGATGAGTAGGTTGCAAAAATTTTCTCCCATTCTGTAGCTTGTCTGTTCACTCTGATGGTAGTTTCTTTTGCTGTGCAGAAGCTCTTTAGTTTAATTAGACCCCATTTGTCAATTTATTGTGGCACTGTTCACAATAGCAAAGACTTGGAACCAACCCAAATGTCCAACAATGATAGACTGGATTAAGAAAATGTGGCACATATACACCATGGAATACTATGCAGCCATAAAAAATGATGAGTTCATGTCCTTTGTAGGGACATGGATGAAGCTGGAAACCATCATTCTCAGCAAACTATCGCAAGGACAAAAAGCCAAACCCCGCATGTTGTCACTCATAGGTGGGAATTGAACAATGAGAACACATGGACACAGGAAGGGGAACATCACACACTGGGGACTGTTGTGGGGTGAGGGTAGGGGGGAGGGATGCATTAGGAGATATACCTAATGCTAAATGACGAGTTAATGGGTGCAGCACACCAACATGGCACATGTATACATATGTAACAAACCTGCATGTTACGTGCATGTACCCTAAAACTTAAAGTATAATAATAATAAAAGAAAAAAAAGAATGTGAAAGCTAAAAAAAAAAATGTCACAGATTTAAAGTATCTTCACTGAAGATACGAAGAAACTACTTCCCCCTGCTTCTCCACCCCTCCCACCGCATGTGCCTAATGGTGGAAAAACCACCGCATCCAGGCAGGGCCTCTCCAGCAAGGAGTGGAAGATGGCAGTGCTTCAGGGACTGTTGGCTAATGAAATGAGCCAAGGTGAATGAAGTGGAGGTTGCTGGAGAAATGAACAGCACAAAACATTATTCCTGTTTAAGTGATGAGGAAAAAATGAGACCCCTGGGAAGTTTTTAAAAATGAGCAGTAAGATCAAACAATGGATAAGAATAAAGATAGTTATATGGGGTACTTTACTGTAAAGTCCCCTTCAAAGGTGCAATTTTTCTTCGCAAAAGTGTTGGACACATATAGGATCATCAGGATGGAGATAAAGACTAAGGAGAAAATCTGAATGTCAGAATGCTTCAGTGATCAACTAAATTCTTATTTTTTTTCAGAGTTGTGGAAAAAGAACATATCTGAGAGAAAATGAAAGCAACCTCAGGGAAAAGAGAATTTGTTCTTCCACTTATGAACTCTATGATGAAAGCAGTCATTTCTCTTATTTTGTGTGATGTGCTGGGTTGTAAAACAAAGAGCTGGTATTTGAGTTTCCATTTGACAGTGTAATAAATGCAGTTATAATCATTTGCATATTAAAGGTATTATTATTACTTCATGGCAAGTATTTCCAACAAGACAGAATTGAAAAAATATTCTTTTAAGCAGGCTACACATGCTTTTGTCAGTTTTGACATAATCTGAAGCCATGCTGTGTCAAACTGTCAATTGCAGAAATCCTCCAAAGCTACCATGGATCTTATTTCAATCTCTTAAGATTCATTTGATGCCACATAATTGAAAATAACTATTGGTTGTGATATGTTAATTTTATGCAAAGAAAATAATAGGGTGCCACTGTTACGCTTGTAGCCAACCACTTTTAGAGGAAAACTGTATTAAATTTTTAGTCTCTATGACAGCTTGCCTTAAGCTGCATGCCCTTTATAATGTCATTTGGGGGCTCTATTTAAAACTAAATATTCTGAAACATGGCATCAAAAATGAGATCTGAGGTTGCCTTTCTCTGGAACACAGTAGTGTGCCTTTAGTGCTACACATAAAAAATTGTAACCAAATTTTTTTTGAGTTGCAAATTTAAGATGGAGAAAAGATCTCAGCCCCCAACCCCAGCATTGTAAGCTATGATACCACCAGTTATTTCTGCTTGACATCCCTTAAGTAGCCTATAAAGGTAAACCTCATTCAAAGACTTGCAATGCTTGAAGCTTTCTAAACTAATGTTCACCTGTGGGCTTCAAATACTCCTTCCTTTCTATCTAGGGCATTTTTGTAGAATTACATATAGCCTATAGCTTAAAATCTAAATGAAAGATGCAGCTTAGATTGAACTCTGGAAAATAAAGTAAGCAGTTAATGAGATTTAAATTAGTAACATCTGAAAGCTTCTTTTAACGAAAACATTGATTTTAAATAACTTACTAATGAAAAAGAATGGCATTCATTTAGGCTTGGCCTGAGACACATTATAGATTCATTTATCAGAATAAATAAGGATGTGAATATCAGGGCAAGGGCTTCTATTCTGGCCAGGTCATTCCCTTGCAACCTCTTTTTGGGATAACGAGGTTGGAAGCTTTTCTAGTTGCTGTTTGGGCCCCATGATTTCTGATGCTCCTCCCCACCACTGGCACCTCTTCACCTCTACATATCCACATCCATTTCTCATACCCCTAATACTAATTTATTTCACAATTGGTTTCCTTTAAATGCTTTCGTCTCATGAACATAATTTTATATTACAACCCTGCATTAGCATTTGCTATTGAACATCTGAAATTATTCATTTAATCCTTCAAACACCTAGCTGAAAAATTTTTCCATAAACTCTCCTTAGGGTCTTTGCATTTGCATATTCATTTGCACTCTGGGATTGGCTATTCCATGAGTATTGTATCAACTGGTTTGCATTTGGCTTTGAGTAGTAACAGAAAATGTAATCTCAGCGGCTGATGCAAATGGATGATTTTTTCATCTCACATAACAAAAAAGCCAGAAGTAAACAGACCAGGGCTGCTTTGTGCCAGAATGCCATTCACGTTCCAGGTTCATTATATCCTTTTATTCTATCTTTGGCATTTGATTGCCAACTTTGTACTTGTCACTTCATGGTCCCAGGCTGGTTGTTCCACTTCCAGCCTAATGTCTGCATTCTAGTCAAGAAAAGAAGGAAAGCCGGAAGAGGTAGTGCCTAATCTCAGCATATGTCATTGGGCAGAAGTCTGTTACACAGCCACCTTAGGTGTAAGCAAATCTGAGAAGGCAGGTTGCTGCCAACAACAAAATTGGAGTTCTAATAGGAAGGTAAAAGGAGAATGACTATGGAGTATTCAATAACATTTTCTGCTACAGTGTTTTTCACTCATGTTAAATGTAGCCACAACCTATTCTTTAATTGAACTATAAACTTCCTCAGGTCGGAGGTCATCAATTTTATTTCTTTTGTTTCTCTCTCCTCCCCTTAGCATATGTGAACCATTCGATGCCTGATGGTAACTGAATGAACCAAGTAGGCAGCTCTACCACACATCCTCCTCTCCCACTGTGTTAGATGACATCTGTCTGTGTGAATGTGAGTTTAGTTCATAAAAAGGGAGAACAAGCAATATGCATCATGTTTAAAAAGCTGGAGTCGCATTCAATGACGGTTTGGCTACTTGTTTTCTATGGAATAATTTCCAACCTCTAATGGACTGGATGTGTCCCTTAAAAATTCATATGTTGAACATCTAATCCCAATTTGGTAGTAGTTGGAAGTCAGGTCTTTGGAAGATGGCTAGGTCATGAGGGTAGAGCCCTCATGAATGGGATTAGTGCCCTTATGAAAAGAGACATGAGCGCTAGCTCTCTTTCCAACATGTGAGGACACAAGGAGAAGCCAGCAATTTGCAACCTGGAATACAGCCCTCATCAGAACCTTACCATGTTGGCACCCTGATCTCTGGCTGCCAGTGTCCAGAACTGTGAGAAATAAATTTCTATTGTTTAGAAGCCACTCAGTCTCTGGTACTTTGCTTTAGCATCCCAAACTAAGAAAAGCCACTTAGTTGGCATTTCAGACCCTCTTCAACCTAGCCAACTTCCTACCAACTTCTGCAGCATTATGTCCCATTGATCCCTTCCACATTCTCCCCCCTTTTTCAAACTCAATGACTCACTGTTCAGAATTAATCTATATATGATTTATTCTGTGTAATATGCTTGATTGAATAACAAAAAAACAAACAAGCAGTGACAACAACAACAAACTTGGCACTTGAATTTGTCCTTTTACACACAGTGTCTTACCATATTCAATATCTACATTCCTCAATGTCTTCCATAAAATCTTTCTGATTAGATGAGATAATACATGTGAATGCTGGGAGAAGGAGCAGGCGGAAGTGCTGTGCTCTATAGTTCCTTTCCAATCTTACCCCTTATGTATGGTAAACGTTCTTTTTAGCACCCCAAGGCAAAGTTTTACACAATAAATTATCACCATTAGTATGAGAGAGATTTATTTCTCTTTATAGATGCCTCATTATCATGAATCTAAAGGCATGTAACCTTATCTCTGTGGAAGTCTGAAAGAACCAGCATGGATCCAGGAATGATAGTCTCACAGGCTTCCACCATATAGGCCACTAGCATGATGGAGCCAGAACTCTAGGAAGACAGCAGAGAGGTGGAAAGGGGAAGAGGTAAGGTACTCCCAAATGCTGATTTGAGGCTGACTTTCTGCAAGTTACAAAGTCAAGAAATGCTATCCACTACCCACTGGACTCTAAGAATATTCATATTTAGCTACTACTAAAAATGGATGATTTCAATAACAGAATGAACCTTTTGAACATGGGGAGGCATAACAGTGGAATTACATAGGCTAAAAACCTGGTATATAGTAGGTACTCAATAGCAGCTCTCCTTCCAGTTTCCCAACCCCAAAGGAGTTCTTTCTTCCTCTAATTTCTTATAACACCTTGCCTTTACCTCTCTTTTTGGTGATTTTTCATTTTCTGCTTTTTTTTTTTTTTTTTTTTGGTAATTATATGTCATTGGATTATAAATACCTTCAGGGCAAAGAGTGACTAATTTAACCTCATAAAGTCCACAAGGCCTGCTGATAGTGCCTCAAAGATGAAAGGTGCTCCATTATTGAATAAAAGACTGAAAAAATAAATGAATGCCTTAATTCCTGTAAGGCAGCATTTGAAACAAATTTGTTCAAGCAAATATAATATTTTCAAATTTATTTGAAATAAATGGATTTTCTTCCTGATCAGTTGAGGTAGCCAGGAATGGTGCAAAGGGAGACTTAATACTAGTGGCTGTCATCTGACCAAGCATAGGCAGGCAGCTTCCTTTTAATTCAATAAGGACTTACTGGGAACAACTGTATCACAATCCTTGCCTATGAATAAATTATATATACATATTTTTTGAGACAGGATCTCACTCGGTCACCCAGGCTGGAGTGCAGTGGCACAATCATGGCTCATTGCAGCCTTGATCTCCTGGGCTCAAGTGATCCTCTCACCTCAGCCTCCCGAGTAGCTGGGACTATAGGCACATGCCACCATGCCTGACTAATTTTTATTTTTTATTGTGTTTGTACAGACGAGGTCCCACTATGTTGCTCAGGCTGGTCTAGAACTCCTGGGCTCAAGCAATCCTCCCATGTTGGCCTCCCAAGTTGTTGAGATTATAGGTGTGAACCACCACACCTGGCCTAGATTATATTTTGAGGGGAGTATGACAACTAGTTTCACATAGGAAATGAGACTAAAATAGATGACAGTTTAACAATTAAGTCATTTAGGTGTCTTTAGTTAAAAACATCAGACCAAATCAACACAAATTTTTAAAAAATGAAGAAGAAACCCTCAATCACCTTCATTGAAATATATGGTCATATTTATTCTTCCAGTGGAAAGCATTACAGAGTTGCATTTTTATTTTCCAGGATGGTGAAATATATACCTGTTTGTGATGTTGATTCCCACTTTGATACCATTGGTGTTCCCACTTATTCACCAAAAAATAGTTTTCTGGTTATGTCAGCACTCATAGCTCTCTAGAGACCTCCCAGCCCCCAGTGTGTCAAATAGTTATTTCTGCTCATTGCTCTAGAACAGAGTTGTCCAAGGGAAATTTCTGTGATGGTAGAAATGTTCTACATCTGTGCTAATACAGCAGCAGTTAGCCACATGCAATTATTGAGCATGTTAGATGTGACTACTGAGACTAAGGAAGTGAATTTTTAATTGAATTTAATTTTAGCTTATTTAAATTTAAATAGCCACCTGTAGTTAGTAGCTATTACATTGGACAACACAACTTTATATGTGGAAAGACAGGCCATCCTCTTACAGTGCTGTCTACTCTCTCTACCTGCCTTAGGACATCTGGTATTCTGCCCTCTCCTTTCATCAAGATTCTCTTCTCATAAGTCTTCATTCTCCCATCAGAAAGCACACAATGACTCAGATACCACATTCCTAACTTGGCTTACTTGGCAGGGCATGGGGTGGCTTCTGATAGGGAAATGACTTTATCCATATGAATTTGTATAGCTTTATCTCTGCCCAAGATCTCTTCATGCCAAGGCATAAAAGAATGTAGCAGGGCATTTTAATTTGGTTCTACTGCCTCCTTACACATATCTTTCTCATTTTACAAGCTAACATTGAAATGGACTTCTCCAGAAAATTTCCTCACATTAGTCCTACCCATTCTCTATTCCTGCTCCTCTTATCTCTTGCTATGCAGTACACAAAGTCAGTGATACAATGAAGAGGAGTTAGAAGACAATGGGAAAGTTTGTTGTTACAACCTCCTGTCAACTAAAATATTGAGATAATACTGTAATTTTCTAATGATGGCTTCAGTTCTTCCAAAGAATCTGAATACATATACCATGAGCAAATTATGATAACACTCTTTAGAATTAATTTGTGCATATCAACAAACACTATACTTGAGCACACCCTCTTAATGGTGTGACTCACTATAGTCATCCAAGTGCTCATTTATTTCATAGCATTTGTGCACTGCACATAGCAAAGACTCACGAAAATATGATCACATTTACACGTGCCTTTGTGGAGGATATTTATGGCATCCTTTCGCAACTGTCCAGAAAGGAGGGTTCAGGTGGAACAGGAAATAAAGGTCAAAGTAAGCAAAATTAATACCAGAGAAAATCTAATATAAGCCTGGGTCTTATAATAGCAGTTGGATGCAGAAAAATATATAACCATATTCTGAAGTCAGCTGGATCAATGTGAATAAACACTATCCTAATGAAATTTCCTTTCAATAAAAAAAAATTAACCTAGACGCATATTCAAGTGCAATGAATAGTCATCTTTTTAACACTTGAATACATTCGATAATGCACAAAGTCACAAAACACTATCTTCTTTGATGCTTGTGATTAGTCTTCATCCCACGCTTTATTGGGCATACATGGAGCTGATTTCATTAAAGCTAATGATACTGCCTGCTTGGCCATCTGTGGAACTCTTCTCTCCCATGTTTCACTGTGATAGTAATCCCAAGTGCCAAAATGCAGAGTTAGTCCCAAATCTACAGCTTATGTTTTTAGAACCTCTGCTTAAGGTTTCAGTAGAGCAGAAGGACAACCAGTAATTCAAAACCCTAAATCCCACTTGACACAGTGTGCAAAGGCAGTTGTCTTTGGGGGATCTGGGCATCTGCATAACATATCTCCTTGTGGAAGACTATAAAAGGTGGCTATTTCTCAAACTTCCTTATGAAACCCCTAAGCTAGAGCAGGATCCAATTATCAACATAATTATTTTGGTATTTTTGAATCACGTAATAATTTTTGAGCATTTATGTGCCCATCACTGTGCAGTTACTAGGGTTGGAAAATATGATTTAAGATACAGCTCACATTCTCAAGGACCTTACATTTTAATTCTCCAGTCTCATTCTACCATCATATATTAGTAGTGTCAAATATATTTCATTAGCAATTATCTGTATTATGCTATTGCAAAATGAAGCTTTCCCTATCATGCAGCCTGCAAATGGATAATGAAATGCTTGAATGGCATAAAGATTTGCTTTTGACATTCTCCTTTTATTTTAATCTAGATAAACAGCCAACTAATTTTGATGTTTGGTCAGCCTTTGAAAAATTGAAACTAAATAATAGTTACAAGTTTTTGTGGGAGAATCTTATAAACACACCAGATCATTTAATGGCTGCTCTAACTACTGAACCACCAGTCACCCACTACAATAGTTAGAGAACAAGTGAAGTAAAAGGATGAGGATGAGATTTCTCATGCTAGTATATTCCACAAGGTTTGGCAATGCATACATATTAAATATATTAAATAGTAACTACTATTACCTGAATATGTTTAAGTGTATTACTCAGAAAATGGGATGGACAAATAGCAATGTTGCAAGTGGGCATCTTTTTTTTTTTTTTTTGTAGCTCTGAATCCAAGTAAGATATGGCTTTTCCAAAGTAGCACTCCTTTGTCATCTTGGTTATCACCGTCAGAACAACTTTGATCCATGTAGTGAGACCACAGAGATAGCAAACTCTAGTTGGAGATGCAGGAATACAGCAATTTCACAGTAATTTCTGGAGTTATGGGCCAACGATTAAGTTATAGAATGAAGGATCTTACAAGAAAAGAAAAAGGTAGAGATCAGACTCTGAGATTAGGTACAAACATAAGGCACACACAAGAAGATCCATAATTGGCCAGGACTAGTACTAGCTCCTTTCTGAAGAACAAATGGAAGCTGATATTAGAATTCATTGTATAGACTTTGTAAACTGTATATAGTCCTTATTATAGAGTTTGGGCCTCCATAATCATCTACTTTTTATTGTTCATAAAGTCTCTCCTCACCCTCAGATATCTGGCTCCTGTAGACAGTAGTATTAAGTACCTGAACTAAATGAACCCTACATGGCTATTAAAACCACAATGTTGATAGAGTAGGAAAAACTAAGTGACTACTCTTGAATAATTCTGTGTGTAAACATACTAAAGAGAGAGATACTTACTATATCTGTAGAACTTAGCACAGTGCTCAACTCATAATTGGCAATGAGTAAATATTTGTTGAATGAATGAATGTGCAACATATTACAATAGTTCAATAACATGGGGTAAGGAAGAAAGCTCATAGTATGGCTGTGTCTACATGACTACTGGTTCTACAACTTTTATTTATTTGATAAGAAATTTCATTTAAGCCATTGGCTAATTCTATCAAAAAAGAGGTTGAATTGAATTTGCTCACTGAATTGATCAGATAATTAGCTAATATGACTAAATCAATTTTGAATTGTTCTGGCATCACAAGTAAATGTTTAAAGTTAATAAAAGCAGTCTGTGGCATCAGAAATCACAAAAGCTGAAGAGGTCAAACAGCAAATGGAAATAAAATGCAGTCTGAGATTAGAAAGACAATTTTACAAACACAAAGCTATAATGTATCTTACTAAAATAGAAAAGTGATAGAATGTCTTATTTTCTGATAAGAAAATACCTGCAGGTCTTTCTGTGATGGTATACTATAAAAATGCTATGGTCCGACTACGGGTGTCCCCTCAAAATTCATATGTTGAAACCTAATCCCTAAAGTAGATGGTGTTAAGAGGTGGAGTCTTTGGGAGGTGATTAGGTCATGAGGGTAAATTCTTCATGAATGAGATTAGTTACCATATACAAGAGGCCTGAGGGAGTTTGCCCCTCCTGCCAGGCAAGGACACATAGAAGTCCCCATATATGAGGAACAGGTCCTCACCAGACACCAAATCTGCTGGTGCCTTGACCTTGGACTTCCCAACCTCCAGAAGTATAAGCAATAAATTTCTGTTGTTTAGTAATTACCCAGTCTAAAGTATTTTGTTATAGCAGCCTGAACTAAAACAAAAATATTATAATATTTGTAATTATTGTTATTGTTGGTTCTGTGAGCAAATTCATTTGAAAGACATTTGGGGTGTGTGCATGTGTGCACACACACACATCAGATGCATTACTTAAATGCTAAAATTAAGAAGAGATAAATTGAAGCAGTTATTTATATAAAAATTATTTTTACCATACAGAAAATATTAAAGTTGAATTTCCTTAAGTTGCAAGTACATTTATCTGCTTATAATGTGCCATTTGACAAAAATTAGAAATGAAGAGGGAAAAGAAACAATGCTAAGGTGCTATCAACCATAGTCTATTAAAAATCAATAAAAATAATGTTACATATCTCTCTAAAATTATGAAAATCAGTACAGAAAAAAGAATTTGATTCAGAGGTTATATTTACACAGAATATTTCTCATAATGTGTTAACTGAGAAAAATGAAATCTATCATCTCCACTTCAACATTTTGGTATAATTTTTAGACAGTTATAGATATCATCAGATTTACCAGTGGATGCTATAAAAGAAACAACGGTGGTGATTCCGAATCTCAACTGTTGCCAGTGAAATAGGGAAAGTGATGTTACTTCATAGAAACATTTTTATTGAATACATTTCAACACTGCAAGGAACGCTACACATATCACACTTTTAGCTAATTCAAGTTTCTTCTGTTCAGAACAGCACTTTCTATTTTTTGCTTTTTCTCATATTGATTTCAATTAAGTTCCATCTTTGAGAAACCAAGAAACTTCAAATTGTGCACTTCTCCCCCTAGTAAGTTTGCCCAAAAATGTCTTCTCTCTACTTTAATCACAATATAAAGAATAGAAGAAACAACATAATCTCTTCTGGTAAATAGACTCAGATTTTAATTATTTCTTTCATATACATCCCTAACAAGAATACTTTCCTTGGTTCTCTTATAGGATAACTTTATATAAGGGAACTCATTTGTTTTGGAAAGGAAATAGAGTGGGAAACCATCCAGGCACATTGTCCTCTTTTCTTAGCTATCTTTCTGTTGCAGGTGGTTATCCAAAAGCTGGGCAGTCTGTGAAACTATCATACTGGAATGGTTAAATTTGTTCTTGTGTTTTTTTTCCCCTGAAAATCTATTTTTTGAAAGAACTCTGCATTCAAAGTTTGATCACTATTATTATTATAAGGATCCTCACCTCCTTTTAAATGGCGAAATTATCTTAAATGAACTTTTTGAGAGGAAGCAGCTTAACCACCATTTTCAATAAAACTTTAAAAGGCTCAATGCATTTGACAACATTCTGGTTGAATTTCCAACTGTGTTTTTTTTAAATTAAAATAAATAAATATGTGGTAGAGCATCAACTTTGTAACCTGAGCATTGTTAAAGCCGACATTTGCAAAACAACTATGCTAATATGACATTTTCTTTTTCTTTTTTTTTTTTCTTGATTCTTTGGGATGATCTGACAATGAACCAAGACGACTTTCATTGAAACCTTTGGTATTTGACCAAGTGCCATCTATACTTCAGTTGCTTTCAAACTATTTTCATTTTCCTGCCTCCCTGCCACGAATTAAAGGAATAGGACATATTAAGACTTCAGCAAATTTCCTATACCCACCAGAGAGTAACACAGAGCATGGCAGCCAATTCACAGAAGTCTTTAAAAGAATTTCAATGCCCTTTTAGTCAAAAAGACTACTATGGCTATCATGAAACAAATTGTTTTATGGTATGCCTACGCCTTGGGCTTTACTTTTCCTCTCTGGAGATTAGAAATAATTCAGCAAAGCAGATATCCCCACTCATAAGCTAATGTGTATCTCTTTCTGACTGTTACATTTTTCCAGTAAACAAAATTCATGCAATGCCACTAATCCTACCAGTGAACTTTGAATAGCTAACTTGTTTTCTATGTAATGTTCAAGAACTACCTGCTCAACTTGAGGATAAATTATATTAGCGTTTGGAAGAACTAAACTAATTTACAGGAGGTGTCAGCAAATTATGGCCATTGAGCCAAATCCAGTATGCTGCCTGTTTCTGTATTGGCCTATGAGCAAAAAAAAAAAAATATTTACAGGTTGAAATGGTTTTTAAAAAGTGAAAATAATAATATTTCATGATGTAAAAATTATATGAAATTCTAAATTCAGTGTCCACAACCACCCTCATTTGTTTATATATTAATATGTTATATATAATTATATATGGCTGTTTCTATACTATGACAGCAATTGAGCACTTGTGACAAAGACCTTATGGCTCACAAGGTCTAAACTGTTTACTATCTGGCCTTTTACAGAAAATAAAAAGTTTGCTAACCCCGATGTAGAGTCCTATTTACTTAGGAAAAACAGCTGTAATTGTTGCCCTTTCCCCTTAAATACAGCTTAGAAGTACAGATCTCCAACACTGAAGCTAAGATGGAATTAAGGATATGCTTTCAAAACACAACCAACCAACCAACCAACAAGAACAAATAAATAAAAACTCCAACAAGACTAGAATTTGAGTTCCAGCTCTGCCACTAATCCCCTGTGTAAATTTAGTTACACTACCTTCCCATTCTTGCCTGCCTTTTCTTACCTGTAAAATTCAGTTTGAATGAAATTGTTTCTCCGGTCCTTTTCAGATCTAGAAATCTAACATTTGCTTTTCCTCTTTTCAAATTTCGTATTTATATAACAAAAAGAATATCCACTTTATTAGAGGACTCATGACAGGCTTTCTGTTTCTAGTAAGCTCTTCTAGGGTACTTGAGTGTTTGCTTAAGAGGTCATCACTTACTAAGTACTTGACTGACAAAGTTGAAGTGGTAGGCTACTAGAGATCTACTAAAAATAAATAATGGTAGTAACTCTGAAATGATCCTGAAAGTCAATGTGAAAATGGAATTCAAGTGACAGAAAAGATTTGTGTCTGAGTTTTTTAGGGATATATCTATTTGTATAACACACTACTTAACTGAAATATACCTCATTCTTATGCTAAACTCGCATTTTATCACTAAGGCATGTAGTATAGGACTTCTATCTCAAGTGTAATCTGTGGACCAATAATATTTGCATCCTCCTGGATGGAAGCTTGTTAGAAATGCAGAAAATCAGGCCCTACCCTAATTCTATTGATTCAGCATCAGCAGGATAATAAGGTCACCAAGTGATTTGATTCATACAGATATTAAAATTTGAGAGGCATTGGTACAGAATAGTACTTCTCAAATGGTCGGCGGTAATACATCAGAATCACCTGGAGGTGCTAAGTAAATGCACATATTACTTGGCCCTAAATCTTGATCTACTGAATCCAAATCTCTTGAGTGAGGTCTGAAAATCATGTTTTTCTAAAAGCAGTCAATGGGATTACTGTGCACAATATTTGAGGAGCACTGGAATAGTGGTTAAGAACATGGATTTTTTAGTCAAACATTCCTAGTTCTCTCAATAGCCTTGTGACATCATGTTACATAACTTGTTTGAAGCTTGATTTATCCATTTGTAAAATGGGCATAACAAAAGTACCTGCCTTATAGGGGTTTTGTGAAGATTCAAATACAAAATACATGTGTCTAGTATACAGAAAACACTCAGTAAAACATTAGCTGTTATCATCAGAATTATCATCATTATTAGCACCAGCAGCAGCAACAGAAGTGTTGAAAGATTAAGCTGAATACGTAGGTGGGATGAGAAAAGATGATGTGGGAGTCTTGTTTTCAATATTAATCAACTTGCACTTTAATCTGGATGTTTTGGAGAACCACTGAAGGGTTCTAAGCAGAAGAGTTGCCCAAGCTTTAATGAACTGGGCTTTGGTGGATGGTGAGGGCATCTACACCAAAAAAGGTCAAGAAGGATCACCTATTTCACAATAGGCTTGTGGTATTGGGCTGCATACTAAGGAATTCTTTAATCCCAGCCATCTTCAATATATAAATTAGATGATATATCATTTGAGATACCTCCTGGTTCCAGATATTAGCAGCAGTTGCAGAGTTACCTGAGATTAGGAATGACCCCCGATCTAAAAACCCCTGCAGTCTTTCTATTCTGCCAATAAATCAACCATGTTGCCTAAGAGTCAGCAGGGGGATGAGACAAAAATCAATGATCTGAGAGGGTGCCATATGCTATGGTTTGAATGTATATGTCCCTTCAAAATTTACATGTTGGAACTTAAACCCCAAGGTGATGGTACTAAGAAGTATTGCCTTTGGAAGGTGATTAGGCTATGAGGGCTCTGCCGTCATGAATGAGATTAGTGCCCTTATAAAAGTATTTGAGGTAGCAAGTTTGTCCCTTTTTTCACCTCCTGACATATGAAGATTCAGCAAGAAGTTTCCCTCTATGAGGCTGAGAGCAAGCCCTCACCAGACCTGGAATCTTCTGGCAGCCTTGATTTTGGACTTCTCAGCCTCTGGAATTGTGAGACTGGAATTGTGAGAAACAAGTTTCTCTTGTTTATAAATTACCCAGTCTAAGGTATCTTGTTATAGCAGCAGCAATGGACTAAGACAACATAAGTTATTAGAGACTAAAAACTTCACAGAATTAAATATCTTCATAGAAGAGATATACTCTCAGTTGGATTTGGAAAAAATTTAGATGTTTGGCAGAAATAACAACACAACAGAAAAGTTAATTAAGGCTCTGAGATTCTTCTATTCTTCCCTAGTCTAGATTCACAGCTCTAAAACTTCTACTCCACCATGGCCAATTTATCAATCTAACACTCTTACTTTGTGGACACATTTTGTTTTGTACTATAGCTAATATTAGATACGAAACATGTATGTCTTCAAGAAGCTTACAATTCATTCATAGAACTAAGGCCTAAATATAAGAAATCACTAGAGGGCAATGCAAGGAAAACTAGAAGCAAGAGCTAGAAGTAGTGGGTCAGTCAGAGCATAAACTATATAGAATCAGAAGAAAAAGAAAGAACACGGTGGGTCAATAATATTATCAAATGTATGGAGTCAGTAAACACCAGGGAAATGGTTGAATAAATTGTGATATACCCAGAGCTCACAACACTATACCTTTTTTAATATGAGTTATATGTATCATACCAAATGACTTGAAGGAATTTCCAAAATGTACCATTAAGTGAGAGTGCAGAGAAGTGTACATAGCATAATTTCACTTGTGTAAAACAAACAAAATTTCCTGTGTATGCTTATGCATATAGAAAGTTGTGTAGATATACACATCATGTTGTTAATATTGTTTCAAAGTAGTGGAAGGCAAGTAGTTCTGATGTAGGAGGGTAGTAAACGGCAACATAATAGGAAGGGAAAGAATGAAAAAAGTCATAACACAGACCAATTTTTGGGCAAGCACATAAAAAATAAACAACAAATAAGAATGAGCAATAACAGTCTTAAGGCAAAGAGGAGATATTTCAGCAAAACCTGGCAGGAAGAAGCCCAGGGACATAAAAAAGGAGGATCAAGAGTTCTGTCATGTCCTTTCCTTAGCCACTGCTTAAGGGTTGGTACATGTTACTTAAGCAGAAGGAATTAGAGATAGATAGCAGACTCCTTTGGATTATTACAATTTAGTTGTAAGCATACACACCAAATCACAATGCATTCTCACAAAAATATCTCTGAGTACTATATGTATTATAAAATTTCCCACATTTCTAAATGGAATGAAGTCTAGGAGATTAAACTGAATATGTATGTATACTCTGGCTGTTTTCTATTTGTAGTTTTTGCTTACCTATTTTAAAATTCTCAATAAAAATTTTTTTCATTTGTCTGTCTCTTCCAAACTGAAGCATTTTAGTTTGTTTGCATTTTCCTTGTGAAATACTGTTAAAGGTATTAAATAATGACCTACATACAAGAAATCTTTAGTTTAATACAACTTATTTGGCAAGGTTCAGATTTGGTATAAAAACCTGAAGAAATTATTTTGGTGGTCTTTTCCATTATTTTTGGATAAGGACTTCTAACTAGAGTCACATAAAGAGTTCTACCACTGTGTTTCCTATGAACCAGCCATGTGAATTTGGACAAGCCAGTTTGTTCCTTTAAGTGTATAATTTTCCTAGTCTAATATAGTTGGAAACTGAAAAGTTCTGTTTCTTCCAATCCTAAAAATGTGTTATCCTACAAAACTACCACATGCAACTTACACTCATGCTCAAACTAGCCACTGATGGTCCTCAGTCACATGACTTATTCAGGACATAATGCAGATACCTACGCATAAATTAAAATAATAAACCATGATAAATATATTGAACAAATACTTGGTTGACAGCCTTTGGGGAGGTAGCTGGCAATACATTTATTCTTTTGCTGGAATAAGAAAGTGTCTCTAAGCCTGTCAATCTTCCAAATATCGAAACCATTGGTTAGAGAAAAAGTTATTGGTCTCTTGCTGCTTTATAACTTCAAAGATTACCTGTTCTTATCTGAGATCTACTCAAGTGCATTTAGCAATTAAATTCCTTTCCTTGCTTGCTCTTTTAGGAGTCTCTATAGCACACATGTAAAAACTGAAGAATCACCAGACTCAATTTTTCAGAGAGAAAAAAGGAAGCAAAGATGAAGCTTTAGCTGATGCTCATACATTTTTGCTATATTGTAATTGATTTCCAACTCTCAACATTTCTGGGCAAAATATCAAAGGTTATAGAGTGGAGGGCTATGCTTCTTGTAATATGTGGTGATGCTCTTCTGGCAGAAACTGGAAGCAATGCCCAATCAACTTGGGAAGAATACTGAATATCTGGTATGTTGCCTGATTACATTTGTTACTAAAGAAATGTTTTGTCGGTATTCACAGAAAATAATACAGTTGATGCCTACATTATGACACAAACCTTACTGACCTACACATCTATAATGAGAACTAAGATAAAGAGAATGGTTTTCGCAACTAATTTCAATGGCGTATTAATTCACCTTGATTCACCTGCTATATTCCAAACACTAAAAACATAATTTCACCTCCTTAGCAAATAGCTGAATGGAAATTTTATTTAATCCTTAACAAAAGAAACTAGCTTGGAACTTATAAGAATTCAGAAAGGAACCTTGTTAAAGTTTGCTTTCCAACATATGTAGGAGGAAAAAAGGAACATAGTAAACAAATTACTACATAGGGAATAGCCAGTGTCAATTATGCAGGGATGTTTGCTAGCATGATTTCATATCCACATCCTTATGAGCAATGAGTCATGGGAGGTGATTTCCTAGAGAGAGGGCAGATCAGAGAGAAAGCTGTGGATGTCTCTTTAATCTCCAAATGGCTTTTTCCAACTGATTCCTTACTTGAAATTTCCCAGACACCAGGTAGTATAGACTGGTATAGAATTACATGATAGATCAATAGCAAATCTGTGACATCCATTTGATATAATCAAATACATAGAGCACTTTCAAATGGAAGAGAAAGTACATTGATTCTGTATGGCTACAGAGGCTTAACTAGGAGCAAGTACAGGAAAATTACAGACAACCAGGATTTGCCTCAGTGTTTAGGAAGAACTTCTCAGCAATGAGATAGACTACCTACAAAAATAGCATGTTCTGCCATTACAGAGGGGTACTGTCTAAGAATTTCTTACACTGGATAAAAACTTGAACTACATAGTTTCTAAGGTCCCTTCTAATTCTGGAATTCTATTTTCTAGGACTATTTTTAACATACTTGAGAGAATTATTTTCATATTTATTTATTTATTGCCTTTATTCTCAGAGAGGATTGATTTTAAGTACAGTTTTCCCTCAGTATACACGGGGGGAATTGGTTCCAGGACCCACTCTACTCGATTTCCATAGTCAGTTCTGTGGAACCCACATATAGGAAAAGTTGGCTCTCCATATACACAGGGTTCACATCCTGTGAATACTGTATTTTTGATATGAGTTCGTTGAAGAAAAAACCATGTATATGTGGACTCATGCAGTTAAAACCCACATTGTTCAAGGGTCAACTGTATTTTGTAAATATCAACTGAGAAAAAAGTAATAAATTATTACCTATTTCTTAAACATAATCAGAGAACTTCTATTGAAACAGTTTTTATTAGTTTAGTTATAATTTCTGTGCTTGAATGAAATACAGTTTCATTCTTTTAAAGATATTTTGTTATTTTGACTGGCCTTCCTTCCCTGGGATACCTGTCATTGCAATAGCCATTTAGACAGAATTAGTAAAGAGTTAGCACGTGACTTTGGGAAAAATGGATGAACATTTAAGAAGCTTGTGGGATTAGGATAATTAAATGACTTTTTAAAACATTAAGTTTTTTTCAAGGTATAAGCTCTAATGCCTTATTATACGTTCAACACACATTTATTGAGCACCTTTTTTCTGCCAGGCACTGTGCTAAGTTCTGGGAATATATGTGGTAGAAAATAAAACAGACAACCCCTTTCACTCATGGAAATGATAACATTAACCATTGTACCTTTAACACAGAAATATATTGGAACTTAACAAACAGTATTCTCTTTTTTAAGTGCCTGGAAATCAACAACAAGCAGCTTAAAGAAAGTACCATACACAAATGAAATGTCATTGGAACCAAGAATTTCAGACTATCCTTAGATAAATGTATGATTTTGTAAGGTGTAACATACATTTAAAAAATCTTTAAATAAAATTGAAAGGAAAAGAAGCAAGGAAGGAAAGAAAGAAAAGAAAGGAGGGAAAGAAAGGAGAAAGAAAATGCATTTGGGAATCATAAAAACATACCAGGAACATTTTATTCAAATTTTATACACTTGTCACTGTGGCTAACTTAATGAACAATCACGTTTTTCAAAGCAGGTGAAAAAAATTTAAAGTGAAATTCAAAGAAATGGAAAAAACAGAAATAGACACCTTCTCTTAATAGTCCTAAAAATATTATAATATGATAGTATCTTTTTATAGAAGTAGTAGAAGAATGTGTTAGTCTAGGATCTCTGAGAAACAAATGCCAAGAAAGGATTGAACATGCAAGAATGTCATTAAGGGAAATTCCTGTAATAGAAAATGAGGAGGGAGTCAAAGAAGACTAGAAAAGCTGGCAGACCACAATGCAAATCTGACCCTGAGTGGAGGAAGTTTAGATGGAAAAATAAAATAAAAATAAAAATGTTATAACATTTATGAGCCTATAAATAGGCATATATGGGGTTTACTTCAATTAAATATGTTTGTAAATCATATAATCTTGACGCCATGACTTTGTACTCTGAGGTATATGGATGGGCTTCACAAGTTTACAAATCCCTTGAAAGTGTACACAAAACCATATGTTCATGTATATTTTCTCCTGTGTAGAGATTTCTGTTTTCTCTAGATTCTCAAAAATAGCCTATGACCTACTCTAACCCCCCATCACAAAGTTCAAAAAAACAAAATTACTGTTTTAAAGGTAATATGATGGGACATCAGAAAGGCGAGATGGGCTACTGGCAGCATAAAGGCTATGTAGTACAAGGAGGAATAATGACCAGTTAAGCACTTTAGCAGAGTGCCAGGACTGTTATAAGCCAATTTACAAATGACAGGAAGTCAAGGTTGTGCCTTAAAAACCTCTGAAATTGTTCTGATGATGCTACATTTAGATAGGTGATTAATAAGAATGAAGTTGATGAGAATTTGCTACCTCCAAAAGGAACCATAATGGATTATAGCATTAAACCAAGCCAGGTTTGAGGCAATTTATCTCTAAATCATTTTGGGAGAGGCCCAGGAACAGATATGTTGATAAGAGTCATGGAGGGTCTTTGTTTAAAAGCCTGTAGGTTTTGAAGGAAGACTGCAGAAGGAGATAAAAAGAGAACGTTGATAAATGTAGTCCTATCTCTAGGTTACTTAAGGGAAGAGAAATACTAGTTCACTTATATACCTAGCACATACAGCTTTGAATATTTAAACACAATTTTAAATAATCCTCTCCCATGTTACCACTGCCATTGGCACCCACAAAAAAAATACTATTTAATATGCTTTGTTCCAAAGGTCTGGCAGAATTCATGGTTCTAACTCATCAACTACATCTCAGATCATCAATCTACCAATTATTCTCATGCCTCACTGATCATACAGAAAGAAGATGTGTTTGATTCATTCTTTTTTTCCAGTAGTGTGGAAAATGTGCAACTGCTTGTGATTTGTGGCTGATATTCGTATCATGACTGGTTGGGTTAAAGGGATGGGATAGATTTAAGCTAACTGGTTCAAATAAGAACTGAATCTTTAACTATGATGCCATCCTAACGTGGGGCTCTCACCAACTAAACTAAGCTACTAGGATATTGCCCTGATATGAAAATAAATTCTTATATATTTAAAGAATATTGCAGGAATAAAGTTTTCCTAACCCTACCTCCACCCCTACTCCCTATTTTTCCTTCTCTGGCTCTGCCCCTTTTTTCTATCTTTATCTTTTAATTAGGCATCATTGTTTCTCTCCACTGGGATATAAATACCTCAGGTAAAAGTTTCTTGGCAGAATCTAATCCTATATCCTTTTCACCACACTACAATAAAGTACTATATGGACTTGGGCAAAATGAAAGGAAATTTTTCAAACATTATTTCATTGAAATGAGTATATGTGGTCAATTTCATTTTAGCTCATCAGGATGCTCTTGGGTATAAAGTTTACAATTTCAGGAAAGCCTCATAAATATTTATCTTTGAACCAACATCCAGATGCAAGGCTAATTAATGGGTCCTGGGCCCTGTACAGAACAGATAACAGGTTTGCCTACTGTCTGCCTTCCCACAACCCCCACACTGTAATGTTAGCTTTATGAGAGCACAGACTTCATTTTGCTCACTAACACATCATTTGAAGCTAAAATAATGCCAGGGACATATTAGATGCTCAGCAAATGTTTCTAGACTGCATAAGTAAAAGAATATGGTCCTTGTCCCTTGTAGACTTACCTAAATACATTTTACTAAGAAATTCCATCTGGATTTTTATTTATAAATAAGATACCATGTATTATGTGACTTTTCCACATTGGCAAATTAGGTTCTCTGAATTAATTCAGAAACCAACATGCCAAGGTCAAGATTCCCCAGAGAGCAATGGGCATCTGTCTGATGATCATCTTTTGTAATTCTCCAGCCTCTTATGTGGGTCAGTCTTGGTCACTCTATGGATACTGTCTGTCTCTGGTATGGCTTGGGTTTTACTTTAAAAAGTTTTTAAATTGTAATATATTTTAAACCCATTTTCTAAGCACTCTCTGTTGTATTGCAAGTATAATTTATTTCTTTCTTCCTTTTTTCCTCCAAGGCCAAATAGGAGACATTTAAAATTCCCTCTAAGAAGTTGAGTGTTTGACTAGAGCAAACCCTCTTGTAGAACTTGTGTTATTTGTTCAAAACAAAACAAAAATGTAATCTTCTAAAGGTCATCCTGGTTCCAAGAGTTACCAATTTTCCCCTTCTGCAGTTCTAATAAAAGAAATATGCATGTACTATTGAAATAGAGACACTCCAGGGACCAGAAATTAAATAGACTGTCACAAGGTAACCTGGATATAAACAGATGGACAAATGCTGGATCTTCAGCTGCACTATTCCGTGGGGTTTCCTTTAGCCAATTTGAATGTCTCTGTGGAGGAGAGCCTTTACACCTGACACATCTGTGCTCCAGATCCCCTGCCTTTAAAATGACTTTTCTGAGTGCTATTGGAAACAAGAACATTAAGATAATGGCAAGAATGACAGTGAGGCATACACAAGGGAAGTAAAATAAATGAAATCAATTAGTATTATAAATATTGGCTCCTCTTTTACACATCTTTTGTGTCAATTACATACACAACATCCTGAGGCTCCAAGAATTAACCACTTTGCTTTGATCGAATAACAAGAATTAGAAGGAAAAAGAGAAGAGTGCCTTTATTTTGCTATTCTTAATCACTGTTTCTTTCTAACACCACTTGAATTTAGAACAAAACAAAACAAAAATGTCTCCAATACAATCAATTGCTTCTGAAAAATAAAAAAAAAGTTTATTCAGAAAATAAAATATTGGTTTAAATAAACCTATTTAATAGAAAACCACATGCTCCAATTTACTTGATTTAATGGAAAAACACTCGTAGCCCAGTATAAATGAAGACAAAATGTGCATAACCAACAGCCCTGTTAAAATGGCAGTAGTAGAGTGTATCATTTTGAGGTCAGCTGTCATTCTGTTTGAATGGGTCCCTTAACAGATCACAGAGCAGATGGAAAAGGCCAGTATGACATGACTCTCTGACTTAATTATAGCATTACCAAGACAGCATATGGACATTGTATGTACTGGAGAATTTTTATTCAAGTTAATTTATTTGCACATAAATTCGGTGATGTGCTTCATTTGGTTTTACATTACCTTCAATATTTATATTTCTCTTTAATTGAATCATTTTTATCTATGGATTAATAGGTCAGGCTGTTCTACCAATTATAGCTGACGCTTGTTGAAGCCCACATTAAAAAAGAAAGGTGTGGAATTTAGATTTATGTCTTATTCAAGATTTCTCAATTTAGAACACTATTACAGTTCTGCCCATAGCTATCATTCCTGCAAGTAGGGGAAAGGGTCTTAATGCAGCAGGCATTTGACACCTCCCATGGTTTAGAAGGCAGCATCCATCTTTTGCTTTTAAGAAACTGATTAGTCCACCAAATGGTAAAATGCACAGCAGAGGAAAAAAAAAAGGACACCAAAGAGAACTCAATCAGTTTTGCAGGAAACACATCACCTTACAACCCATTCCAAGTCAAATCCGTGAGAGCTACTGATCTAATTCATTTAAAAAGGAGTTGGAGAGCTCCAGGATTTTACTGCAAATCTGTCACACTCAATTCTGCATAGACACGGTATGCATCACTGGAAAATAATTTAAAACTTCTGCAGACATCGGGGAGTATAGTCTAAGTGCTAAATTTAGGTGACAGCACAGATAAAACAGGAAGTGAAATATTGCCCAAAGAAACCAGCCCATGACTTGGTCAAAGCCTGAATTTAGATCCTCAGTCCACAATATATCAGCAGCTGTAATTTAACTGGATTCCCAGAAGAGCAATAAAATGGTGGCTTGGGAAGAGGGCAGTAACATCACATACATACCAGTTTTGGCTTCCACTCCAAAGTGCCAGATCTTATTCTCGATAGTTGCTAAAAGGCAGATTTAATTTGAATTCAAATAAATATGAAGGCAAAGAGACAATTGGGTAATGCTCTGATCACGAATATTTAAAGGTTATTTCATTTATCTAAAAGTACTAAAATAACTCAGATGAGAGAGTAATTCTTCTCTTTCCACCCACATAGAGACACAAATATTTCTTGAGATCCTAATCCCTTTCTCCCTGGGTAAAGGATATTGGAGGGACTAAATATATATATCTAGTATGTATCATACAGGTTTTGCTGGTTTAAATGAATTTTCCTTTTTCTTCACAAAGAAGCTATCTTGCAGCCCCACATTTCACAAATTCATTGTAACAGTGTCAGAATCATCAGTAGAGCATCAAAATTCTAGTGTCAGACTGTCTGGGTTTGAGGCTTGTTCAACCACTTAATGGCCATGTGACCTTGGATAAGTCACTTCTTTGTGCCTAAATTTTCCCATCAGTAAAAACTGGGACAGTAATAATACCTACTCCTTAGAGTTGTTGTGAAGATTAAATAAGTCTATATAATAAGCTTACAAAGAGTTCCATAAATGTAGCTGTTTTAATTACTATACTAAATTACTATAGTAATTTAATTACTATAGTCATTGTTATCATCATTATCATTACAATAATGGATGTATTTGATACATTAGTCATTTCACAGTATCCAACTAACTTTTTAGTTTAAACTACATTGCTTACAGCTGTACATTTTTTGTTAACACTTTTTCCCCCAAACACTGCCTAAGTGGACACACATGCTGGGAGTGAATCAATTGTTGACTGGCAAAAGCCAATCCAATTTTCTTGAAAATTTGAACAAAGAGAAAACAAAGACTAAATAGGTCAGAAGTTATTGGGCACCGAAAGCATTAGGTCAAAAACATTTAGGGCCAGAATAGGTGCAACAACAACCTAAAGCTACAGCTGAGCTGGAGGTGTGGGGAAGTAGAAATTAAGAGCCAGGCAGAGGAAGCCATTTTGTAGAATGCAGGATCGAGCCGCTGTGCAGAAAGAAGCAGAGATGACAGATTGTGTTGCTACAGAGAGCAAGAGATGGAAAGATGAGCTAGCTGCCTGACAATTTCTAATCCCCCATGAGTTGGGGTTCCATGAGACTTCCTTTACCCTAAAATGCATTCTCCTTTACTAGGCTTAACTTGTGAAGATTCCTGTTTTTTGCAATCATATAATCTCTAAGACATGTAAGAATATACTTCAATTTGTATTCAAATCCTTCAATTCAAATGCTTGCTCCCTCATTAAAAAAAAAGTATCTAAGTTCTTTCCAACAAGAGATGTATCTGTTCAAATTGATTTATTGAACTGTACAAAACACAACAGAGCCCTGTTATGATGGAGCTTGTAACTAAAAACCTGGCTACATCACAGGTCAAAGTGTGTCCTGTGAAATGTAACAACTGCACTGAGCCTGGTTTTTCTGCAATACTGGGATCCATAAGGCTTGTCCCCAAGACACTGGCACGGCTAACCACTGTATCAGTAACTTACCTACAAAACCATGAAGTTTAGACCTACATAGTTGCAGTTAACAAACAAAAACCAGAAGCACCCGCCCATTTTAATTTCTGCATCTCATTTTTATTGGGGCTGTGTACCATATGTTTTTTGAGCTATGGCACATGATGAACATTTCCGAATACGCTCACATCTCTTCTTACAGGGTAATAACTATCTGTGCATGAGTTTTCCCAAACAGGAATTGTCAGCTATCATTTAAACATCAAATCTGGAGAAATGAAAAGCAATACATTTCAGAAGAACAACAGAAATTGCTCAAAAGTCCATGGAGATTTTAGATTTTTATAACATGTTTTCCTTTTCCTTTTTTTCCTTCTTAATTTGCTAGTTTGGTATTCCTAAACTTACCCATAGAGCTGAAGTAACTAAAAATGGCTGGCTTGCTAGGACCACTCAAGTGAGCACCTCTTTGGAATAAATTTAATCCTAACACAAATTGGCCTCAATTTACTTGCACATTTGTGAATGGAGTAAATATGTAACTCACTTGGCATTACCAGCTGCCTCTGAGCCAAGAATACAGAAGAGTGGCTTCCTGGGGATGTCCTTTCCTCTCACTTGATCAGCCCTAGGACCAGAAGCTCTTTGCATTATTTCCTTTTTTCAGCTACTGGGGCTGATGGCCCTGACCTTTGGAATAACAGATTGACTTCTCTGGTGGTTTTTTGTTTCTGGATCATCAAAGACCACATTTAAATTGTTTGATAATGCCACCTCAAATATTTTCTTGACACAGTCACAGTACATACAGACTATTTTGTTCTCTACACTGGGGTGAAAACTTAGCCACTTTAAACAACTATTTTGGAATTTCCCTTTGAATATTTGTTGAGGTTTATGGGTCCAACATTGACTTCAAGTCTGTCAGGCAACAACTAACAGAGACAGTTTAAAAGAAGAGTTTATTTCTATCTTTATTCTGCCTAGTTCTGGAAGGTAGAAAGTGGGTCACTGTACTTCATGTACCTAAATGATATTAATGATCTCAACAATATCCCTTAAGCTCTGGCTTGTTTATACAGTAGTGTAGCTGGGTTACTCTCACTCAGTCCCTCTTATGAGCAATATGTATTAGTCTGTTCTCATGCTGCTATGGAGAAATACCTGAGATTGGGTAATTTATGAAGAAGTTTAATTGACTCACAGTTCCGCATGGCTAGGAAGGCCTTAGGAACCTTACAATCATGGTGGAAGAAAAAGGGGAAGAAAGGCACCTTCTTCACAGGGCAGCAGGAAGGAGAAGTGCTGAGCAAAGGGGGGAAAAGCCCCTTATAAAACCATCAGATCTCATGATAACTCACTCGCTATCATGAGAACAGCATGGGGGTAACTGCCCCCATGATTCAGTTACCTCCCACCAGGTCCTTCCCGGGACATGTGGGGATTATGGAAACTACAATTCAAGATAAGATTTGGGTGGGGACACAGCTTCAAGGACAGAGCCCATTCACTCACCTGTTGAGTGTCTGTGTCAACTCTGGGAAAGCAACTTGTTTGTTTCAGTGGTTAAACCTAAATGATTACTACCTTTCCATTAGAATTAATTTGTTAAGAAAACAATGTTTTAGAGACATTTTCCCCAAAAAAGTCAAAAACCCAAAACCCAAATTTTCCATTCTCTCTGCCACATCAGTATACTCATTCCATTTCTGATCAAATCCACTGGTTTCTCACAAACAACTGCACAATCCAATCTTGACTATCAGACAATAAATCTTCTCATCTGTGCTGGATTTCTGATAAGAAGAAGTGCTATGTTCTTTTTTAAGACTTTGTACTTTTAAATCACAAAATGTTTTGAATGGTGGTTTTGATGTGAAAGGTACACCAAAAATACACAGTAATGAAGTATGACAGTAATACGTTCACCAAACTGGAAGGTCTAAAATGGTGGCAAATAATATTTCAAGAAGATTTCATTGTACTAGATTGCTCTCTAGGGAAAAACTTAACATTTTAAGAGAGTCTTTCCGAAATATATTGGCAATTATTCTCTGAACCTAGGTGAAACTGAAATTATCCTACCAAATACAATTGTCAGCAACATTAAATTGGCCAAGAACTGGGGTTCCAGATAGGAAATACTTTGTAAGCCTGAAAAGAATGAAAGGCATGAAAACCTTGTCTCTACAAGTCTAATTTCCTACCAAAAAATTAGTTCCATATGGGAAAAAATGTTCTTTGCAAAACAAATATTTTTTTAATCTTCAAAAATATACTTATATTACAAAAGGACGTTTCAAACTTCAGTCACCTCTAAAATATTTACATGTAGGTTTGCTGCTCTATGGATGAGCCACAGAAATTCTTACATTCCCAGAATGCTTGCCTTGGGTCCTGGACTTGCTTCTCAGCTACACTTTTACCAATTCAACCCTTGACTATTCCCATTGATAAATGTGAGCACTGCTATGTCAATCTGCTATGGGAAAAAAAAATGCAGGACACAATCTACAAATCAATTTATACAACTGGATCATGATAATGATAATAGTTGCAGTTTACTAAGTACCTACTATGCACCAGGCCCTTCACAGATATTTTCTCTAATTTTTACAACTGTGCAAGCTAATTGTTATTACCTTAATTTTAAAGATCAAACAAGGGAAGTTCAGAAAGGTTGGGTAAATTACCTAAAACTGAGAGGTGACAGCGTGCTGGCAGCCCTTGCAGCCCTTGCTCACTCTCGGTGCCTCCTCGGCCTCAGTGCCCACTCTGGCCGCGCTTGAGGAGCCCTTCAGCCCGCGGCTGCACTGTGGGAGCCCCTTCCTGGGATGGCGGAGGCCAGAGCCGGCTTCCCTCCACTTGCAGGGAGGTGTGAAGGGAGAGGCGCAGGCGGGAACCAGGGCTGCGCACGCGCTTGCAGGCCAGCGCAAGTTCTGGGTGGGCGTGGGCTCAGCGGCCCCGCACTCAGAGCTGCTGGCTGGCCCACAAGCCCCAGGCAGTGAGGGGCTTAGCACCTGGGCCAGCAGCTGCTGTGCTTGATTTCTCGCCAGGCCTTAGCTGCCTCTCTGCGGGGCAGGGCTTGGGACCTGCAGCGCCCCCATGCCTGAGCCTCCCCACCAACCGCCATGGGCTCCTGCACGGCCCGAGCCTCCCGGACGAGCGCCGCTCTCTGCTCCAGGGCGCCCAGTCCCATCAACCGCCCAAGGGCTGAGGAGTGCAGGCGCAAGGCGCATAACTGGCAGGCGGCTCCACCTGCGGCCCAGTGCGGGACCCACTGGGTGAAGCCAGCTGGGCTCCTGAGTCTGGTGGGGACTTGGAGAATCTTTATGTCTAGCTAAGGGATTGTGAATGCACCAATCAGCACTCTGCATCTAGCTCAAGGTTTTTTAAATACACCAATCAGCACTCTGTGTCTAGCTCAGGGTTTGTAAATACACCAATCGACACTCTGTATCTAGCTAATCTAGTGGGGAGATGGAGAACTTTTGTGTCTAGCTCAGGGATTGTAAACCCACCAATCAGCACCCTGTCAAAATGGACCAATCGGCTCTCTGTAAAATGGACCAATCAGCAGGATGTGGGTGGGGCCAGATAAGAGAATAAAGGCAGGCTGCCCAACCTAGCAGTGGCAACCGGTTCTGGTCCCCGTCCACACTGTGGAATCTTTGTTCCTTCGCTCTTTTCAATGAATCTTGCTACTGCTCACTGTTTGGGTCCACACTGCCTTTATGAGCTGTAACACTCACCACGAAGGTCTGCAGCTTCACTCCTGAGCCAGCGAGACCACGAACCCACCAGAAGGAAGAAACTCCAAACACATCCGAACACCAGAAGGAACAAACCCCAGACACACCACCTTTAAGAACTGTAACACTCACCGCGGGGGTCTGCAGCTTCATTCTTGAAGTCAGTGAGACCAAGAACCCACAAATTCCAGACACAAAACCACATGGCTAATGAGTAATGCTGGATTTTGATTCCTGTATTGTCCATCTGAACTTCTATCATGTGCCAGGTACTATATAAGATAGTTGGCATGTGGTATCTCATTTAATCCTCACACTAATCCTAGCTGTTAATAAGACAACTCTTGTGCCTCACTGCTCAAGTTTCCATAGAGAAGAAAAAGAATAGGGGAGGAGCAATTCCAAGTCATCCCTCACCACTCCTGCCTAACTGAAGAGGGGAAAAAGCTGCTTGGCAACATTGAAAGAAGGGACTGAGCAGGTATGATTCATTCACTTATGAGTTTTCAGTCTCTCTTTTGGAGAACCTGTAAATTCCCAGCCTAGCCATTAGTAAAGTTTTTGGGGAAGGATTTCCCGTTGTAGGGCAAGACCACAGTTGCACAGTTCTGTCTATGACTGCCTGGCTGGGTAAGTTTGGAATTCAAGGTGGATGAGTAGGAAAGTAGTAGCAGTAATCAGTCTCCGGTTTAAATCAACTTTATTAATAATGAAATTGACATTTGTATCTCCATTTGCCTGACTCAAAGAGTGGCTCCTAACTCAGAATATGCAAAGGGGAATAATTTTCAATCCTAAAACTCCAAACAGTAGATATTCTTATTAGACTCATTGCCTTAATCTGTTCAGGCTGCTATAATAAAATACCATAAACTGGGTAGCTCATAAACAACATACATTCATTTCTTACAGTTCGGCAGGTTGGGAAGTCCAAGATCAAGGTGCCAGCAGATTCATTGTCTGATGAGGGCTTCCTCCCCCACAGATAACCATCTTCCCACTGTAACCTCACATGGCGGAAGAGCTTAGGGAACTCTTTGAGGTCTCTGTTTTCAGAGTACCAATCCTATTCATGAGGGCTCAGCCCTTATGACCTAATCACCTTCCAAAGGCTCCACCTCTTCATATCATCACCTTGGGGGTTAGAATCTCAACATATACATTTTAGTGGGGGGAGCATAAACATTTAGTCCTTCACACTCATTTTCCAGAGGAAGTAAACAAGGCTCAGAGAACTTAATATGCCCAAAATCAGTTAACTAGTAAGGGATAGTGATAGGATTTCAGTGTAGAGCTGTGCAACTCTAAAGCCCTCCCTTTTTCTACATTGTGCTTTGAATAAATAGCTTTCATGGGCCCCACAATTATCATAGATAATCAAGAATTGTAGCCATTCCTCAAATCTGAAGTCAGAATATGGAGAAGAAAAAGGAATGACAAGCAACAGCAATAACTGAAAAAATCTAGTTGGTTTTCATTTCATATATAATCTACAATAAGATGACTGTCAGAGAGGATTCAGGACAGATAGATGGAGACTTGGGGAGAGGAGTTAGGAATACAAAATGATAGAGAGACTTCAAAGCCAAAGCAAGGTACCATTCAGTGGAGGCACAATGTTCTACTCTGAAAAGGCCTGCTCTGAGACAGAGAGAAGTGGAATATATTTTGGAAAACTGACAACATAAAGAATCTCATTTTGCTACTAAGGAACTCTTGGTTAACATCCTTATGAATAATAAAGTGACTAAGATTATTTGGCTAGATTGTCCCACCTCCAAATCTCTCTTCTCTCAATCCTCGAAAGAACACTTGGTCCTACCTCTGTAGAAGGACACCCAAGATCTCATAATGCAGTTATATACAGTACAGGAAGTGAGCAGAGAGTCTGAGAAAAGAATGCCATTTCCACTTAGCATGCGCTGCATAGAAGAGTGCCCAGTAGTGGCACATACCATCATCACTGTTATCCTTAATGGAACTCCCCAGGGGGATAGCTGTGCTCATTCAAGGTAGATAGGCTTATTTCCTGTTTACTAGTCATCAGACCCTGGAAAATGCACTGCTAATAGAGCTCTGGTCTCTAAATAGAGATTTGGTATCCTCCCCTATATAATTACAGCCATTTGTCCCTGTATCAATTGCAACAGAAGCAAAGTTAGCTGCAAAGATGCTTGCTTTTGGTTACCAGAGGTGAGATCTGTACAGACTGCCTTTTTCTTCTATTTAATTCTTAGGAAGGCCTAGCAATCTTTTAAAAGACACTTCTAAAGTAGGCCTGGGACCAATAGGGTCTTTCACTGATAATATGATCCCTTTAGAGGAAAACAATGAAGAGTGAACATACATAATTCCCTGGAGGAATACTTGCTGCCCTTAAGGGCACCAAGAAAGCTACATGCAGAATTAATCTACTTTAGCAGTTTCTTTTGTAACAATTTTGGATTCAGGGGATGCCTGCATTCGCACATGTGTGCAGTGAGGATGGCCGACTTGACCCACACAGACTTATGTTGCATTTGAGGATTTCATGTTCACAAAAATGCAAACTGAAACATAACATCAAAAATGTAAGCTGATACGTATATTCAGTGAGATTGTTGTACTTTAGATTAATAGACCACACACCTTACATTTCGTACAATTTGTTATTCACTTTTCTGTTCATTTTTCTATATAATACCTTTATGTGAGACACTGTCATTCGTGCATAGCATAAGTCCAGTACCACAGTTTTGATTATCTTTTTAACTTATAAAGGCCCTACTTTAATTATCCAGAAAACTTATTGAAAGGTCAGTCAAAATTGAGTTAAATATCTGTACATATTTGCATATTTGTGTGTGTGATTTTTTTGAGGAGGAGAGGAGCAAGAAAAATTATGTAGTCAATCAACATTCTTCTCTTTAAGCAAGACTCTCTGGCAATAGAAAAATTTGAAAAGTCCTCAATAATTGTGACACAGTCACTTTAAACAAAATTAATGGTTTTCCTAGAGGCAGATACTCCTGTAGTGAAATTGTCTACTGACTAATTTAACTTATCCCAGGCTGCTGGGTAATAGAATTTCTTATGCTTCAGAAAAGGGTGTTCTCCCAATGCTGTGGATATAGACAGTAAGATTTGGGGCCGGAATCACTAAAATTTAAACATTTACATTTGGCAGAGCTTGAGTTGGTTCATTGGCCCAGGAGGTGTCTCAGTAAAGTACACAGATGCCAGAGGTAGAAAGCTCTGGATAATTCTGATCAAAGATGAATTCCTCTTATAATAGTTAAATAACATTATTGTCTTAATTTCTTTCTTTTCATGCATGGGAGCATGAAAAATGAGAACAGCCATTAATTTATGTCATCTACAGAAAGATTCAGAAAGAATGCATTAAATGTCTACCATATAATTTCCTTCTTTCATTCTCAGTTTCAAAACAACAACAACCAGAAAAAATGCCCAAGGAAACTTTTAAAGTTAATTAGAAGTCAGAAATATTTTCCCAAAGACTGTCATCGCCAGGGTACTCATTAAAATGCCTTGGAATAGCCCATGTTATCTAATATTATTAGTAGATCAAGAAACATGAGGCATTCTTTAATGCAGATAATTAACTTATCTGGAGGAATTGTTGTCATTGCTCTGTTCTGCAAATGGTCAATACTACATGACTTTTGGGGTTGATATGAAACTAAGTCAAGAAAGTTAAAAGGATTCTGCAGACCTGGTTTCTTTGTTAGCATACAGTATATAGGGAAGAAGCAGCCACTCTTTCCTTTTTGTCCTCTAGACATCAAGCTTCCAGGTATTTTCAGTGCCATTAGTATCAATTTACTTGGGGAAAAGTTGTTGCAAACTACAAGAGAAGAGGCCACTGTACCCTAGACTTCTCCAATACAATTTTACTTTAAAGAGGTAGTTTGCAACAAGCAGAGAAAACAAATAGAAAAACATGGAAAATGTTGTTAATTACATCCTATTAAAACCACTAGGCTCAAAAGTAAAGTGAATGATTAAAAAACATTTTCTTTTTTTTTAATTCCTGCAATTTTTGTTACATTCTAACCACAGTGCTGGTATTACAGGCGGGAGCCACCATGCCTGGCCACATTTTTAAACAATTTTAAATTAAAATATTATCCATGTTTATCAACTCTTTTCCAAAGCCAGTGTAATTAGATATAGTAAAAAACCTGTAGGAAAGAAAATTTAAACTTTTATTTTTTTAAAAAGACAAGTAAAGTCACTCCATGTTTTATTTTTATTTTTATTTATTTATCTACTTATTTTTTTGAGGTGGAGTCTCGCTCTGTTGCCCAGGCTGGAGTGCAGTGGCACAATCTTGGCTCACCACAACCTCTGTCTCCTGGGTTCAAGCGGTTCTCCTGCCTTGGCCTCCCGAGTAGCTGGGACTACAGGTGTACGCTACCATGCCCAGCTAATTTTTGTATTTTTAGTAGAGATGGGGTTTCACTATGTTGGCAAGGCTGGTCTCAAACTCCTGACCTCGTGCCCGCCCACCTTGACCTCCCAAAGTGCTGGGATTACAGGTGTGAGCCACTGTGCCTGCTGTCACTCAGTATTTTTACAAAACAGGTTGCAATTTGCATTCTAAAAGGATCTTTCACCTTGTTTCTTTATTCCAGGATAGTGAATGTTACCTTGATTTGTTTCTAAAGTAAATTTACATTCATTTGAGCCAGTAATGTCTTGCACACAGCCCTGCCAAATGCAAATTGCTCAGGAATTGTGGAGACTCTCAACTGGGGCTAAAGATGTTTATCATGAAAGGGGTTCCATGTGTGGCTATTGTATTCACACTGTACTGGAAATGTTCATGCTGACTTCAGAGGTAACAGCAGAGAACATTGGATTCTTCCAGATCTAAATACTGGCCAATCCAAAATTTTCCGCAAAAGAACTTGTGGCAGAAAATACAAGTTGCCTCCCAAAGGGTCGTTCTCCCTTTCTTCCTTACTAACAGAAACTATATCTCACAGCTTCCCTTGCAGATAGGGATTACTACTTTGTAAACGGAAGTTGTGAAGGGCTACTGGAAAAACTCTTAAGGAAGCTGACTTGGCTGGGTATCATGGAAAGAACCCTGAAATGAGACTCAGGAGACAAAGGCTTTCGTATATGTCTGGTCATGAATTTGCTGTGCGAACTTGTAGAGTCACTTTCCCTCTGCACCTCCATTTCTCATATGTAGAGTGAGATAGTTGAATTACATAATCTCTGAGGTCCTTTCCAAATTTAGGACCCATGTTTTCTCTTTCAGTTGCCGGTTCCTAAGGAGGTAAAAGCAGTTGCATGAAATAAGTGTGTGCAATTCACGAGATGAAGCTTTACTATTTCTTGTTTCTTTGCTCTCTCGTAAATTAAAAGTCACTCAGCATTTTTCTACGTTGTCAGATCTATAGTTTATATTATTCTCATTAATTCATTTTAACAGCTTTATTGAGATATAATTCACATATGTAAAATTCACACATTTAAAGTGTACAATTCAGTTGTTTTTATTATACTCACAGAGTTGTACAACCATCACCCCTATGTAATTTTAGAACATTTTCACCATCCCCAAAAGTAATTCCATACTGTTGACAGTCACTTCTCATTTTCCCCTCTTCTCAGCACCTGGCAACCATGAATGTACTTTCTGTGTCTATGGATTTGCCTATTCTGGACTTTTTTTTATTAAATGGAATCATACAATGTGTGATCTTTGGTGACTCACTTCTTTATTATATATTTTCAAGGTTCATTTTTGTTGTATAATGAATCAATACATTATTATTTTTCATGGCTAAATAATATTCCATTGTATAGATATATCACATTTGCTTATCCATTCATCAAGTGGCAGATGTGGGCAGTGTCTACGTTTTGGGTATTATGAATGATGCTGCTTTGGATATTTGTGTAAGAATCATTTTTTAAAGATATCTGCTATGTTCCAGGTATCGTGCTTGGTGAATTAGACAGACACAGTTCTGGCCTTCATGAAACTTAAGAGTCTAATGGAGAAGGAAAACATTAAACAAGTAAGAAAATGGGTTCTGAGAGGGAAAAAGAGAGAGTGCAGCTTTCTATGGAACACAAAACAGGTAGACTAAGCTAGCCTGGAGGCAAGGCTTCCTGGTGGAAGTGATATTTGAACTGAAATCTGAAATGTAAGAAAGGGAGAGAGAAAGAGAATGCTGAAGCACTGAGACAGGAAGCCCAATATGTTTGTAGAGTGAAGCGGGAGAGCAAATGGGAGAAAGGTACAAGATGAGGTCAGAGATATGGACACAGGTCAGTTCATGCAGGGCCTTATAGAGCATAGTAATTATTTGGGGCTTTATTCTAAGGATAATGGGGACCTATTTTAAAAGTTTTAAACAAGGGCATGAAATTATCTAATTTACGTTTGTAAAATATCATCCAGGCAAATGGCAATAGTATATATGCTGAATTCAGTTAAGAGAATGTTGCAGTGGTCTAGCTCAGACACCACTGAGGCTTAGACTAAGGTGGTGGCAGAGAAGATTAAGAGACTTTAACATAGCCAAAGTATATTTTGGTGCAAAAAATGACAGAACTTGGCTGGTTGCCATGGCTCATGCCTGTAATCCCAGCACTTTAGGAGGCCAACGGAGGCTGATAACCTGAGGTCAGGAATTTGAGACCAGCCTGGGCAATATGGTGAAACCTGTCTCTACCAAAAATACAAAAAAAAAAAAAAAAAAATCCGGGCATGGTAGCACAGGCCTGTAGTCCCAGCTACTCAGGAGTCTGAGACAGGAGGATCACCTGAGCCCAGGAAATGGAGGTTGCAGTGAGCTGAGACTGTGCCACTGTACTCCAGCCTGGGCAACAGAGTGAGACTCCATCTCAAAAACAAAACCAACAACAACAACAAAAACAGAACTTGCTGGTGCATTTGATTTGGGAGGAATGAAGAGGAGTATAGTCAAGTACAGTCAAGGTTATTGCAGAGGGTAGTGAGTTGATAAATTCATCCTGTGACATGTCCAGTTTAACATACCTGTAGGATGTGGACATCCAGATGCAGATGTTGACAAGGCAGTTGGCTATGTGAGTCTGGAGTCCAGCAGAGCTGGATTTGGGGCCCATTTATGTATACATGGTAACTGAATTTAGGGAGGGTAGAGTGGTAAGAATAAAGAGGGTCTAGAAAAAACTGAGCTTTGAGGACCTCTGCCATATAATTTTTAGATAATAGAAGAAGGGCTCAAAAAGGAGACTGAGAAAAAGCACCTGTAAAGTATATCAGGATAGTGTGTTACAGAAGTCCAAGGAAGTAACTGTATCAAGGAAGACAGAGTGGCCAACTATGGAGAATACTACTAAACAGTCACATAAAATCAGGATTCAGAAGTGACCATTGGTTTCATTGACAATAAAGTCATTGGTGAACTTAGCAAAAGTCAATTTCAGTGACGTGATAATGGATGGGAGGATGAGATGCCAGATTTGACCTTTTATTGCTTTCTAAATATTCTCAAAAAGAATGAATTCATTAAAAGTGGTGACCCTCCATTGTTGCCCCAGCCAAAAAGCCATCCTGCACCTACCACTAGTGAATCCTCCTGAAGCACTCAGCTGCTTACTTCTTCAAACTCCCCACTTTATCATTTGGGTTCTCTAGGTGTCAGGAGAAAGCTATGTTAATCACAAAATTGCTTTGATATCTTTTACAGTGAATTCGTCCATCTTACTGACATTCATTAATTCGTCAGTGTCTTGTGTCTTATACTGAAAAAATGAAAGGCTGAATAACTGGAAAATTATTGAAAGCCAGCTGTTTTCCTATTTTCTAGTTCATTTAATATTCTCAGCTACACAGTTTTTAGGTGACTCATCCAAGGTCAATCAATTTGATCAGTGGCAAAGCCCTGACTCAAACTCAAGATTTCTGACTTCAAGTCTGGTGCTTTTCCCAAAGCCCCATAGCTGCACTCCTTTTTATATCCTTCTCAAGGTACCAACTAAGAGTAAGTACTCCGTAAATGCTTTGTGAATGGTTTTCTCATTAAGATAATGTGTTAAATGTGAGATAAGGAGTGAACTTTTACAACTAGTCCTAAAATGGGCAGCTTAACACCATCTGGTCTTTAACATTCTGTATGCTGAATAGCAATGTGATAAAGAGAAAGAGATACATGATGGCAAATAATGCCTGTGGTTGGAAATGCTTACTGGGAATAGACATATCATTATAATCAGTTGTGTATGAGTCTGTGTTCTCCTAGATTGGATACTCCTTGATGGCAGGGGATGCATCTCATCCATCTGTCAAGTGCCTAGCACACTGCTTGGCCCAGAAGGAGAGATCAATAAATGTGAAATGCATGGTAGAATATAAGGAAATAAATTTTAATTTTATGATCTTTCCCCCATGTAATAAAAACTATTATTACCATTTACTATTATGACAGACATTGTTCTAAGCCTTTTATTGGTGTAATCCCATTTAGTACTTACAGAAACTCTAGGTTGTAGGTATTAGTGTGGATAATATTATTTTCCTCAGCACGACTATTTTATCTTATCCCTTTTCTCAGTGGCTTTGAAATTTAATCTCTCCTACAAAGATTTGCTTTCTGAATGGGGCTACAAATATTAAAAGCTCCTTGTACTTTCAGCACCTTAAACTTAACACATGACACTTGTATATTTCTGAGTAGACTCCAATTCTATATTTCATATTGACAAGAAGGAAAATGACCTAAGAAAAACAGAATACATAATATCATATATAATATATAGTAATATAATATTATCCAACTAGTACTTATTTTATAGATGAGGTAACTGAGGTCCAAAAAGATAAAATGACTCCTCCATGGCTGCCAATCCAGTAGATGGAAGAGCCCGGTTTCCAAAGCAGGTAGAATGGCTCCAGAGGCCATGCTCTTAACCATGAATATGTTCTCTCACCTGAACTTAGCTCTTCTATGTCACATTCTTCATACATTTTTAGGTGACAGCTATAGTAATAAATGAACCAGTGACAAACAGTTGGTGCCATAACCTTTTTATATTTTCTTATTCTTGTTATTTTTACATTTTCAAACTTAAGAATCATACAAAGATAATTTTAAGAAGAAAATCATGGGACTTTCATGCATTGAGGCTCCTGAAATCCATACTGAAGAGGGGGTTGCTTTTTCACTATCTCTGCACCGGTGAATCTTTAGTTATTTCATTCTGCCTACCTGTCTTTATACAGTGTGCTTTTGTTTTCAGTCTTTTGGGCTACTTCTCTTCCACAAATCGTCCAGGAACTTATTTGGCGGACTACAAAGCTGAGGGTAGATTTTCAGGATGAGGAGAATTTTGATTCTACTTTGCTCAGGTCATTTTCTTCCTTCTCAATATGAAATATCGAATTGGGGGCTGCTCAGATATATACAAGTATCATGTATAAGGTTCAAGTTTCTGAAAGTACAAGGAGCTTTTAATATTTGTGGCCCCATTCAGAAAGGAAACCTTTATAGGAGGGATTAAATTTCAAAGTCACTGAGAAAAGAGATCACGTGGTCACATCAAAGAAAACTGGCCTGGAAGCCAGAAGCCCTAGATCTGGCCTTAGCTCTGTCATAAAAGACTATGTAACCATAAGGAACTAACTGGTTCTAGTTTCCTCCTCTGTACTCAAACCAAACTAACGAGCCCAACGGGTAGTAAAGTAAGTCAGAAACAGTGTCTGCCTGGCATTCTCCTGTAGAACAGATAAAGGCCATGCAAGCACTCTGGTATAGTGGGTGGAGTGAGCCTAGGTCTTCAAAACAGACATTCAAATTAGTTGTGGACTGTCACCCCCTTGATCTAGAATGAGTAACTTTATCTCTCTGATCCTCATACTCCTCATGTATATAAAGGGGATAATAATAGCATCTATGTCACAGAGCTGTTGTGAGGATTCAATAACATGATCCACACAGGGAACCTAGCACACTGCCTGACACATAGTGAGCATCCAATAAATCATTATTATTAGTAGTAGTTATATCTTAATAAGATGCTGATTCCCAAATCCAGATCCATTCCAAAGCCTCATATCCTCATCTATAAGATGGGCATAATTGATTTTTGTATTTCACATCTAACAGGGTTAACATGAAGATAATAAAAAATTCATCCATTCAATTGCCTAACAAGTAATTATTGAGCACTGAGAAAGACACTGCAGTGAACAAGACATGTAATTGTGAACAAGACTTGTTATCAGGGGGCTTTCAATGTACTTGGAGAAAACAGAAAATAAATATATTATTTAAGAATTAAATCATTTCAAGTAATTAAAAAATGTTAGAGAGTGACAGGGTCTATCCTTGCCTTGAAGTGGAAAGATTAAATCTCCTTGTGCAATGTCTATTTTATGGTCAGCATTCAATAGCATTTATCACAGCTTTTTATTACTGTATTTTTTCCCTACATATTTGTCCATTTCAGCCACTGGGATGTGAATTCCAGGGGACAGGTCACGTTTGTTTGATTCATCAATGTAGACTGAGGCCCCAATACAGCTCAGAGTGACTAATCAATAAATGTTTGTTAAATGAATAAATGAATGAAGAATGAATGAGTTGCTGAGCAAATCTTCCCTCTCTGGTCCCCTAGCACCATTGGCCTTTGCCTAGGGATCAGTGAGTTCTTTCTGTGCCCTGACTGCTCCAGAGTCCAGCTAAGAGCTCTAGTCCTAGTTTGGCCATGAGAAGCTGTTCATCTTTACATCCATTGTTCATCCAGTTACACTCACCAGATTTCAATAAATTTGTTCCTTACTTTCCAATTCTTATGTTTTTTAAATTTAATTTTTAGATCTTATACCTTCCTGCCAACACACACATGCACACAAAAAATAACAAAATAACTCTCCACCCCCAACATCTGCTATAAAGCTTCGTCACTAGTGTTTTTTTCTGAAACTTTCTCCAAAACAGAGCACAATAATCAGTGGGAAATTTACCCCTCTTGGTGGAGATAAAACGCTTATAGCTAATGACCCACCTTTAATGGCACAAAATCCTTTTCTGAGACTATAGCTGGTCTGGGGCTCAGAAAGAGCTTGAAGTTCTGCTCAGCCCACAACTCTCAGCTAAACTAGAACCCACTAATGAAGACAGGCCCTGAAGCTCAGACTCCTCTGAACAAAATACTGTTTGCCAGGTTCTCATTATTGTGACTACAGTTATTGGACCTGCTAGTTAACTTCCAGTGATTAACGCCATTGCTTCAGGAAAGGAAGCCACCAGGGTAGACTTTTACCCAGGCGTTTGAAAACTGCCTTATACAAAATAATTCATTGTTTCTCTTTTATTATGGGACCAGGAACACCCTTTATCTTCAGCTTACCCTCAGCACAGCAGAAATAATCTTCATGGATGACTGTGCCTCCTTCAGGTTGTAATGACTAGTCTGTGCTAGTCCTGGTTAGCAAATCCCTGTCAAATATCATACCCTTAGGGGACACTCATACACATTAACTGCCTTTCTTGGTCCCAGTACCCTAGCCTAGTTCTACTTTGACCACCATCAAGTTGTAAAGATGGCCAATTTTACATATTTATGTATCCATAGGCCCAGAAGCCCACACATATATACTTTTTAACATTAGTGAACCGTAGGACTTTCTGGCTTTGCTATACATTGGGGAGGTATTTGAATAACTGCAGGAGAAAATTGGGCAGACCATCTTATTACATGAACATTTGCATACTGAGTTCATCAGTCTAGTCAATGTAATTAGTCTTCTCTGTGACTAATGAAAGATGGCGGCATAGGTTTACAATGTAAGTATTGATGCAAGAAGATTAATAACAGGCTTCCTACCTGTTTTTCTTGCTCACAGATGGGAAACCAGAGCAAACAGGGCCTTCTTGACACTCCCAGAAAATAGAAAGTATGTGAGACTAAGTAGAGTTATCTTAGAAAGAGGTCAAAGGAAATCATCAGTTGTGTTTTTAGGCTCACTTAACACCAAATGTGAGAATCAGTTATAATGAAGAAGCAGACTAACTTGGTGAGATGATGTGGTTGTAACTGAGAGGAGGCAGAGAGAACTTAAAGAGTATTAATTCATTCAGTTAAAACTATTTACTGAGTACGGGCCTCATTCTGGGCACTGTTCCAGGCACCAAACACATCTAATTTGTATGTTAATATTGAAAAGGTGGCAAACTGAACATGTTTAAAACTGTGCTCAAAATTTCTCCACCCCCAAAAACCTCTTCCAGGCTTCCTCATTATAGTAAGGAGCAACTTGATCCTTTCCTTTGCTTGGCCATGCTATCATCTTTTACTACTATCTTTCTTACCCCTCATTCCAACCCATCAGCAAATACTGTTGCCTGTGTTTTTAAAATATATGTGGAATCCAACCACATTTCACCACTTCTATTGCCAGCACCAGGTTCATATCACTGTCAGCTTTCATTTTGGGTTATTGCAATAGCCTATTCTCTAGCTTACAGACAGCAGATTATAGGACTTACCAGCCTCCATAATAATGAGAACCAATACCTTATGATAAATCACTTTATATATATACACATATATACACACATGTGTACATACATGTGTTTATGTTTCAATCACAAAGAGACTGAAACATACATTCATGTTCAGATAGCCACAAATGCCCTAACATGTAGCCCATTGGTTATGTAAGTGTGTGTACACATATGTATATACACACATACATACACACACAATTGGTTCTGTTCTCTGGAGAACCCTGATTAATATAAGTGGCTAAATAACTAGTAAGTCAGTTGAGAATATGTGGGTTGTCAGAAACAGAATATTTGTACAGGATGAAGGAGAATGATATAGCATTTGTGCGGTGTGTTGGGGAGGGTAGAGTCAGAATCAAATCTTTTCAAGAGCTGAGGCAACTGGATGCCATAACTTTATCTGCCTTTATTTACCTCCTGGCCTAGCATACAGCTAAACTGAAATCCTTCAGAGAGCACAATTGGTGTGGGTGAAGGGTTAGACTAGTCAGCTAAACTGGAAGAGGATGACATGAAATCAGACTTGTAACACCTGACTCCTCAGAAACTTGGGCCCAGCTAAATGTATAATTTACCACTTTCTGCATGACTACTCTCGAAAACTAGATGGGACTAAGAATTCCCTATAGGTGTTCTTTAAATAGTGTCTCTCTCCACACTCCACACATTGCGCATTTTAAAATATTTAATTTTTCTATTCCACATCATTTCCTGAATTAGGCATGGGGGTCACAATGGTATGGAAGAGTCAAACGTAAAAAAGCCCTGCTTCCTGCATTCAGCTAAATGATGACTGCAGGCTGAGTGGCAATAACTGATTTTGAAACCACCCTTTTCTAGAGCATACGTTCTTTGCAAAGCATTACCCCCAGTTAGACATACATGTTTAGAGGGAACATTTAACAGAAGCAATGTCTTTAAATCCCTGATTGTAGAGTTCTCAGAGTATGTAAGTGGAGTGGCAACATATACCTGCCAAAGGGGATACACCATTCCTACAGACGCCCATTTTTTTTTAACATCTCCAAATTCTCACAAAGGGAGTGAAACATGCATTCATGCTCAGATGGCTACAAATACACTTACGTATATAGTATATTGGTTACACAAATGACTGAACATGACTAAGATCATTACATTTGCAACAGCCCAGACCAAGTAGATACTGGTAAGGGCTTAACATGCAAATAGAATCAGAATGACTCCTAAAAAATGTTATCTCCAAAGGATCTCAAAAAGATTCTACATGCCAATTATTCTAAAATGGGGCTAATTATTAAAATGCGGCATCCTTCCCCATAAAGATGTGCTAGTCAACTGGCATTTGGCATCTGTCTGGCATATATGCTAGATAAACTCTTGTCCTTACTTTAGGGTTTTTCTGCCCTTGCTGATATAAAAAGGCCTTGGTTTTTAAACTTGACTTATCCCAGTTTAATGACAGAGGGCCAAGTAAACTCTATCGAAATTTAAAACCTAATCTTCTGGGAGCCCACTAGAGCTTAGGTCTGTGTTGAAGCCATTTTTTTCGTCACTAAGCCAATTAATCATGTGCCCACTGGGGAGAGGAATCGGGAGTTGTTCATTCCCTAAGTTGAGTATAATTACACTAAATTGAGTTATGAAAACTGTGAGCACCTTTAGGCTGGGACCCTTGCATCAAATATAAGTAATGTTCCCCTCTATGTGAAATATCCATGGGCAGGCCCACAGAGCTAAGAATAAATTGGCACCAGCAAGTACTATTTCAATGCACATTTAAGGAAAGTGGAATTGGCATTCAGCCATTCTTCTAGGAGTGTTAATCCTTCAGCAAGTTAAACTTCACAGAATCTTATACCTGAAGAGATCTGTTCCAGGTCCCCTGCCTTCAGGCTGGTGATGCCTATATCATCCAGAATGAATAGGACCCTGTTCACTTATAGATGTTCTCTAGCCTCCTTCATTCAATCATCCTGATATTTTTAACACCAAGCAATCCAGAATTATTATTAATAGACATTAAGGCCATCCCCTTGCCAGAGAATTAGGTCTGTCATCAGCCCTACCACCTCTGGAGTTCACTAACAGCCTGTTCTTGATCATCATTATCAACCTGTCTCTGGGCAATGTTCAATGAGAACTAGTTCTCACCAAGTAAAATAAGCATAAAGGAAGCTGAGCTTTGGACTGGGAATGAGCTGCATTACATTATTGAGTGCTTTCTTTGGTTGGGGCACATTGTCTGATACTCTAGACCCCAAACTGAGGTCACCAGACCTCTCACTTTATCCCTGAGAAGGAATCCCTCCATCCATTATTTATTTATGCCCTTAGCCTTCATGTACAGAAGGCCATAGAAAGCTTTCTGGATGTTTCCTGGCTTTAGTCTGAATAGTAACTTTAGAGTTATGGAAAAATCCAGCTAGACAAGGTACAGTAGTTCTTCTTTATCTGTGGCTGATACATTCCAAGACCCCCAGTGGATACTTGAAACTGTGGATAGTACCAAACCTTATATATACTATGTTTTTCGTCTACATACAGATCTATGATGAATTGTCATTTATAAATTGGGCACAGTAAGAGATTAACAACAATAACTAATAATAAAATCTATAACAACTATAACAATATACTGTAATAAAAGTTACGTGAATGTATTCTATTTTTCTCTCTCTCTCAAAATATCTTATTGTACTGTACCATGAATAACTGAAACCATGGAAAGTGAAACACAGATAAGGGATGATGTTTGTCATCATCCAAAAATCCATGAGGTTTGGATGTTTGTCTCCTCCAAACCTCAGGTTGAAATGTAATCCCCAATATTGGAGGTAGGACCTGGTAGGAGGTGTTTGGGTCATGGGGGTGGATTCCTCATGAATGGCTTGGTGCTGTCCTCATGATAGTGAGTGAGTTCTCACAAGATCTGGTTGTTTAAAAGTGTGTGGCGGCCGGGCGCGGTGGCTCACGCCTGTAGTCCCAGCATTTTGGGAGGCCGAGACTGGCGGATCACAAGGTCAGGAGATCGAGACCATCCTGCCTAACACAGTGAAACCCCGTCTCTACTAAAAATACAAAAAAAAATAGCCAGGCGTAGTGGCGGGCGCCTGTAGTCCCAGCTACTAAGGAGGCTGAGGCAGGAGAATGGCGTGAACCCGGGAGGCGGAGCTTGCAGTGAGCGGAGATCGCGCCACTGTACTCCAGCCTGGGCGACAGAGCGAGACTCCATCTCAAAAAAAAAAAAAAAAAAAAAAAAAAAAAGTATGTGGCACCTCTCCCACCCGTCTCCTGCTCTCGCCAAATGATGTACCTGCTCCCGCTTTACCCCCTGCCATGACTGTAAGCTTCCTGAGACCCTCATTAGAAGCTGACCAGATGTTTGTACTATGCTTGTACAGCCTGCAGGACCATAAGTCAATTCAATCTCTTTTCTTTGTAAATTACCCAGCCTCAGCTATTTTTTAATAGCAACATGAAAACAGACTGATACAATGGGGAACTACTGTATACTTCTTTGTAGCACTACAAAAAATTGTACTTAATGAATTATGTGTGGGACTCTTTGTTTAATGTTGCTCTCCCTTGTTAGAAATTTTCTGAACGCACAACATTCTTATACATAGCTGCACCTCTAGTGCGTTGTACAATGCTTGACATAGAGTATTTGCTCACCAAATGTTTGCTTAATGACTGTATGTGAAAACTGAAAACAATGCACAGAGAATAAAGTTGGCTTCATCACAGTCTTACCTATACATGTAGGTATGCCTTTCTCCTAAACGATCTCACTCTGATTTATCAGCCTTTTCTTGGAAATAACTTTTGCCAAACCACATCTTCAGCGTGTTAAACTTATCCCATAGATTTTTGCCATAACATGATTTTCTGCCAGTCATTCATTCTGGTCACATAAAAAGAACACAGAACAAACCATAATTGAAAATGGACAACTTCCCAAATCAAACACGACTCTGACCCAAATCAGAAGGGGAAGAAAAAGTCATTCATTCTGGCACCTTAATTAATTATCACACAGATTGCGTATTGATTTTCTTGTATTCAGTCTGATGCTTTGTGAAGCACACTCCTTTCATACAAAGTATGAACAGCATGAAGAAGACCTGCAGATCAAAATATATCCAAATATTTGGGAATACAAGATCAGAGATTTTCCTAAGAGTTATTTTAAATTGTGTCCAGGCAGACACCATGTTACTATTTGAAAATATATTTTCCTTGCTTAGGTGACGAAATTTCTGTGACTCTGAGGCAAGACAAAAATATTTCAGAGTGAATGATGTCCCATGGGGATTTTTCCTGGTAGGTTATGACCAGTAGTAGGATCAAGTGGGAATTCAGCCAAGAATTATGGGTAGAACCGGAGATGAAATGAGTGAAGCCAGAAAGCAAGAGACTGATGAAGAAAAGTAGATCTAGTTATAAAAATCCTGCCTAGAAAGTACAAGTGGAAGAATTATAAGCTGTGCTTTAGCAAGGAGGCCTGAGTCTCCTTGAAGGAGATAATATTAAAATTCAGAATTGGCCAGCTATAAAAAGGACATTTCACCTCTCAGGGATCCTGATGAAGGCATAGACACTTCTTCTACTATATGCTATCTCAGAAGTGTTTTTCACACATCTTTCTTGAATGAGGTTTATGTTCCATTCTTAGAGAAGGTGAGATGGACAAAAGGAATATTATAGAACAGAGCCCTTTTCTTCTATGTGATGGGTATATTTCCCAGCTCCACTCCCCCATGGTTCCAGGCATAAAGTCACATATCTCAAAGATAGACCCGACTAGGAGAGTAGGAGCCTTAATAATTTTAAAACCTTGTGACGTAACGGGTACCCTACTTAAATTGCTTACATTTCTATTAAAGTAGCTTGAATGTGGGGCAGGGGAGGATTATGTTATGGTGAAGCAGTCAGAGTTAGAGGAGAGGAAGGAGGGAGGGGAAAAGATCACTGAAAATTCAGAGAACCATAAAAAATGGGATATTTTTCAATTACAGTTAATTACTGCCACACAAAAAACAGCATATGCATGTCAAACTTTTAAACTTTAATGGTGTACACAACTCAATAAATAGGCTTTTGTGTCATCTTAAGTGAAAAATTTTATAAAGTGGCAGCAGACAGATATACAATTTCAGCTGAAATTTAATGTTGCTTAATCTTGAATCTGCAGCTTCATCTTAGCTAACTTTGGAGATATATAACCACAGTACTCTTTTCTGTACTTCCCCTCCTGGAAATGAGACACCCTTGCTAATTTCTGTTGTAAAGAAAGAAGAAAAGGTTCACACAGTCTGAATTAGCTTGGACCTGGGCCAATACTCTGAGGGGGCCCTGGCATGTTTTTTTTTTTTTTTTTTTTTTTTGTCTGACACTGAGTCTCGCTCTGTCACCCAGGCTGGAGTGCAGTGGTGCGATGTCGGCTCACTGCAAGCTCCGCCTCCCGGGTTCATGCCATTCTCCTGCCTCAGCCTCCCGGTAGCTGGGACTACAGGCGCCAGTCACCACGCCCGACTAATTTTTTATATTTTTAGTAGGGATGGGGTTTCACAGTGTTAGCCAGGATGGTCTCGATCTCCTGACCTCATGATCCGCCCGCCTCGGCCTCCCAAAGTGCTGGGAGTACAGGCATGAGCCACTGTGCCCTGCCAGCCCTGGCATCTTGAAACTGCTACAGCTTGTGAAAGGCTGGTTGGGCAGCCTAAAGTATCACAGATACACCTGGCAAGAGTTAGGGCAAGTGATAGATTTTTGTATTGTCCGTATTTTTTTCTGACACATATTAATTTTTAATTTTTTTCTCAAAGTGCTTTTTGGATTAAAAATTAACTTTTTTATTAATACATAACTCATAAAACATAAAATTTGTATGTTTAAAGTGTGCAATTCAGTGGCTTTGGCATATTCACGAGATTGTGCAGTTATCACCTCTATTTAAATCCAGAATATTTTCATTACCTCAAAAAGAAACCCATGTCCATTAAATAGTCGCAGCCCATTTCCCCTTTCTCCCAGCCTCTGGCAACCACTAACCAAGTTTTTGTCTCTATGCCTATTCTGGACATTTCATATAAAAGAAATCATACAATATGTGGCCTTTTCTGTCTGATATTTGTCACTTAGCATAATGTTTTCAAGGTTTATCCATGTTATATCATGTATAAATTATTTAATTCCCTTTTTATGTCAAAATACTCCATTGTGTGGTTATAACACATTTTATTTATACACTCATAAGTTGATGGACATTTGGGATATTTCCACTTTCTGGCTGTTATGAATATGAATAATGCTACTATGAAAATTTATGTAGAAGTGTTTGTATAAATATATGTTTTCATTTTGCTTGGATATATGCCCAAGAGTATAATTGGTGGGCCAGGGTCATATGATAACACTCTAGGCTTAGCTTTTTGAGGAACTGCCAGACTGTTTTCTGCAATGGGTATACATTTTTACCTCCCATCAGCAATGCATGAGGGTCCCAGTTTCTCCACATACTTACCAATACTTCTTTTTCTTTTCTTATTATAGCCATTCCATGTGATATTAAATGATATCTTATTGTCATTTTACTTTGTGTTTCCCTAATGACTGATGATCTTGAGCATCTTTTCATGTGCTTATTGTTGATCTGTAGATCTTTGGAGAAATGGCTATTCAAATCATTTGCCTTTTTAAAAATTTAAGGTGTGTTTTCATTGTTGAGTTATAAGAGCTCATGATATATTCTGGATACTAGACTCTTGCCAGATATATGATCTGTAAATATTTTCTCCCATTCTGTGGGCGATCTTTTCATTTTCTTGCTAGTGTCCTTTGATGCATAAAGGTTGTTAATTTTTATGAAGTCTCATTTATGTATTTTTCTTTGGTTGCTTGTGTTTTAGATGTCATATTTAAGACACCATTGTCCAATCAAAGATCACAAAGATTTATGCCTATGTTTTCTTCTGAGAGTTTTATTGTTTTAGCTCTTATATCTACCTCTTTGAGCTAGTTTACGTTTTTGTATATGGCATGAGAAAGTGGTCCAAATTTATTCTTTTGCATGTGGATATCCAGCTGTTTCAGCACTATTTGTTGAAAAGACTATTGATTTCCCATTGAATGCTTTTGGCATCCTTGTAAAAAAAAATTGACATAGATATATGAGTTTATTTCTGCACTCTCAATTCTATTCCGCTGAACTTTATGCCTACTCTTATGCCATTACCACACAGTCATAATTACTGTAGCTTTGTAATATTAATAAAAAGGAAAAAAATATGATCACCTCAATAGATGCAGGAAAATAATTTGACAAAATCTGACAACCTTTCATAATAAAAAGCACTCAACAAACTAAGAATAGACAGAAACATCCTCAATCCAATAGAGGTAATCTATTAAAAACACAAAGCTAGAAGCATACTTAGTGGTAAAAGATTGAAATGTTTCCTCCAAACATCAGAAAAAAGTCAGGAATTTTTACTCTCCTCACTTCTATTCAACATTGTACTGGAGGTACAGGGTGACAGGCAAGGGAATTAGGCAAGAAAATGGAATAAAAATGATCCATATTGGAAAAAAAGAAGTAAAACTATCTATTTGCATATAGAAACATCTTGTATATAGAAAATACTCAGGAATCCACAGAAAAGCTATTAGAGCTAACAGTTTAGCAAAGCTGCAAGATACGATATTGGTATACAAAAATATATATTAATAGTAGCATCCAAGGATCTGAAAATGAATTTAAGAAAACAATCCCATTAGTAATAGCATGAAAAAAATACTTAGGAATAAATTTAATCAAGGAGGTGCAAGACCTGCACACTAAGTACTGTAAAACATTACCAAAAGAAATTAAAGACCTAAGTAAGCTGTAAGACATTGTATTCATAGATTGGAAGACTTAATGTTGTCAAGATGGCAATACTCTTTAAAGTGATCTCCAGATTTAATGCAATCCCTATCAAAATTCCAACTGCCTTTTTTTTTGCAGAAATGAACAAGTTAATTTTAAAATTCATGTGGAATTACAAGAGACTCAATGACCAAAACAATCTGAAAAAAAGAACAAAATTTGCAGTATCATACTTCTTGATTTCACAACTTACAAAGCTATAGTAATCAGAACAGTGCAATACTGGCAAAAGGATAGATGCATAGATCAATGGAGTAGAACTGACAGTCTAGAAAACACACACACATACACATTTATGGTCAATTGATTTCAACTAGGGTGGTGCCACTATTACTCAAGGAAAGAATTTTTTCAATGTATGTATATATTTTTATACATATACATCTTGTATATATATGCATATGTATGATATGTAGTTTACATGAAAATATTTTATTGGATCTATCTGTTTATGAAGATGCTCTTTCTTTGGTCTCTGGAAACACTGTGGAGCATAAGAAAGCAATATATTGGGATAGGTCCTTTACAGAACTTGCAAGCTATGTGTGCTATTACCCATTTTACAGATAAGGAAACTGAGTCACAGAGAGGCTAAACATTTTCCTGTAGGTCACATAGCTTGAAAGTAGCATAGCCTGGATTGAAACCTGAATGTATTGACCCCATAATGCAAGATATTTCCATTGTACCAAGTAGGATAACAAAGCTTTACTCACATTTTGCCACATCTGAGGAGGTGGCTCAGCACATGCTCTAGTCATCAGACTTGCACCTCTACCCATTGCCAAGTAAGGATTCCAGGCAATACTGACCTCAAAGACCTGGTAACTGACCTCAGAGATACTGTGCATACATTACCTTATTTAATCTCTTTTAAGGGTCCTAGGAGATGTGTTTTAGTATTAGCATCAATTATACAAGTGAGGAGACTGAGGGTTGGAGAAGCAAAATAATTTTCCTATGGCCACATAGTTAACGGTGGAGTTGGAATTTAAACTCTGGTGTGCCTCGCTCTAAGGTCTGTGCTGTTTCTACTGCTAGCCACTGTAGTAGGTTAGCTATAATTTTGCACTCCTTCTCCTCCATCTAAAAGATAACAAATAAAATGGCTGTACCAAACCCTTTGCCTTCTCTTTCAGTCTTCGCTAGGCTTACTCTGGTTTATCTAAACTTTGGATGATGTTCCATGTAATGTGGCCCCTTGAATTCTGTTCTCCACTTCTGAATAGGTACAGATTACTTCAGAGCTTCAGAGTATCCCTCCTTCCTTTCTTGTTTCCCTCTCCTGTTATTACTTGTCATTTTTCCACACCCTTCTCCAGCTTCTAGCACACAAATGTATGGGATGGCTGGCTATACTGTGATTGGAGACACAGGGAGACTCTATAACCACAAATCCCTATTATAAATCTCATCAAATGATGTTAATTTCTTTGTCATCATAGTTATTCTATGTTTAAGAAGCTCATATTTAAAAGCAAATGGCCGTAGGAAGGATTTCCAATTTTTATTTAACACATAAAATTGAATTTTTTAGACAGACCATAAAAAATAGGCCCCTTTGTGAGTTGAGGTGTGTGTGTGTGTGTGTGTTTCTGTGTGTGCATGCATGTGTGCACATATGAGGGTATTTATAAGCCCTAGTGCACAAGAGGGGAGGTTGGTAGAGTGGAAGCATACCCTAGACAAACTTTCTACCCACTTTTGTCCACTTTGCACTTTTCCAAGTATGGGCCTATGTTATGGTTCAAGGAATAAAGGAAGGTTCAAATTTGAGAGCTATGAGAGGAAAAAGGTAGATGAGAAAGTAGTACAATTTCTGCCTATTATTTTTTTTTACTTCCAGTTAGGCCTTTCTTTATTCTATGTATAGGGTTATACATTATTTTATAGCACATTAAAACTGCATTGTTTTTCAGGCACACAGGGCACACAATGGAAAATAATAGCATGGGCACTAGAGGGAGGCTGACTAGGGTGTACATGTGCCAGCTGTGCAACTTTTGGCAAGTTGATTGACCTCTCTGCACCTTTCTGTAAGAAAGAATTTAAAATTGCTCCAAAAGAGGTCTGGCCTTTGCCCTCAGCTCCCAGGAGGTAATTTTTATTTGCTTAGGGGCCTTATGATAGACAGATACTAACAATGTGATTTGGAGTAGGAGCTTTGGATTGGATGGTATCAGTCTACCCAGAAACTGAGATCAACTATGTGGGCAAATGATCAGTCATGCCTAGGTAATCGAGTCTCAATAAAAACTCTGAACAACAAGGCTCATGTAAGTTTCCCTGGTTGGTAATACACCATGAGCACTGTCACATAAGGATGCCAGGAGAGTAACATGTCCTGACTCCACAGAGAGAGGAAAATGGAAGCTCTATATTTAGTACTTCTGGATTCTGGTATATGTGCTTCTTCCCTTGGTTGATTTTAATTTGTATCATTTCCCTGCAATAAACCATAACTATGAGTATGATAGCTTTCAGTAAGTTCTATGAGTCTTTCTAGTGATTTATCCTACATAAGAGTGGTTTTGGGAATCATCCAAAGTTGCAGTTGGTGTCAGAAGTGAGTGCAGTCTTGGAGACTGTGCCCTCTAGCCTTGTAGTTGGCCGTAATTCTTTGTAAACTCAATCTTCTAATTTCTAAAATGGGGATAAAATACCAACCTACCTATATGAAGGACGATAACAATGAAATAAAAAAAACATTGAAAAGGCCTACCACTGAATAGGTTCCTCAATAAAAGACAGATATTATTATCAAGCACACATCATAAGTACCATCATTAATAATGTTTTGTGTATGGTTTACAAAACACACATTGTCTCTTTTACATACACATTGTCTCAATTCCTCACAACTACTGGAAGTAAGTAATGTCTCCATTATGGATGAGAAAATGGAAAACTAGAGCAGTCGTGACTTACTAATTTATTAATTCAATGGATAAGTGTTGAGTGCCTACTTCTTGTGAGGCATTGTAAGTGTTGGAGTTGTAATGGGGAACAAACAAGATATGACTCTAGCACTCATGGGGCTCACCTTCTAATGAGAAAGACAAACACTAAACAAATAAATATCAAAATACAAAATTAAAATTCTGATAAGTATTATGAAAAAATAGAAGACTATATGGTTAACATAATAAGTGACAGTAGTAAGACTTGGGCTCAGACTTTTGAAGACCAGTGTTCTTTCTAATACACCATATAGCCTACATGTACATCTGGTAGGGTGACTAACCATCCTGGTTTGCTTTGGGCTAGGGTTTTTCTCAGGACACAAGATTTTCAGTGTTAATCTTGGAACAATCCTGGGAAAACCAGGATGGTTGATCACCCTAACATCTAATAGCCAATGTCTTGGCTTCTCTTGTTCTAAGGCTAATTCTCATACATGTGGACTTTGTCAGAGATTATTTCTAGTGAGTTAGTAACAGAAGAGAATAAAAAGGCAGATGAATCAGACATTGTTAGCATCAAGACCATTCATGGGAAAATTACTGCCAGGTATACATTTGAGAAGAGGCTGTCTTTGCAAAAAGCTTCAGACCATGTCTTGTAAAGGGTCACTCCAGTTGGAGAAGAAAGCTAGAGTATGATCAGGAAACTGATACAAGATTACTTACTTCAGGTTAGTTTCAGAAGGTATAGCCCTCACTTATCCTTTTACTTAGAATACGAGTTTTTGTTTTAAAACCACCTGCAATTTCAAAAGTAACTAATTTATATAAGTCACATACAAACACAGATGGGGAACTAAACAGAGCTTTCAACTAGCCAAGGCAATTGCCACCAAAGCAGAGCTCAATAGTTTCCCTAAGTATCTAGGGCCAGCTGGATCCTGAGTCCTCACAGTTCATATTAAAGAAAACAAAAGAAATTTTACATTCAGGGAGCCAGAATCATTAATGGCTGATTAGGAACTTTAGATGAAACCAATAAGACCCCAGAGTGTACCTGGGAGAGAGTACTGGATTTGGAAATGAGAAAGAAGCAAAGGTGTAGTAGCAAATATTTCATGGCATTAGTCTTAGGGCTAGAAGAACTCTCATTCCTGAGATAAGGCCACCCTTTCTGTCATTTGGAGGATGTCCTCAACTTTTATATTGTCCACCCACTAATTAAGCCCTAAGAGAATCATACATATTTGTACTTGATAGGCTCTAAGAGAAGTTGAGGTAACCTCAGAGGCCTGCTATGTCTGTATGTATAGAACTTTTAAGGAAAGTGTCCCACAGTTTTTTTCTCACACAATGTGCTATTATTTATATTGTGTGAAACCAATCCTGCTACCTCAGCCACAAGTGATTGGACCAGGAATTTGTGAGTGGATGGGAAAGGGAGATGGGGAATATATTTGATCCTTGAAAAACATGGGTTTGAACTGTACAGTTCTACTTATACATACTTTTTTCCCCCAGTTAAACATAGAAAATACAGTATTTGCAGGAAGCAAAACCTGTGTATACAGAGGGCCAACTTTTCATATATGTGGGTTCTACAGAGCAGTGACTGTGGGACTTGAATATGCAAGAATTTGGGAATATGTGGGGGTCCTGGAACCAATCCTTGGAGATACTGAGGGACAACTGTATTTATGCCAGTTTCATGGCATTACTGGCCTGCATCTTGTCAAGGAGAATAAGAAGCCTAGATATTATGTACTCGGATGTTTGACTAAGGCAAAGTATCCATTCTGGCCTGAAAGTCAGTTCTTCCTCTTTATCCTCCTTCCTTTCTTTTCCTCCCTCTTCCTTACTCTCTCCCATCCCCCTACTTTAAAAATAAGACAATACAGCAAAGTCCGATAATGAACTACAAATGGTTTAGGAGGGAACAACCATTTTAACTTTTTTCAAAATGCTTTCTGGGATATTAACTCTTACTGCTTTTCCTAAAACTATGTAGGCAGTATAGAGTTGTAGCAGTTAAGAGCTACAACAAACAAACAAGAGTGAGTCCTCTTATTCACTGTGGGACCTTAGACAAGACACTTACTCTTTCTAAGCCTCAATTTTATCATCTGTAAAAGTGAGGATTAAATGAAGTACTGGATGTAAAATGCTTGCAGAGTGCCTGGAGCATAATATAACAGTCATTATACTCACACTGGCTATTAGTTTTCCTTGTTATAGTATGATTCCTCCTACTGCCATTACTACTACTAATAACACTCTTGAAAGACAGCAGGGATCTGATAAAATTGACTCAGAACAAGTAAGTTTTGTGGAGGCGGAGTAGGGGATGGAAAATGAGGTGGGGAAGGGGAGTGCAGGCTTTTTTAGGGCATTGACGTAGAAGACCCTGGGCTACAGAGGAAACTACTGGGTTGGGCATGGTTGGAGACAAAGAAGCATACAGAGTAAGAAGGAAAATAGGGACTCACTTCACTGACCTCACAATTTGTTCTATATGCACACATGTTGGAAAGTTTTGCACATTCATTTCTATATATTTCCTATTCTCTTGCTTGGCTGAAAAAGGTTTTGGAGTTGAGGTTGGGGATAATAAGGGACATTTAAACTTCCTCAAAGGGGTCAGTGTCTAATTATGCATGTAGAAATAGTATCATGGCTGAAAATAGGTTGGAGGAGTACAGGGCACTCCTTCCAGTTAAGGAAGAAAACACTAGTAATCTGCTTAAATAAAAATCAATTTTAGTGGCTCCTTTATTATACTTTTTATGGTCTGCAAAGTTCCATCCTTTTCATACTGTAGAGTGAATGGTATGTAATTCTATACCAATGAAAAATTTTCCTTTAGAAGAGATGTGAAGGTTTTAACTTTTTAAATAATAATTATTCCCCCATTCAGTATTCAAGGTGTTTAATTTGTAGGGCCATATCTCTAATTCACAAAACTTTAAGTGACACTAATGGGGCTCAGCTATTTTCATTATTAATGTACACCAATGCTAATCTAGTGCTACTCAACTCTAGCCATAGCATTAAGGTTTTTCTTCTCCTTAAAGTAGGATTTAAGATTAGCAATAAAATTTAACTTTTTTTATTACCTACTTTATTGATGTTACATTCATTAAGGATTAACTGGCACCAATAAGTGGGTCTCTATTTAAGCATACACATTTAGTTATGGTGTTCTCAGGAGACTGTTCTAATCCCAACATCATGTGTAGAGTGGTATGAAAGGTGAAATTTATAATAGAAAAAAACCAAAGCAATTAAATAAGAGATAGCATAACCGATAGCCTGCCCCAGGTTTTGATCTTTATAGATTTATCATTATAATAAGTCCTCATTAATGTGGACCTAATAAACTCAAGTTTTGTGATCATTTGGACCCAGGCTGGGCTTAAGTTGACCTTGCAATATCTATGAAAGGATATATCTATGAAAGGATATTGCTAAGAAAATTAATGGAATAAACAGAAATGCTAGAGGAATATTCAAACTACTTAATAGACCAAACTGTGCTTTCAATTACTTTAATTCCACTCCATTATTATAGTGATTACAATTACAAATGAATGATATCTTTCATTAAAGTAGGCCCACCATGAGTCTTACTCATCACCAGCTAGCTAGCACTCCTTTATATATACTGTACTCTTTAGATTTATCAGCAGTTCAGCTTGGACTCTTCCACAATTAGCCTGAATTAATAGTGGTTGACCAATTTAAATGATGTTATGATTTACATAGTATCCTTTTCTGGAAGAGTTTAACAAACATTCTTATGTTAATGTTTAACAACTGCCTTTAAAGAGACTCTGACATTTCCAGTAGATCTTAACGAAAGAGTCATGCAATGGAGTATGTCACAAGCATGTGGTTCAAATGTGTTACAAAAATACATTACTCTAATCGAACTATGGCAGGATTCATAAACCACATAGGCAGAAGTGCCAACATTTTTTTCAGAGATAAGAAAATTGAAGAAATCAAGAACACAAAAGCAACTCCAGCTCTGAATTTCAGGGAAATAGACTTTACATATTATCTTTCCTCAAAGGTTACAAGACAACATGTAATTAGTACATAATTCTAGACAGCTGAGATAACTGAAAGGCAAGAAAGTCTCTGGAACTTCCTTATTACCCCCATTTTATATATGAGAAAACAGAGAGAAAGAGGGTAGGTGACTTTCCCAAGGTCACACAAGTAGTAATTATTAGAACTAGAACTTGAACCACAATCTGATTACAAACCATAGGCATTAGCCAATTAATCTGCAGCAGACCAAACTGCTCCTTGCCTTTATCCTTACATTCAGTGTGGTAGTTCCAGAGACTTCTTTGCCCTTCAATTAGCTCAGCTATCTAGAATTCTGTGATAATAAGCCCTGGCCCACAAGGAATAATGTGTTTGCTTAATTTTGATCTGTTTTAATCTCAGTTAATTTTAATCTGTTTCATGGCCAGTGAAAACATCCCCTACTATAGGTAGTTTTGCCCCAAAGGCAAACTTATTTGATAGGGAAGATGGAAGAGGGGGAAATAACATATGATATATTAAAGTGTATATCCCATTGATGGTGAGAAGTATTGTGAGTCCCATATTATAGGTTTTATAATAAAGAATCAGAGAGGATAGGTGACTTGCCTAATGTCACACAGAGTCCAATAAGTGGCAGGATGAAGATCCAAAATTAGTTTTCTCTATACCAAAACTTATGCCATTTCCAGTTTATCACATGATTTCCCACATGCTTAAACTCAGGGGGGTACTTTCTGGAGCTATATTGTCTGAATTTGAATCCACACTCTAATGCCTTCTGTCTTGGACAACTTTCTAAAATTCTCTATGCCTGAGGGTTTTTTTAAAAATCTGTTAATAATAGGATTGTGAAGATAAAGTGAGATGATGCATCTCTAGTAAAACACTGGTACCCTAGTACCCATAGTTATATTTCTCACACTGTTGCTGTTTTCTAAGTTCCTGGTCCCTACTATTTTGATCTGCACTGCGTAATATGATAGCCAATTGCCATATATGGCTACTAAAACTTAAATTTTATTTATTTTTTAATTATTTATTTTATTATAAACTGACAAATTATAATTGTATATATTTATGGGGTACAATCTGATTATATACACACACACACACACACACACACATATATATACAATGTAGAATGATTAAAGCAAGGTAATTAACATAGCCATAACCTCAAATACTTATCACTTTTTGTGGTAAGAACATTTGAAATTTACTGTCTTAGCAATTTTGAAATAGACATGATTATTAACGATAGCCTTCATGTTGTGTAATAGATCTCAAAAAACTTATTCCTCCTATCTAACTGAAACTTTATACCCTTTGACCAACATCTCCCCATTTCCCATTCCCCACCCCCAGCCATTCTACTCTCTGGCTCTATGAGATCAACTGTTTTAGATTCCATGTATAAGTGAAATTATGCCTTATTTGTCATTCAGTGCATAGCTTATTTCACTTAGCATAATGTCCTCTAGGTTTATTTATGTTGTCACAAAGGATAGGATTTCATTTGCTTTTTAAGGCTGAATAATATTCCACTGTGTGTGTGTGTGTGTGTGTGTATCACATTTTCTTTATCCATTCTTCCACAGGTAAATACTTAGGTTGATAATACTTGGGTTGATTCCATATATTGGTTATTATGAATAATGCTGCAATGAACATGCAAGTGCAGATATCTCTTTGACATACTGATTTCATGTCCTTTGTAAATACTGTTGACACTGGAACGACATGAGTTTGAACTGTGCAGGTTCACTTATATAGAGATGTTCCTCCAACTCTGCAACCACTGGGAGAGCAAGACCAACCCCCTCCTCTTCCTCCTTCTCCTCGGCCTACTTAATGTAAAGATGACCAGGATGAGAAGCTTTATGATGAACCACTTCCACTTAATGAATAGTAAATATATTTTATCTTTCTTATGATTTTAATAACATTTTATTTTCTCTAGCCTACTTTAAGAATATACTAAATAACACATATAACATAAAAAATATGTGTTTAACAACTATGTTATCAGTAAGGCTTCCAGTAAACAGAAAGCTATTAGTAGCAAAGTTTGTGGGGAGTCAAAAGTTATACATGAGCTTTCAACTGCCGTGAGAGTCAGCATCCCTAACTCCCATGTTGTTCAACGGTTAACTGTATACCCAGGAATGGAATTGCTGGATCATATGGAAGTTCTAGTTTTAGTTTTTTCAGAAACTTTCATATAAGTTTCCATAATGGCTGTGCTTACATGCATTCCCACCAATGATATACAAGAGTTCTCTTTTCTGTACACCCTTGCCAACATTTATCTTTCACCTTTTTTATAGTAGCCATTCTGACTGGTGTGAGGTGATATCTCATTGTGGTTTTAATTTGCATTTCCCTAATAATTAGCAGTGTTGAGCATTTTTCCATGTATTTACTTGCCATTTATATGTCTTCTTTTAAGAAATGTCTATTCAAGTCCTTTGCCCATTTTTAATCATGTTGTTTGTTTTCTTGCTATTGAGTTTTTTGAGTTGCTTATATATTTTGGCTATGAGCCCCTTATCAGATGTATGGCTTATAAATATTTTCTTTCAATATAGGTTGTCTCTTCACTCTGTTGTTTCCTTCGCTGTGTAGAAGATTTTTAGATTGATATTTTGTGTATTTTTGCTTTATTTGCTGTATTAGTATATTCTCACACAGCTATAAAGATACTGCCCAAGCCTGTAATTTATAAAGGAAAGAGGTTTAATTGACTCACAGTTCTGCATGACTGTGGAGGCCTCAGGAAACCTACAATTATGGTGGAAGAGAAAGCAGGCACGTCTTACATGGCAGCAGGCAAGAGAAGAGTGTGTGTAGGAGGAAATATCAAACACTTATAAAACCATCAGATCTCATGAGAACTCACTCACTATGATGAGAACAGCCTAGGGAACACTGCCTCCATGATCCAATCATCTCCCAGCTGGTCCCTCCCTCGACATGTGGGGATTATGGGGACTACAACTTGAGATGAGATTTGGATGGAGACACAGAGCCAAACCATATCATTCTGCCTCTGGCCCCTCCCAAATGTCATGTACTTTTTATATTTCAAAATCAATCATATCTTCCCAACAGTACCCCAAAGTCTTAACTCATTTCAGCATTAACTCAGAAGTCCACAGTCCGAAGTCTCATCTGAGACAACACTAGTCCCCTCTGCCTATGAGGCTGCAAAACCAAAAGCAAATTAGTTACTTCCTACATATGATAAGATTGCAGGCATTGGGTAAATGCTCCTGTTCTAAATGGGAGAAATTGGCCAAAACAAAGGGGCTACAGGCCCTATGCAAATCCAAAATCAAGTGAGGCACTCACTAAATATTAAAACGCTGAACTGATCTTCTTCGACTCCATGTATCACATCCAGGTCATGCTAATGAAAGAGGTTGGCTTACAGGGACTTGGGCAGCTCTGCCCCAGTGGCTTTGCAAGGTGGGGCACCCCCGGTCCCCAGCTGTTTTCACAGGCTGGTGCTGAGTGCCTGCAGCTTTTCCAGGCACACTGTGCAAGCTGTCAGTGGATCTATCATTCTGGGGTTTGGAGGACAGTGGCCCTCCTCTCCCAGCTCCACTAGGCAGTGCCCCATTGGGGACTCTGTGTGAGGAATCCTACCCTACATTTTTTCCTTCCACACTGCCTTAGCAGAGGTTCTCCATGAGAGCTCTTCCCCTGCAGCAAACTTCTGCCTGGATATCCAAGTGTTTCCATACATCCTCTGAAATCTAGGCAGAGGTTTCTAAATGTCAGTTCTTGACTTCTGTGCTCCCGCAGGCCCAACACCATGTGGAAGTTGTCAAAGCTTGGGACTTGCACCCTCTGAGGCAACAATTGTTATGTGTTAATTCGATCCTGTCTTTATGATGCTAGCTGGTTATTTTGCTTATTAGTTGATGCAGTTTCTTCATAGTGTCGATGGTCTTTACAATTTGGTATGTTTTTGCAGTGGCTGGTACCGGTCTTCTTTTCCATGTTTAGTGCTTCCTTCAGGAGCTCTTCTAAGGCAGGCCTGGTGGGGACAAAATCTCAGCATTTGCTTTTCTGTAAAGGATTCTATTTCTCCTTTACTTATGAAACTTATTTGGCTGGATATGAAATTCTGGGATGAAAATTATTTTCTTTAAGAATGTTGAATATTGGCTCCCACTCTCTTCTGGCTTGTAGAGTTTCTGCAGAAGGATCCACTGTTAATTTGATGGACTTACCTTTGTGGGTAATCCAACCTTTCTCTCTGGCAGCCCTTAACATTTTTTCCTTCATTTCAACCTTGGGGAATCTGATAATTATGTGTCTTGGGGTCGCTCTACTTGACAAAGTAGATACTTGACAACTATCTTGTGGTATTCTCTGTATTTCCTGAATTTGAATGTTGGCCTGTCTTGCTAGGTTGGGGAAGTTCTCCTGGATAATATCCTGAAGAGTGTTTTCCAACTTGGTTCCATTCTCCCAGTCACTTTCAGGCACACCAATCAAATGTAGATTTGGTCTTTTCACATAATCCCATATTTTTAGAGGCTTTATTCATTCCCTTTCATTCTTTTTTTCTCTAGCCTTGTCTTCTTGCTTCATTTCATTAAGTTGATATTCAGTCTCTGATATCTTTTCTTCTGCTTGATCGATTCAGCTATTGATAATTGTGTATGCTTCATGAAGTTCTTGTGCTGTGTTTTTCAGCTCCATCAGGTCATTTATGTTCTTCTTTAACCTGGTTATTGTAGTTAGCAATTCATCTAACATTTTTTCAAAGTTCTTAGCTTCCTTGCATTGGGTTAGGACATGCTCCTTTAGCTTGGAGGAGTTCATTATTACTCACCTTCTGAAGCCTACTTCTGTCAATTCATCAAACTCATTCTCCGTCCAGTTTTGTTTCCTTGCTGGCGAGGAGTTGTGATCCTTTGGAGGAGAAGAGGTATTCTGGTTTTTGGAATTTTCAGCCTTTTTGCGCTGGTCTATCCCCATCTTTGTGGATTTATCTACCTTTGGTCTTTGATGTTGGTGACCTTCGGATGGGGTCTCTGAGTGGACGTACTTTTGTTTATGTTGATGCTATTCCTTTCTGTTTGTTAGTTTTCCTTCTAACAGTCAGGCCCGTCTGCTGCAGGTCTGCTGCAGTTTACTGGAGGTCCACTCCAGACCCTGTTTGCCTGGGTATCACTAGAGGAGGCTGCAGAACAGCAAAGATTGCTGCCTGTTCTTTCCTCTAGAAGCTTCAACCCAGAGGGGCACCCACCAGATGCCAGCCAGAGCTCTCCCATATGAGGTGTCTGTCGGCTCCTACTGGGAGGTATCTCCCATTCAGTATACCCGAGATCATAGAACCACTTGAGGAAGCAGTCTGATCCTTAGTAAAGTTTGAACGCTGTGAACCCAGGACCTGGTTTTTGAAAAGATCAACAAAATAGACCGCTAGCCAGATTAACAAAGAAGAAAATAGAAAAGAATCAACTAGATGCAATAAAAAATGATAAAGAGGATATCACCACCAATCCCACAGAAATACAAACTACCATCAGAGAATACTATGAACACCTCTATGCAAATAAACTAGAAAACCTAGAAGAAATGGATAAATTCCTGGACACATACACCCTCCCAAGTTTAAACCAGGAAGAAATTGGATCTCCGAGTAGAGCAATAACAAGTTCTGAAATTGAGGCAGTAATTAATAGCCTACTGACCAAAAAAAGTCCAGGACCAGACAGATTCACAGCCGAATTCTACCAGAAGTACAAAGAGGAGCTGGTACCATTTCTTCTGCAACTATTCCAACAAATAGAAAAAGAGGGAATCCTCCCTAACTCATTTTATGAAGCCAGCATCATCCTGATGCCAAAACCTGGCGGAGACATAACAAAAAAAAGAAAATTTCAGGCCAATATCCCTGATGAACTTTGATGCGAAAATCCTCAGTAAAATACTGACAAACTAAATCCAGCAGCACATCAAAAAGCTTATCCAGCACGATCAAGTTAGCTTCATCCCTGGGATGCAAGGCTGGTTCAACATATGCAAATCAATATACATAATCCATCACATAAACAGAACCAATGACAAAAACCACACGATTATCTCAATCGATGCAGGAAATGCCTTCAACAAAATTCAACAGCCCTTCACACTAAACATTCTCAACAAACTAGGTATTGATGGAATGTATCTCAAAATAATAACTATTTATGACAAACCCACAGCCAATCATACTGAATGGGACCAAGGAGCTGGGGCTAGCCATCTTGACTTGTTTTATACCTTAGAAAGAATTCTTGAATTATTCAATAGACCTTCGCCAAAGGGGTTGTTGAGGTAAAGCAAGAAACAGAAAATCAATCCCAATGAGAATAACAGATTTTAACTTTTAGTTTAAGGACAAAATTTGATAATGAAAAGGTTCTAATAATTCAACTCCTGTAGGAAGAAAATAATTATTACCCCAAAGCCCTCAAATATCCCTTACTTTCTTACTGAATGGGCAAAAATTGGAAGCATTCCCTTTGAAAACCAGCAGAAGACAAGGATGCAGTCTCTCACCATTCCTATTCAACATAGTACTGGAAGTTCTGGCCAGGTCAATCAGGTAAGAGAAAGAAATAAAGGGTATTTAAATAGGAAAAGAGGATGTCAAATTGTCTCTGTTTGCAGATGACATGATTGTGTAATTAGAAAACCCCATCATCTCAGCCCAAAATCTCCTGAAGCTGATAAGCAACTTCAGCAAAGTCCCAGGATACAAAATCAGTGTGCAAAAATCACAAGCATTCCTATACACCAAAAACTGACAAACAGAGAGCCAAACCATGAGTTAACTCCCATTCACAATTGCTACAAAGAGAATAAAATACCTAGGAATACAACTTACAAGGGATGTGAAGGACCTTTTCAAGGAGAACTACAAACAACTGCTCAAGGAAATAAGAGAGGAAACAAACAAATGGGAAAACATTCTATGCTCATGGATAGGAAGAATCAATATCATGAAAACGGCCATACTGACCAAAGTAGTTTATAGATTCAATGCTATCCCCATCAAGCTAACACTGACTTTCTTCACAGAATTGGAAAAAACTACTTCAATTTCCTACGGAACCAAAAAAGAGCCCGCATAGCCAAGGCAATCCTAAGCAAAAAGAACAAAGCTTGAGGCATCACACTACCTGACTTCAAACTATACTACAAGGCTACAGTAACCAAAACAGCATGGTACTGGTACCAAAACAGGTATATAGACCAATGAACAGAACAGAGGCCTCAGAAATAACACCACATATCTGCAACCATCTGATCTTTGACAAACCTGACAAAAACAAGCAATGGGGAAAGGATTCCTTATTTAATAAATGGTGTTGGGAAAACTGGCTAGCCATATGCAGAAAACCAACATTGGACTCTTTTCTTACCCCTTATACAAAAATTAACTCATATGGATTAAAGAATTAAACGTAAGTCCTAAAACCATAAATACCCTAGAAGAAAACCTAGGCAATAACATTCAGGACATTGGCATGGGCAAAGACTTTATGACTAAAAGACCAAATTCAATGGCAACAAAAGCCAAAATAGACAAATGGGATATATTTAAACTAAAGAGCTTCTGCACAGCAAAAGAAACTATCATCAGAGTGAACAGGCAACCTACAGAATGGTAGAAAATTTTTGCAATCTGTCCATCTGACAAAGGGCTAATATCCGGAATCTACAAAGGGCTAATATCCAGAATCTATAAAGTTAAACAAATTTAAAAGAAAAATAAAACAACGCCATCAAAGATCAGGTGAAGGATATGAACAGACACTTCTCAAAAGATGATATTTATGTGGCCAACCAACCTGAATAAAAGCTCATCATCACTGGTCATTAGAGAAATGTAAATCCAAACCACAATGAGATACCATCTCATACCATTTAGAATGGTGATTATTAAAAAGTCAGGAAACAACAGATGCTGGAGAGGATGTGGAGAAATAGGAATGCTTTTATACTGTTGGTGGGAGTGTAAATTAGTTCAACCATTGTGGAAGACAGTGTGGTGATTCCTCAAGGATCTAGAACCAGAAATACCATTTGACCCAGCAATCCTATTACTGGGAATATACCCAAAGTATTATAAATCATTCTACTATAAAGACACATGGACACATATGTTTATTGCAGCACTATTCACAATAGCAAAGACTTGGAACCAACCCAAATGCCCATCAGTGATAGACTGGATTAAGAAAATGTGGCACATATACACCATGGAATACTATGCAGCCATAAAAAAGGATGAGTTCATGTCCTTTGTAGGGACATGGATGAAGCTGGAAACCATCATTCTCAGCAAACCATCACAAGAACTGGATAAAGAAAACGTGGCCAGTCTATCATTGATGGGCATTTGGGTTGGTTCCAAGTCTTTGCTGTTGTGAATAGTGCAGCCATAAACATATGTGTCTCTCTGTCTTTATAGTAGAATGATTTATAATACTTTGGGTATATTCCCAGTAATAGGATTGCTAGGTCAAATGGTATTTCTAGTTCTAGATCCTTGAGGAATCTCCACACTGTCTTCCACAATGGTTGAACTAATTTACACTCCCACCAACAGTATAAAAGCATTCCTATTTCTCTACAACCTCTCCAGCATGACTGGATAAAGAAAATTTGGCGAGCTCCAGTCTACAGCTCCCAGCGTGAGAGATGCAGAAGACGGGTGATTTCTGCATTTCCAACTGAGGTACCGCGTTCATCTCACTGGGGAGTGCTGGACAGTGGGTGCAGGATAGTGGATGCAGTGCACTGTGTGTGAGCCGAAGCAGGGCGAGGCATCGCCTCACCCAGGAAGCACAAGGGGTCAGGGAATTCCCTTTCCTAGTCAAAGAAAGGGGTGACAGAGGGCACCTGGAAAATCGGGTCACTCCCACCCTAATACTGCGCCCTCCCAACGGGCTTAACAAACGGCACACCAGGAGATTATATCCCGCACCTGGCTTGGAGGGTCCTATGCCCATGGAGCCTCGCTCATTGCTAGCACAGCAGTCTGAGATCAAACTGCAAGGTGGCAGCGAGGCTGGGGGAGGGGCGACCGCATTGCTCAGGCTTGAGTAGGTAAACAAAGCGGCCAGGAAGCTCGAACTGGGTGGAGCCCACCACAGCTCAAGGAGGCCTGCCTGCCTCTGTAGGCTCCACCTCTGGGGGCAGGGCACAGACAAACAAAAGACAGCAATAACGTCTGCAGTCTTAAATGTCCCTGTCTGACAGCTTTGAAGAGAGTAGTGGTTCTCCCAGCATGCAGCTGGAGATCTGAGAACGGGCAGACTGCCTCCTCAAGTGGGTCCCTGACCCCCGAGTAGCCTAACTGGGAGGCACCCCCAAGTAGGGGCGGACTGACACCTCACACTCCCGGGTACTCCTCTGAGACAAAACTTCCAGAAGAACGATCAGGCAGCAGCATTTGCAGTTCACCAATACCCGCTGTTCTGCAGCCACCACTGCTGATACCCAGGCAAACAGGGTCTGGAGTGGACCTCCAGTAAACTCCAACACACCTGCAGCTAAGGGTCCTGACTGTTAGAAGGAAAACTGACAAACAGAAAGGACATCCACACCAAAAACCCATCTATACGTCACCATCATCAAAGATCAAAGGTAGATAAAGCCACAAAGATGGGGAAAAAACAGAGCAGAAAAACTGGAAACTCTAAAAATCAGAGTGCCTCTCCTCCTCCAAAGGAACGCAGCTCCTCACCAGCAACGGAACAAAGCTGGACGGAGAATGACGAGTTGAGAGAGGAAGGCTCCAGAAGATCAAACTACTCCAAGCTAAAGGAGGAAGTTCAAATCAATGGCAAAGAAGTTAAAAACTTCGAAAAAAATTAGATGAATGCATAACTGGAATAACCAATGCAGAGAAGTCCTTAAAGGACCTGATGGAGCTGAAAACCATGGCACGAGAACTACACGATGAATGCACAAGCCTCAGTAACTGATGCAATCAACTGGAAGAAAGGGTATCAGTGATGGAAGACAAATGAAATTAAGCATGAAGAGAAGTTTAGACAAAAAAAGAATAAAAAGAAATGAACAACGCCTCCAAGAAATATGGGACTATGTGAAACGACCAAATCTATGTCTAATTGGTGTACCTGAAAGTGACAGAGAGAATGGAACCAAGTTGGAAAAAACTCTGCAGGATATTATCCAGGAGAATTTCCCCAATCTAGCAAGGCAGGCCAACATTCAAATTCAGGAAATACAGAGAACGCCACAAAGATACTCCTCGAGAAGAGCAACTCCAAGACACATAATTGTCAGATTCACCAAAGTTGAAATGAAGGAAAAAATGTTAAGGGCAGCCAGAGAGAAAGGTCTGGTTACCCACAAAGGGAAGCCCATCAGACTAACAGCTGACCTCTCTGCAGAAACTCTACAAGCCAGAAGAGAGTGGGGGCCAATATTCAACATTCTTAAAGAAAAGAATTTTCAACCCAGAATGTCATATCCAGCCAAACTAAGCTTCATAAGTGAAGGAGAAATAAAATACTTTACAGACAAGCAAATGCTGAGAGATTTTGGCACCACCAGGCCTGCCCTAAAAGAGCTCCTGAAGGAAGCAATAAACATGGAAAGGAACAACCGGTACCAGCTACTGCAAAAACATGACAAATTGTAAAGACCATCAAGGCTAGGAGGAAACTGCATCAACTAACGAGCAAAATAACCAGCTAAAATCATAATGACAGGATCAAATTCACACATAACAATATTAACCTTAAATGTAAATGGGCTAAATGCTCCAATTAAAAGGCACAGACTGGCAAATTGGATAAAGAGTCAAGACCCATCAGTGTGCTGTATTCAGGAACCCCATCTCACACGCAGAGACACACATAGACTCAAAATAAAGGGATGGAGGAAGATCTACCAAGGAAATGGAAAACAAAAAAAGGCAGGGGTTGCAATCCTAGTCTCGGATAAAACAGACTTTAAACCAACAAAGATCAAAAGAGACAAAGAAGGCCATTACATAATGGTAAAGGGATCAATTCAACAAGAAGAACTAACTATCCTAAATATATATGCACCCAATACTGGAGCACCCAGATTCATAAAGCAAGTCCTTAGTGACCTACAAAGAGACTTAGACCACCACACAATAATAATGGGAGATTTTAACACCCCACTGTCAACATTAGACAGATCAACGAGACAGAAAGTTAACAAGGATATCCAGGAGTTGAACTCAGCTCTGCACCAAGCGGACCTAATAGACATCTACAGAACTCTCCACCCCAAATCAACAGAATATACATTATTTTCAGCACCACACCACACCTATTCCAAAATTGAACACATAGTTGGATGTAAAACACTCCTCAGCAAATGTAAAAGAACAGAAATTATAACAAACTGTCTCTCAGACCACAGTGCAATCAAACTAGAACTCAGGATTAAGAAACTCACTCAAAACCACTCAATTACATGGAAACTGAACAACCTGCTCCTGAATGACTACTGGCTACATAACGAAATGAAGGCAGAAATAAAGATGTTCTTTGAAACCAACGAGAACAAAGACACAACATACCAGAATCTCTGGGACACATTCAAAGCAGTGTGTAGAGGGAAATTTATAGCACTAAATGCCCACAAGAGAAAGGAGGAAAGATCTAAAACTGACACCCTAACATCACAATTAAAAGAACTAGAGAAGCAAGAGCAAACACATTCAAAAGCTAGCAGAAGGCAAGAAATAACTAAAATCAGAGCAGAACTGAAGGAAATAGAGACACAAAAAACCCTTCAAAAAATCAATGAATCCAGGAGCTGGTTTTTTGAAAAGATCAACAAAATTGATTGACCGCTAGCAAGACTAGTAAAGAAGAAAAGAGAGAAGAATCAAATAGACACGATGAAAAATGACAAACGGGATATCACCATCGATTCCACAGAAATACAAACTACCATCAGAGAATACCATAAACACCTCTACACAAATAAACTAGAAAATCTACAAGAAATGGATAAATTCCTCGACACATACACTCTCCCAAGACTAAACCAGGATGAAGTTGAATCTCTGAATAGACCAATAACAGGCTCTGAAATTGAGGCAATAATTAATAGCTTACCAACCAAAAAAAGTCCAGGACCAGATGGATTCACAGCTGAATTCCACCAGAGGTACAAGGAGGAGCTGGTACCATTCCTTCTGAAACTATTCCAATCAATAGAAAAAGAGGGAATCCTCCCTAACTCATTTTATGAGGCCAGCATCATCCTGATACCAAAGCCTGGCAGAGACACAACTAAAAAAGAGAATTTGAGACCAATATCCTTGATGAACATTGATGCAAAAATCCTCAATAAAATACTGGCAAACCGAATCCAGCAGCACATCAAAAAGCTTATCCACCATGATCAAGTGGGCTTCATCCCTGGGATGCAAGGCTGGTTCAACATATGCAAAACAATAAACATAATCCAGCATATAAACAGAACCAAAGACAAAAACCACATGATTATCTCAATAGATGCAGAAAAGGCCTTTGACAAAATTCAACAACCCTTCATGCTAAAAACTCTCCAGAAATTAGGTATTGATGGAACATATCTCAAAATAATAAGAGCTATCTATGACAAACCCACAGCCAATATCATACTGAATGGGCAAAAACTGGAAGCATTCCCTTTGAAAACTGGCACAAGACAGGGATGCCCTCTCTCACCACTCCTATTCAACATAGTGTTGGAAGGTCTGGCCAGGGCAATCAGGCAGGAGAAGGAAATAAAGGGCATTCATTTAGGAAAAGAGGAAGTCAAATTGTCCCTGTTTGCAGATGACATGATTGTATATCTAGAAAACCCCATCGTCTCAGCCCAAAATCTCCTCAAGCTGATAAGCAACTTCAGCAAAGTCTCAGGTTACAAAATCAATGTGCAAAAATCACAAGCATTCTTATACACCAATAACAGACAAACAGAGAGCCAAATCATGAGTGAACTCCCACTCACAATTGCTTCAAAGAGAATAAAATACCTAGGAATCCAACTTACAAGGGATGTGAAGAACCTCTTCAAGGAGAACTACAAACCACTGCTCAAGGAAATAAAAGAGGATACAAACAAATGGAAGAACATTCCATGCTCATGGGTAGGAAGAATCAATATCGTGAAAATGGCCATACTGCCCAAGGTAATTTACAGATTCAATGCCATCCCCATCAAGCTACCAATGACTTTCTTCACAGAATTGGAAAAAACTACTTTAAAGTTCATATGGAACCAAAAAAGAGCCAGCATTGCCAAGTCAATCCTAAGCCAAAAGAACAAAGCCGGAGGTATCACGCTACCTGACTTCAAACTATACTGCAAGCTACACTAACCAAAACAGCATGGTACTGGTACCAAAACAGAGATATAGACCAATGGAACAGAACAGAGCCCTCAGAAATAATGCCGCATATCTACAACCATCTGATCTTTGACAAACCTGACAAAAACAAGAAATGGGGAAAGGATCCCCTATTTAATAAATGGTGCTGGGAAAACGGGCTAGCCATGAGTAGAAAGCTGAAACTGGATCCCTTCCTTACACCTTATACAAAAATTAATTCAAGATGGATTGAAGACTTAAATGTTAGACCTAAAACCATAAAAACCCTAGAAGAAAACCTGGGCAATACCATTCAGGACATAGGCATGGGCAAGGACTTCATGTCTAAAACACCAAAAGCAATGGCAACAAAAGCCAAAATTGACAAATGGGATCTAATTAAACTAAAGAGCTTCTGCACAGCAAAAGAAACCACCATCAGAGTGAACAGGCAACCTACAGAATGGGAGAGAATTTTTGCAACCTACTCATTGGACAAAGGGCTAATATCCAGAATCTACAATGAACTCCAACAAATTTACAAGAAAAAAACAAACAACCCCATCAAAAAGTGGGCAAAGGATATGAACAGACACTTCTCAAAAGAAGACATTTATGCAGCCAAAAAAACACATGAAAAAATGCTCATCATCACTGGCCATCAATGCAAATCAAAACCACAATGAGATACCATCTCACACCAGTTGGAATGGTGATCATTAAAATGTCAGGAAACAACAGGTGCTGGAGAGGATGTGGAAAAATAGGAACACTTTTACACTGTTGGTGGGACTGTAAACTAGTTCAACCATTGTGGAAGTCGGTGTGGTGATTCCTCAGGGATCTAGAACTAGAAATACCATTTGACACAGCCAGCCCATTACAGGGTATATACCCAAAGGATTATAAATCATGCTGCTATAAAGACACATGCACACATATGTTTATTGCGGCACTGTTCACAATAGCACAGACCTGGAACCAACCCAAATGTCCAACAATGATAGACTGGATTTAGAAAATGTGGCACATATACACCGTGGAATACTATGCAGCCATAAAAAATGATGAGTTCATGTCCTTTGTAGGGACACGGATGAAGCTGGAAACCATCATTCTCAGCAAACTATCGCAAGGACAAAAAACCAAACACCGCATGTTCTCACTCATAGGCGGGAATTGAACAATGAGAACACATGGACACAGGAAGGGGAACATCACACACTGGGGCCTGTTGTGGGGTGGGGGGAGGGGGGAGGGATAGCATTAGGAGATATACCTAATGCTAAATGATGAGTTAATGGGTACAGCACACCAACATGGCACATGTATACATATGTAACAAACCTGAATATTGTGCACATATATCCTAAAACTTAAAGCATAATAATAAAAAAAAGAAAAAAAAAGAAAATGTGGCACATATACACCATGGAATACTATGCAGCCATAAAAAAGGATGAGTTCATCACCTTTGCAGGGACATGGATGAAGCTGGAAACCATCATTCTCAGCAAACAACAAGAACAGAAAACCAAACATCACATGTTCTCACTCGTAAGTAGGAGCTGAACAATGAGAACACATGGATTCATTGTTCCATGTGTTCAGAGATGGGAACATCACACACCAGGGCCTGTTGGGGAGTGAGGAGCTAGGGGAGGGATAGCATTAGGAAAAATTCCTAATGTAGATGACTGGTTGATGGGTGCAGCAAAGCACCATGCCACGTGTATACCTATGTAACAATACTGCACGTCCTCTACATATACCACAGAACTTAAAGTATAGTAATAATTTAAAAAAAAAAGAATAAGAGTGATCTTTTCTCCAATTCCCAATAAGTTCCTCATTTCCGTCTGAGACCACCTCAGCCTGGATTTCATTGTCCACATCACTATCAAAATTTTGGACAAAACCATTCAGCAAATCTCTAGAAAGTTGCAAACTTTCCCACATCTTCCTGTCTTCTTCTGAGCCCTCCAAACTGTTCCAACTCTGCCTGTCACCCAGTTCCAAAGTCGCTTCCACATTTTTTGGTATCTTTATAGCAGTACCCCATTCTTTGTGGTACTAATTTCCTATTTTAGCCTGATGTCACATTGTTATAAAGATAGTACCCAAGACTGGGTAGTTTATAAAGGAAAGAGGTTTAATTGACTAATGGTTCTGCGGATGGGAAGGCCTCAGGAAACTTACAATCATGGCAGAAAGGGAAGCAGGCATGCATTACATGGCAGCAGGCGAAAAGAGTGTGTGTAGGAGGAACTGTCACTTATAAAACCATCAGATCTCATGAGAACTCCCTCATTTTTATGAGAACAGCTTAGGGGAAACTCCCCTGTGATCCAATCACCTCCCACCCAGTCCCTCCCTTGACATATGGGCATAATGGGAACTACAATTCAAGATGAGATTTGGATGGGGACACAGATCCAAACTATATCAGTTGCCTGTGTTTTTGAAGTCATCTCCAAAACAATCTTTGCTCAGACCAATGTCAAGAAGCTTTTCCCCTGTGTTTTCTTCCAGTATCTTTACAATTTTAGGTCTTATATTTAAGTCTTTGATACATTTTGAGTTGATTTTCATATATGATGTGAGAGTCTAATTTCACTCTTCTGCATGTGGATATCCAGTTTTCCTAACACCACGTATGGAAGAGACTAGTCCTTTCCCCATTGTATATTACTAGCACCTGTGTCAAACATCAGTTGGCCATAAATATATTAATTTATTTTTTGGCTCTCTAATCTGTTCCATTGGTCTGTATAAGTGTTCTTATGCTGCTACCATGCTATTTTGGTTACTATAGCTGTGTGGTAAATTTTCAGATCAGATAGAATGATGCTTCTGGTTTTGTTCTTTTTGCTCAAGATTGTTTTGGCTCTTTGGGATCTTTTGTGATTTCATATGAATTTTAGGATTTTTTTTTGTATATTTCTGTGAAAAATGGCCTTGGAATTTTGATAGGAATTGCGTTGAATCTGTGGATTTCTTTGGGTACTATGGCTATTTTGACAATATTAATTTTTCAACTCCATGAACATATCCTCCCATGTATTTGTATTTTTCATTTTTTTATTTCAATTTTGATAGTTTGTGGTATAAAGATATTTTACTTCTTTGGTTAAATTTATTCATAAGTATTTTTTCTATTTTATTTTAAATGGGATTATTTTCTTTATCTTTTTCAGATAGTTTATTGTTTGTATAGACAAATGCTACTGATTTTTCTGTGTTGATTTTGTATCCTGCACTTTTACCATTTTCATTTTAACAGTTTTTCATGGAGTCTTTAGGGGTTTTCTATGTATATGATCTTGTTGTCTACAGAGAAAATTTCATTTCTTCTTTCCCATTGGGTTGCCAATTAAAAACTTAAATTTAAACAAATTTGAATTACTTAAAATTAAAAATTTAGTCCCTCAGTGACACTAGTCACATTTCAAGTGCTCAGCTGTCCCATGTAGCTACCATATTGCATAGCACAGATTTAGAACACTTTCAACCTTGCAGAAAATTTTAGTGGATGCAAAGAAACATCATATATATTTATGTATACATGTGTATGTAAATGCATAGAAAGGGAACTGGAAAGATGTATATCAGACCATTGAAGATGGGGAAGGAAACAAAGGGGGATTTTCATGTTTTGTTCTGTATACTTTTATATTGTTTAAAAGGTGAACACACACACACACACACACACACATAAATATATATATATATTTTTTTATTTTTATTTTTTGAGACAGAGTCTTACTCTGTTGCCCAGGCTGGAGTGCAGTGGCACAATCTCGGCTCATTGCAACCTTCACCTCCTGGGTTCAAGCAATTCTCCTGCCTCAGCCTCCCGAGTAGCTGGGATTACAGGCACTCACCACCATGCCTGACTAATTTTTGTGTTTTTAGTAGAGACGGGGATTCACCATGTTGGTCAGGCTGGTCTTGAACCCCTAACCTCAAGTGATCCACCTGCCTCAGCCTCCCAAAGTGCTGGTATTATAAAAGGTGAACATACTCTTTATGGCTTTAGAAATTTGAGAAAACACAGTAACTATTTAGAGAGTAAGCCAATTATGAAAAGAAAAATAGACTGCCTTAAGATATGACAATAAGGAAGACCTTCCTGAGCAAACTAGAGAAGCCTGAAGGGTTGGGGGAAGGTGCCCTTCCTAGTGGAATATCTTCACTTAAGGGATTCTGCTTAGCTGTTGCCTCAGTGTATGGCACACAGAAAACATCTGCTGCCAAATAAAGTATTAATTAGAAAAGGCTCTGCTGGGGCCAGAGGCAGAGTAGCAGATTTTTGGTTTTGCCCAGATAATAAGGAGCCTTATGAGATACTATTCTACAATGAGCAAAATAGTCTCTTCAGCCTGGCCTGCCTAGACCAAGAGATTACCAAGGCATATTCAGAGCAACTCTTGAAATATCAGGTAACAGCCACATCAAGAAAATCAAAAGCCATTCTATGCCCAGCAAAAGAAGCTGTGCTGAGATCTTTCTCACCCAGGCAAGGGACCAAGGAGCTGGGGCTAGCCATCTTGACTTGTTTTATACCTTAGAAAGAATTCTTGAATTATTCAATGGATCTTCGCCAAAAGGGTTGTTGAGGTAAAGCAAGAAACAGAAAATCAATCCCAATGAGAATAATAGATTTTAACTTTTAGTTTAAGGACAAAAGTTGATAATGAAAAGGTTCTGATAATTCAACTCCTGTTGGAAGAAAATAATTATTACCCCCAAAGCCCTCAAATATCCCTTACTTTTTTTTCTAAAACAAGACTTTATTTTGTTTTAATCTGATGTAAAGCTAAAATGTTTTTGTTGTATAAAAATGAAATATAGAAATATATAACAAAGATAAAGTTATCTAGAATTTCTAGAATTCCCAGCCCTTGCTCCATACAACATAATGTTCCCATTTCTTTTTCTAAAATATACTACATTGTTTTCGTAGAATCAAACTAAAACTGTGTTATAAAACTTGCTTGTTTCATTTAACAACATAATTTGAATTCCTTTCTATGTTGGTAAATAGAAAGAAATTATCTTCAGGCCAGATTTATACAGCCAAATCCAAATGAAGGCTTGCAGAGTTTGGAAAAATTAATATTTTTATTCACTTAATATTTTAAAATTATTATAAATGTAAAGTGGATTTTATTGGGTGGGAATTTAAATGTCCACATAATTATTCATGTAGTCCAGATGACTCTGATTTGCCACTGCCCACTCTGTGGTTGCCCACTCTGTGTGATGTGCTGCCCACTCTGTTTCCAGATGGTATGGCTGTTTAAAAGGTCAAGGAAATCAGGAGAAGCCTCCTTCACTTCCTAACCACCACCCCTATCTTTTTTCTTTCTTGGGCCATTTTCCTTAGGAGGAAGCTCTCCTGACATTGTGCCATCTTGGGGAACAGGCCAGGGAGCAATTTGGCTAAAAGCACAAGGCTCAGTTGTGATCACAACTGTGAGGTGTTCCAGAAACCTGTTCTTCTAACCTTGACAATTTTTTAAGGCACTTCTATTGATAATACGACCATATACAGCTTCAATAGCCTCAAAATGAAAGTATTAAAATGCATGGCAAACAATTTTTTGCTTCCTATCAACCATTTTACGTGTTTTGCAGCATCCCAAATTCTCAGGAATTTTAAGAAGAGTGAAATAGACTACCTTTTTAGAACCTTGGTATAATTGGATGTCAACCTAACACTACTTCTGGTACAATCTATCACTGAGCATGATGCTACCCGACAATGCCTAATGAAAGTTGACAGATTCATTTCTGCTGGGTAAGAGAAGTCAGCTGTCCACCAGAGAGCTCAACATTCTTTCTAACCAATGCTCACTCAGAGATCCCAGGAGATAGGCAGGAACAAATTATTACATCGAAGAAACAAAAGCCATGAGCTTCCTGTCACAATAGTTCTTAACATATTTATAGACTTTTTATACTGGTAGAGACCTTGGAGAGATTATCTAGGGCAAACGCATCCATTTTACAGATGAAGAAACTAAGGCTTTGAGAGGGGAAAGAACGTAGAACACATTAGTCTCAAGGCTGAGACTGGAACCTAGGTGTTTTTGTATCTATAGTTCTGTCTGATTTAACTTTACTAATAAAAGACTGTGTTGTAAAGGTTGACACATCACTATGGATTAATAAACACAGAATACTGAACTTATGGACTAGTTTTCTGAAGTTTTGGTTGCTGAATTTGCTAGTAATAGATCATATCATTATTATTCCTGGAGTCCATTTTAAGGTCATCAAGTAGACCAGGGTTTTTCTTAATTTATAAAAAGGCAAAAAAGGAAGACCCAATCATATATTTTAATGATATTAATAAACATTCACATGTTATAATATGTTTGACTTGTGTCTTATTGCTCCTTTCTCATCTTCTAGAGTGAAGTTTTACTGGAGAGCCTACTCTTTAGCTATTCATCTTGTTTTCAAAGATATCGAGAGTAAAGATGATTCATGTATTCCTCAGTATTCATAAACCAGACCAAGGTGTCTTCTTTCACTCTGGTTAATGCCACAAGCCTCCAGCGTAGGTGGAAAGGAGATGGAAAGGGTCTCTGTATGTGTATTCATGTGCATGCGTGTATGTGTGTGTGTGCATGCATGCGCGCGTGTGTGTGCACGCGTGTGTGTCTCTGCAGGTATTTTGCCTGAGTTTTAAAGTTTCCTAAATACCCTCAGTTAATCATATGTACTTATTTCACAATGTTCACAGCACTTTAATATACAATTAACTTAATAGTATGCTTCAATGGGACATAGTTTTTATGTCTTTTTACTTAAGATAGAAGATTATCTGTATCTCTCTTTCGCTTGATCTGCAAAATAGGGATGATGATAATACCTACCTCATAGGGTTGGTATGAGAATTAAATGAGTAGCTATTATAGAATGCTTGGAACAGTGCCTGACAAATAGTACTTGTTAAATAAGTTTGTTGCACAATAAAGCACCTACAGGACATCAAACTCCAGACCAAATTGAAGTGTCTGAGCCAGGGGTTTTTCAGTCTTGGCTGTACATTGGAATGTACTATGGAGCATTTAAAATGCAGATGCTCAGGCTCCACTTCAGATCTACTGAATCCAAGCCTCCAGCATAGGTGGAAAGGAGATGGAAAGGGTCTCTGTATGTGTATTCATGTGCATGTGTGTATGTGCGCGCACACGTGTGTATGTGTGTGTGCGCGTGTGTGTGTCTCTGCAGGTATTTTACCTGAGTTTTAAAGTTTCCTAAATACCCTCAGTTAAGAACAACCAGCCTAGAGACTGATGACTACATGGTAACATCTTCTATGCAGTAGGTCTTACTCAGCGGAACTTGCAAAACAACAATTAAATTAAAACAAAGTGCAGTTTTTAACTTTGTGTGGCATGCTGAAACATAAACTTGCCAAATTGGTATTCCTTTCCAATTCACCAGTTCCAACCAATCTGCCCAGCTTAACCGAAGTCTAAAATTCTTAAAGCACCCTCCTGACACCACTTCCAGGCCATATTTAAAGAGATGGGGCATTAACTCAGATAACATTTCAAAGAAGATTCTGGGAAGGGAGAGTTTTGGCATTCCTTTTAGAACTCTATTGCCTTGTCTGTCTTAGCTTTAAAGCAAAGTTCACTGTAATATTCCTGATGCTATTTGTTATACTCTGCCCTAATTTGCCTCCTTCATGATGAAGAATAATATTTAATAAATGTCACTTAAAATATGTGTCGACGGAGAAAGGGGAGCATGATAACAAAGGGAAGACTACCCACCATCAAAGCATTGATTATTTGAGTGTACAGACTTACTGAGAGTTCCCACAAGCCACATTGGTATTTTTTAAATTCAAGTTGGTACTTGAATTTCACAACTCTGAGACACCTATCAAAAACACATTTTCATGGGGCTAGTAAGTCCAGGCATATATGTAACTGACAAAATACACTTCTCCATCCCTTATAACAATCATATTTGTCAGTCAAAATGTCAGTAGCTGCTCTTAGGACACATTTGAGTTTAGTCACTATCACAGTTGGTACTACTGTAGTAGGTTTTGTTTCAAGGAACTGTTACTCAGTAAATCAAGTATAATTTTGGATATAAAGTGGTTAAAATTAATAGGCAACAAGGGTGAGATGTGGTAAGTAGGCAGGATGACTAGGGAAACTGATGAAGATATGTTCTGGGACCAGAACAAAGGCAATTGTCTCCCTGAAGTATTAGGGAGAAGCAAGGAAGAGATTGAATTCTGGGAGTGAGGACAGAAAGGAAAATGTTGGTATAAGTGTTTTGAAACAGAAAGCCTTTCATTTCTGAGCCAATGAGGTTCAGCCTGCTTCCCATTCAGAGTCATCACACCTCCCTTCAGCTATAGCCCGTCTCCCACCACCAGTAACTTGCAGTGTTCAGCTTATTCCAACCTCCCTTTTACCCACTGTGTTAAACCAAGACAGATCTGAAAACCACTTCAAGAATCCCCCTCCAGAGTTGGGAAGTAAGGAATGGGGTAGGGGAAGGGAGAGAGATAAACATACAGATAAACCTAAAAAGAATCATCACCCAACAGCTAGGTATTCTGTCTTGGTTACCAAATTTAATGTAACTCCTGCCTAAAGTGACATCTTCTATGCAGTAGGTCTTACTCAGCGGAACTTGCAAAACAACAATTACATTAAAACAAAGTGTAGTTAGAACCCATTTCTTAAAATAGCATAGGCAACACAACCCCACTGCCAGCATTTTATATAAAAGTGAGAGCTTTTAGGTATTTGAACACTGAAAATATTTTGTACGTTTTGCAATGTTCTTCATACTCATCAGTTCTATCTATTTTCCAAGACTACCAGTAGGTTATTCAATTGAGACTCTATTCCCAATCTTTGATTTTTCTCAAAATCATTTTTGTCCTCATTCCATGTTCCCCTACAACTTGCCCACTTTTTATTCTGTCTGGGATCAGATGGGATGCCTAACCAGAGGGAGAAACTAGTGCTTTTTACGATGAGATGCCAATTATAGTATTTGAGCCTAATAGAAATAAATTAATATAAATAATCTATAAACATGGAATGAAGTCTCAGACCACCCAGGAGACGTTTTTGTAACCACAGGTTGTCAGCAAAACCCATCCAAGAAGATCTATTGTATGTCAAAATAGAAACCAAACAGAACCATTTCCATGTCTGTCATATGAACCCTCAAACAATTACGATGTGGTGGACCCTTCTAGTTATTTAAATTTGACTCAATACTCTTCAGGGGCTAGATATTCCATTAACAGCAAATTTTAGTTTTATTTTTCAATCAAATGCAACTATTATATTTGAGCTGTCAGTTTCAGTCTCATAGCTTTGTTTCCAGAAAACTATATAACATGCAGTCCCCTAAATCAGTTTAAAATTATTTAGTGTCAGTACATATGGTCTGTAGGTTTTAGAAGCTCCACAGATTTGCATTCACTCTGAGTCAAAGGGAACCGATCTTGATCCTGCCCTTGCATTTTTAAGATTTGAAGCTGAGGAGGAGGAGATTTTTTTTCAATAAAAGTTACACTGAGTGTTCCTGCTTCTCCTGCCTCCCCTTCCACCTTCACATCCTTCAATTCTGCAACCCCTAAGATGGCAAGACCAGCCCTTCCCTTTTCCTCCTCCTCAGCCTACTCAACATGAAGACAAGGATGAAGACGTTTATGATGATCCATTTCCATTTAATGATAAATAAATATATTTCTTTTCCTTATGATTTTTGAATGATATTTTCTTTAACTTTATTGTAAGAAGACAGAATGTAACACACATAATGTACAAAATATGTGTTAATCAACTATGTTGTTAACAAGGTTTCCAGATATTAGTGGTTACATTTTGAGTAGCCAAGTTATACATTGGAAGAGTTGAAGCAAAATGGCTGAAAAGAAGCCTACAGCAATCATCCCTAACCCAAGGAACATCTAACTGAACAACCATCAACACACACAAAAAAAGCATCTTCGTAACAACCAAAAATCAGATAAGAGGCCACAGTACCTGGTTTTAACATCATAATATGGAAAGAACATTTGTGCCAGCCTGGCAGTACTACCCATAGGCTTGTGGTATTGGTGGCCATGGGTGAGACTTTTCTGCCTGTGGAAGGGGGAGAGAAAAGTGGGAAGGATTGCATCTCATGGTTTGAGTGCCAGCTCTGATGCAGTAAAATAGAACACGAGGTATATTTCTAAGGTTTTTGACTCCACTCCTTGGTTCCCAAATAGCATCTCTGGACCTGCCTGAGTCCTGGGGTAACTTATCACCATGTAGGGAAGAAAAAAGTCCTAGATAGCTTCACCACCTGGTGATTGTAGAGCCCTGGTGCTTTGAGTGAATACAGGTGGTAGCCAGGGAGTGGTTACAGTGAGCCTTGGGCAAGAATCAGTGCTGTGCTGGCTTTAGGTCTGATCCAGTGCAGTCACTGTGGGTGGCCACAGGGATGCTTGTATCACCCCATCCCCACCTCCAGGTGGCTCAGCACAGAGAAGGAGTCTCTGTTTGGGAGAAAGTAAGGGAAGAAAACAAGGCATCTGTTTCTACCTGGTAATTCAAATAATTTTTCTGGATCTTATCCAAGACCACCAAGGTGGTATCTCTGTGAGTCTTCAAGAACCAAAGCATTACTGGGCTTGGGGTGCCACCTAATGCAGGTATGGCTTAGATTACAACATCCAAGTCTTCAAATACCTGGAAAGCCTTCTCAAGAAGAATGAGTACAAAAGAAACCCAGACTAAAATAAATACCTAACTCATCAATTTGCAGACACTGACAAACAACATATTAAGGAAATAAGCATTGACAAGGATAGAAGACAGTCTTGAATCACCTACACCACCCCTACCCCATCCCCTGAGGTGAGCACTTGGCACAGAAAGATAATCTGTGTGCTTGGAGGAAGGAGAGTGAAGTCATTATGTGAGCACAAGCATTCAGATCATCCAGGAAAATATGACCTCACAAAATGAACTAAATAAATAAGGCACTAGGGACCAATCCTGAGAAACAGAGACAAGTGATCTTTCAGACAGAGAATTCAAAATAGCTGTTTTGAGGAAACTCAGAGAAATTCACAATAACACAGAGAAGGAATTCAGAATTTTATCAAATGAACTTAACAAAGAGATTAAAATAATAGAAAAATTCTGGGGCTTGCTTGAATTTTGATGCATTCTTTTAATAGCAGAATTTATCACACAGAAGAAATAATTAGTGAGCTTGAGGAGAGGCTATTGAAAATACAGTCAGAGGAGACAAACGGAAAAAGAATAAAAAACAATAAAGCATGCCTCCAAGATCTAGAAAATAACCTCAAAAGATCAAATCTAAGAGTTATTGGCCTTGAAAAGGGGGTAGAGAACAAAATAGGGCTACGAAGTTTATTCAAAGGGATAACAGACAACTTCCCAAACCTAGAGAAAGATATCAATATTCAAGTACAAGAAGGTTATAGAACACCAAGGAGATCTAACCCAAAGAAAACTACCTCAACACATTTAATAATCAAACTACCAAAAGTTAAATATAAAGAAAGGATCCTAAAAGTAGCAAGAGAAAAGACACAAATAACATACAATGGAGCTTCAATGCATCTGGCAGCAGACTTCTGAGTGGAAACCTTACAGGCTAGGCGAGAGTGGCATGATGTATTTAAAGTGCTGAAGGAAAAAAAATACTTTTACCCTAGAATAGTATATCTGGTGAAACTATACTTCAAACACGAAGGTAAAATACTTTCCCAGAAAAACAAAAGCTGAGAGATTTTATTAATACTAGATCTGTCCTACAAGAAATACTAAAGGGAGTTCTTCAGTCAGAAAGATAATGATGTTAATATGCAATAAGTAACCACCTGAAGATACAAAACTCACTGGTAATAGTAAGTACAAAGACACACAGAATATTGTAATACTATGAGTGTAGTGTGTAAACTACTCTTACCTTAAATAGCAAGACAAAGAGATGAGACAATCGAAAATAATAACTGCAACAACTTTTCAAGATATAGATAGTACAATAAGATAGAAATAGAAACAACAGAAAGTTAAAAAGCAAGGACAAAAAAGGTGTAGAGTTTATAGAACTTTTCTGTTTGTTTGTTTGTTTATGCAAACAGCATTAAGTTTTTATCAGCTTAAAATATTCAGCTATTAGATTGTATTTGCAAGTCTTATGGTAGCCTCAAATAAAAAAATATACAGTGGATACACAAAAATAAAAAGCAAGAAATTAAATCACGCTGCCAAAGAAAACCACCTTCACTAAAAGGAAGACAGGAAGGAAGGAAAGAAGGAAGAGAAGACTACAAAAAACCCCAGAAAACAAATAACAAAATAGCAGGAGTAAGTCCTTACCTATCAATAACAACATTGATTGTAAATAGACTAAACTCTCCAATCAAAAGATATAGAGTGGCTGTATGAATTAAAAAACAAGACACAATTATTGGCTGCCTACAAGAGACATACATAAAGACACAGACTGAAAATAAAGGGATGGAAAAAGATATTCCATGCCAATGAAAACCAAAAAGAGCAGCAGTATCTATCCTTGTATCAGACAAAATAGATTTCAAGACAAAAACTGTAAGAAGAGACAGGTCACTATACAATGATAAAGGGGCTAATTCAGCAAGAGGATATAACAAGTATAAATATATATGCACCCAACACTGGAGCACTCAGATATATAAAGCAAATATTAGAGCTGAAGAGAGAGATAGGTCCCAATGCAATAATATTAATAGCTGGAGATGTCAACAAGGCACTTTCATCATTGTTGATTTTCTTTCTGGAAGATCTGTCTAAAGAAACATTGAACTTAATCTGCACTACAGAACAAATGGATCTGCTATATACAGAAAATTTCATCCAATGGCTGCAGAATATGCATTATTTTTCCTTAGCACATGGATCATTCTCAAGGATAGAACATATGTTAGATCACAAAACAAGTCTTAAAACATTGAAAAACATTGAAATAATATCAAGCATCTTATCTGACTATAAGGGAATAGAACAAGAAATAAATAACATGAGGAATTTTGAAAACTGTACAAACACAAAGAAATTAAACAGTATGCTCCTGAGTGACAAGTGGGTCAATGAAGATATTAAGAAGAAAATATGAAAATTTCTTGAGACAAATGAAAATGGAAACATAACATACCAAAACCTATGGGATACAGTGAAAGTAGCACTAAGAGGAAAGTTTATAGTAATAAGTTCCTGCATTAAAAAGTTGAAAAACTTCAAATAAACAGCCTAATGTAGCATATTAAGGAACTAGAAAAGCAAGAGCAAACCAAGCCCAAAATTACTAGAAGAAAAGAAATAATAAAGATCACAGCAGAAATAAAACTGAAATAAAAAAATAATACAAAAGACCAATGAAATGAAAAGCTGGCTTTTTGAAAGTAAAAACGGTGTAAACAAACCTTTAATCAGACTAAGAAAAAAAGAGAGGTGAACCAAATGTATAAAATCAGAATTTAAAAAGAAGACATTACAACTGATACTGCAGAAATTTAAAGGAACATTGGGGCCACTATGAGCAACTATATGCTAATAAATTAAAAAATCTAGAAGAAAATGAGACATTTCTAGACACATACAACCTACCAAGATTAAATCATAAAGAAATCCAACATGTGAACAGAAAAGTAACATTTAAGAGGAAATAATATTAATCCTACTCAAACTATTCTGAAAAATAGAGGAGGAGAGAATACTTCCAAACTCATTCTATGAGGCCAGTATTACCCTGATAACAAAACAAGTCAAAGACATATCAAAAAAAAAAAAAAAAAAGAAAAAGAAAAAGAATAGAAAAAAGAAAAGTACAGGCCAATATCCCTAATAAACATTGATGCAAAATTCTCAACAAAATACAGCAAAACAAATTCAACAACACATTAAGAAGATCATACGTCATGACCAAGTGGGATTTACCCAAAGGATGCAAGGATGTTTCAGCAAAAGCTAATCAATTAATGAGATACATCATATCAACAGAATGAAGGATAAAACCATACAAGCATTTCAATTGATGCTGAAAAAGCATTTGATAAAATTCAACATTTCTTCATGATAAAAATACTCAAAATACTGGGTATAGATGGAGTATACCTCAACACGATAAGAGCTGTATATGACAGACCCACAGTTAGTACCATATTGAATGGGCAATGATATGATTTGTCTCTGTGTCCCCACCCAAATCTACAATTACATATCATCTAATTCCAGTTAAAATGACTTATATCCAAAACAAGATAATAATGAATGCTGACGAGGATGTGGACAAAAGGGAGCCCTTGAACACTGTTAGCGGGAATGTAAATTAGTACAAGCACTAAGGAGAAGAGTTTGGCAGTTCCTCAAAACACTAAAAATAAAGCTACCATATGATCCAGCAATCCCATTGTTAGGTATACCCAAAAGAAAGGAAATCAATATATCAAAGAGATATCTGCATTCCCACGTTTATTGCAGCACTATTCACAATAGCCAAGATTTGGAAGCAACCTAAGTTTCTGTCAACAAATAAACATATAAAGAAAATGTGGGCTGGGCACGGTGCCTCACACCTGTAATCCCAGCACTTTGGGAGGCAGGAAGGTGGATCACTTGAGGTCAGGAGTTTGAGACCAGCCTTGCCAACATGGTGAAACCCCATCTCTACTAAAAACACAAAAATTCACTGGGCATGGTGACAGACACCTGTAATCCAAGCTACTCGGGAGGCTGAGGCAGGATAATCACTTGAACCCGGGAGGCAGAGGTTGCAGTGAGCCGAGACTGTGCTACTGCACTCCAGCATGGGCAACACAGTGAGACTCCATCTCGAAAAAAGAAAGAAAAAAAAGAAAGAAAAGAAAATTTGGCACATCTGGTACATCTACAGAATGAAGTAATATTTAGCCATAAAAGAGAATGTGATCCTGTCATTTGCAACAACATGGATGAAATTGGAGGTCATTATGTTAAGTGAAATAAGTGAGACACAGAAAGACAATTATCATATTTTCTCACTCATCTGTCAGAGCTAAAAATTAAAACAACAGAACTCATGTAGATAGAGAGTAGAATGATGGTTACCAAAAGCTCTGAAGGGTACTGGGGGTGGGGTGGAAGTGGAGATGGTTAATGAGTACAAAATCAGTTAAATAGAATGAATAAGATATAGTATTTGATAGCACAATGGATGACTAGTCAACAGTAATTTATTTTACATCTTAAGATAACTGAAAGAGTATAATTGGATATAATTGGATTGTTTTTAACACAAAGAATAAATGCTAGAGGTGATGGATATTCTATTTGCCCTGACGTGAATTATTATGCATTGTATGTTAGTATCAAAATATCTCATGTACCCCAAAAATATATACATCTACTGTGTATTCACATTTTTTTAAGTTATACATGGATTTTTGACTGCAAGAGGTGTCACTGCCCCAACCCTCATGTTGTTCAAGGGTTAACTGTAATTAGGACAAAAACTGCCTTTGTGATTACCCTTATTAATATATTTGGCTTCCATCATGGAAACTGACATGGCATCTTCCTCACTTGGTGCCAAGTCTTGTTCATATTTAACAGAAAATTTTTTTCCTTCCATGTGCATACCTTCTCCATGTTATCAATGATATTATCTGAATTGTTCTAAGTCATACATTCCTTTTTTTTCTGGAGAAAAGGAAAAAAGTCTGTAAAATGGCTCTACCTTTATTTGATAAGTTGCCCTTGTTTCCAACATATTCATTTAACAAATTTAATTGAATCTCTACTATGTGTCTTTACAACAGACATTTGTTATCAAAGATTTGGCTGATTTTCTCTTATTGACAGCAGGGGCACAGAAAGGAAGAGGTTAAGTTTCCACATATGTTCAGGTAACATGTTGTTTCTTCTTGGCTAAAATTTGTTTGAGAAACCTAATGTAAGATGACTACAAAACTGTCCCTGAAAGAGCAATTATTACTCTACCACCTAAAATAACCAATCAGGCCAGGTGCAGTGGCTCACGCCTGTAATCCCAACACTTTGGGAGGTTGAGGCATGTGGATCACCTGAGGTCAGGAGTTTGAGACCAGCCTGACCAACATGGTGGAACCCTGTCTCTACTAAATACAAAAAATTAGGCTGGACGCGGTGAGTCACGCCTGTAATCCCAGCGCTTTAGAAGGCTGAGGCAGGCAGATCACGAGGTCAGGAGATCGAGACCATCCTGGGTAACATGGTGAAACCCCATCTCTACTGAAAATACAAAAAAAAAATAGCCGGGCGTGGTGGCAGGCGCCTGTAGTCCCAGCTACTCGGGAGGCTGAGGCAGGAGAATGGCGTGAACCCGGGAGGCGGAGCTTGCAGTGAGCCGAGATCGCACCACTGCACTCCAGCCTGGGCGACAGAGTGAGACTCCATCTCAAAAAAAAAAAAAAAAAATTAGCTGGGTGTGGTGGCGCATGCCTGTAATTCCAGCTACTTGGGAGGCTGAGGCAGAAGAATCCCTTGAACCCAGCAGGTGGAGGTTGCAGTGAACTGAGATCATGCCACCGCACTCCAGCCTGGGCAACAGAGTGAGACTCCATCTCAAAATAAATAAATTAAAAAAAAATAAATAAATAAAAATAAAATAACCAATCAGTCAAAAATAATCCCTTGTTTATTTGTCATTTATTAATCATCTACTATGTGCTAGATACTGTGGTTTGTGGTAGAGATACAAAGATGAACAGCTTCACTTCCTTCCCCACAATAGAGATCCTGCTGTTTCCTTCATTATAAGGGGACTCTGATAGATGGAGGTAGCTAGATTATTGTTTGGCATAGGAAATAAGACCAAAAAAGATAATTCATTAATAAATGTTCCTAGAAATAGGTAAGGAGGCCTCAGGATCATTTACTGGATCAGCTGGGAAACTGTATAATCTGGGTATCATATAGCAATTTCAACTACTTCTGCTAAAGCCTGACCATTCTCACCATAAATAAAGTGCCTTTTCCTTAGCCAAACATACACATGTCACTGTTCATGCAATTTTGCTCCTTACTAAACATAACAATAAAATCCAAGCAGTTACATCAGTGCAGACATCTAGCCTGGCCAAACATTTCACTTCCTCCAATTAATTAACTAACTTGCTAGTTTAAAGAATACACAGTAAAACCTTGATTAACTAGTATGCTTACAGAATAGGATATTGTAGGTAATTGAATTGTCTAACAAAAGTTGAGCAGAAAGCATTTTGTTGCTTTCAACTCCTGTTTAAAATTATTTTTAATTTTTAAATGGCCCAGGCAAATTGAGTTGAAGCTCAAGTGAATGCAGTCTAGCACATAGGACTGCATTGTTACTGGGCAATAATGGCCATTCAGAACGTCATGGTCATCACCATGCACATCAATATTCACTCTACAGAGCAGGAGATGCAAAAATTATAATGTCTAGGACTGTGTTTTGACCTAAAAACATTTCCTAGAAGTCATTTTTTCATATGAATTCCCGATACTAGCTTGCTTGGGGTTTAGCCTCTTTTTCCTCCAAATTTAATTAATAGTAATATAGTCTAGCTAATTTAGTGTTTTACTGAAGTAGAGTCTGCTAAAGTACTATATAAATGGCTGCTTAACTTTTGGCAGATAGCAAGAAATTGTACATAGACCTTAGATATGAAAGAAGTTTAATTTCTCTTTACAGAGTAGAAAAACAAAGGTCCAGGGGAAGAGAAAGTGACTTAGACAAAGTCTCACAAATAATCTCAGAGCTGAGACTTACAGCCACATTTTCTCCTTCAGGATTCAGGGTCTGATCTACTACATCCAATGGTAATGGTGAGTTCTCTGTGGTTTAGATGATCTTAACTGTTTCTCCCAATCTTAAAGTTCTTGATTTCTTCAAATTGGTACTGTAATTATCATACCTGTTAAGATGCTTATTTTTTTAAACCAGTTCAGAGGTATGGATTTTATAATGACAAAACATATTTTTGGATTTTACATAATACCTCAAAATAGACAATGCAATACAGGATGCTGAAAATTGTCAGAAGTCCTCTTTTATCTCAGAGGTGCATTGAAATGGAACTTTGAAAGATCATCAGTCTGCTCTGTCCGATTATTGATGTTCTTTGATTGAAATGCAAATTTAGATTTTCCAGAATACCTACTAGCACAAAGAAGACTTCCAGTATATGGAGGTGAGAATATTTGCCTTCTTAATATGACATTTTATTATTTTTAGTTGGAGCTACATATATTCATAAGAAATATATGTAGGAAAATCATTAATTTGTAATATTCACTAGAAGAAAGCTGTCATTTTTTTCTTTCAAAATTGTAATGAGATATTTGCAATTTCTGTTCTGAATGTTTTCTTAAGCACACAAAGAATAGACATTCGAATTATAGGAAGATGTTGCTTTTTAAAGTCAAATGTTTCTCCTTTCACCTTTGAAAGAAGAAAAGTGGACCTAATTGAATGCAGTAGTGTATTAAGTCATTTTGGTTGCTCTTTTCCTGGCCAACTACCAGAGTAGTCTCTTAATATAGAATTTCCAACTAGGCAAACCCACTGGGCTTTTTCAGGAAAAAACCCAGAGTGATTTAGTGAGACTGGGGGCTTTTCCTACAGTGGTTTCGGAGTTGTAACTGTGGGCAATTCTAAAGAATAAGATTTTGCATTTGACTGTACATCAAATTCACAGACAAATCCAGTCTTTTTACTAAGTACTCACTTTTTAGATTTCAATTTAAATATTAAATCATAAAATAGCCAATGGGATGAGATTAGAGTGACTGTGTGTAGTTCCTATATACAGATAAGTATTCTTGTGTTCCTCATTATTTTATTTTTTGCCAATCAAAACATTCACTGTGTAATGCTAAAAATAATAAGAACCAACTTATTCTTTATAATGCTAAAAGGGCTAACAGATGCCATGAAGGCTATGTATGTCAGCTGTGTTATATCAGACATTAACTATTGCTATAGACTGAATATTTGTGTTTCCCCCAACATTCGTATGTTGAAACCTAATCCCCAGTTTGATGGTATTAGGAGGTGGGGCTTTTGGAAAGGTGATCAGATAATGAGAATGGAGTCCTCATTAATAGGATTAGTGTCCTTATAAAAGAGGCCCAAAGACCTCCCTTGCTCTTTCTGCCATGTGAGGACACAGCAAGAAGACCACTGTCTACGAACCAGGAAGCAGGACCTCACCAGACACCAAATCTGCCAGTGCCTTGATCTCAACTGTGAGAAAAAATTTCTGTTGTTTGTAAGCCACCCAGTCTATGGGACTTTGTTATAGCAGCCAAAACAGACTAAGACAACTATGTAGAATTGAAATATGTCTGACATGATTTCACCAGTGAACTATTCACATATACATAACAAATAGTGTTATAATGAGGATATCTTAATGGGTTGATAATTTTGGAGATAATATTCAAGGAAAATTCACATTTTTCACTTAAATATTTGTTTACAAATGTGAAATTTATGGGGCAGAATGATAAATTCAGATATCTTCTTTAAGAGGCTGCACCTATTTCTCTTTGGCCATATCTACACAGCCAGCCAGACAATTTAGGCTAAAAAGAAATCTAGGTTAGGAGCAGGGTTATCTAGATCAGTACTGTCCAAGAAAATTCTGTGTGGTAATAGCAATGTTTCATATTTGCACTGTTCCATATAGTAGCTACTAGCCACGTGTATCTAATTAACATATGATATGTGACTGTGTGACTGAAAAACTGAGACTTTTTTAAAATTAATTAATTTCAATTTAACTGTACATGTAAATAAGCTGGACATGGTGGTATGCACATGTAGTCCCAGCTACTGGGGAGGCTGAAATGGGAAGATGACTTGAGCTTAGGAGTTCAAGGCCAGCCTGGGCAACATAGTAAGATTCTGTCTTAAGGAAGCAAACAAATAAGTAACTAAAAGTAAACAGACATATGTGGTTAACAGCTACCATATCAGATAGCACAGATCTAGATTTTTCCATATACAATACAGCAGTTTCTTGAACATCAAAGCAACATCATTTTACTCATGATGAAAAAAAAATGCATCCTTGCTAGGGCCACTATCTGTGTGGAGTTTACACATTCTCCCCATATCTATGTGGGTTTTCTCTGGGTACTCTGGCTCCCTCCCGCATCCCAAAGCTGTGCATGTTAGGTGGTCTCAGTGTGAGTGTGTGTGTATGCGTGTGTATGTGTGTGTGTGTGTATTAGTGTGCCATGTGATGGGATGGTGTCTTGTCCACAGAGGGTTCCCACTTTGACCCTTAACTGCCAGAATAGGCTCTGGCCACCTGCCACCCAGGACTGTAATCAGTGGGTAAATAATTATCTTGTTTTTATTTATTTTATTTTATTTTTCGAGACAGAGTCTCACTCTGCTACCCAGGCTGGAGTACAGTAATACAATCATAGCTCAATGTAACCTGGAACTCTTAGGCTTAAGCAATTCTCCCACTTCAGCCTCCAAAATAGCTAGGACTACAGGTGCACACCACCATGCCTGGCTAATTAAATCTTTTAAAAATGTAAGTATTGCTCACATTTATTTCATTGTTTAACATTATAAGTGTTTTGGTTTTATTTAAAAGGTTGTTGATGTTTTTTTGACCAGACATATGCTGTGAGAACTTTACTCTATTTGTTTATATCAATTAACCTGTGGTAAAATTGGTTTTGTTATATGTCATTTTGCATAAAGCCACAGTTTCCAAGAATCTATTGATGAACATATTAAGTGAGGACATACTGTAATATCAACCAATCAGGGTGTGTGGGAGGAGGAGGTTCTAGACTCTGTTTTCTTAGGTATAAATTCTATACTCAATCACTTACTAGCTATAAGGATTTGGGCAAGTTATGTAATCTCTGTGGGCTGCAGTTTCCTCATCTATAGTCCTACCTTAACGAGTTGTTCTGAAGACTTAATGACACAATGTAAGTGACACCCATAGCATGGTGCCTGGCATAGAGTAAGCACTCAAAACACAGTGGCTATTATTATTATTACTTGATCAACTCCAAAACTTCAATTAATTTGGGGTTGTACAGGCAGCTTTAACATCAGCAGAGGTGTTTTAATGTGTGGCAAAAGAAAAAAGCAAAATGGAAAAGAATAAAATTTTCAGGCATTTCAGAAAAGAACTCAGCTTTTTTTCTCTAAATGATACATTATGCTAGGGTGGAAAATTGGAAAGTAACTTCTTCAGGCAGTACAGGAAGTTTTGATGAGAAACAGCTGAGGGGAGGGGACAAGATGGGCGAATAGAAACAGCTCCGGTCTGCAGCTCCCAGCAAGACCAACACAGAAGGCAGGTGATTTCTGCATTTCCAACTGATTATTCTAGCCATCATCCTCAGCAAACTTACACAGGAACAGAAAACCAAACAGCAGATGTTTTCACTCATAAGAGGGAGTTGAACAATCAGAACACTTGGACACAGAGAGGGGAACAACACACTGGGGCAATTCGGTAGGTGGGGTCAAGTGGAGCGAAAGCATTAGGACAAATACCTAATGCATATGGGGCTTAAAACCTAGATGACAGGTTGATAGGTGCAGCAAACCACCATGGCACATGTATACCTATGTAACAAACCTGCACATTCTGCACTTGTATCCTGGAACTTAAAGTTAAAAAAAGAAAAAAAAAAAGAAACAGCTGAAATCCAAGGGATTTAAGGTCTATGAGAGGAGCAGGAGTTTTAATATGCTGTGATGAGAGGGGCTCTGAAAAAATACCAAACCAGAAAAAAAAGGTAGTTTAAGTACTTCTTTTGGAAAGCTCTAACAGAATCTTAGTTGCTTTCTTTATTTTTCTAACAACAGCTTCCAGGCTCACGGTATAGTCTTTTGCTGACCATGAGTTCCATTCCAGAGAACAGTATTACACAGACACCTAATTTTCTTTCAATATCCCTTGTGTTCCATTATAACAGAATTCTAAATTTTTAGCTGAACACATGGTCACCCAGCATAAAGACTATATTTCCCAGTTTTCTTTACGGCTAGTTGTGGCCAGGAGATAGTCCCAGACAATGGGCTCTAAGTGGAAGCAGAGCATGCAACTCCTGAGAATGTCCTTAAAGGGAAAAGTTTGTCCTTCTCTTCCCTTTACTCCTTGCTGGGTAGAATGCAGACATGATGGCTAGAGGAAGGCCTCTTTGACCATGAGGTATGCCTTAGAATATAGGCTAAGCATGGAAGAGCTGCAAGATCAAAGAGCTAGCCCATACCAGCCATGCTGTGTACCTCTGCACTTGAATGCATGAGAAAAGTAACATACGTTGTATAAGTCACTCTTATTTAAGGTTTTCTGTCAGTCATAACAAGGCTAATCCTTTTTTTTGTCCCTTTATTTCTTCAAAAACAAAAACAAAAATGGGATACATGTGCAGAAACTGCAGGTTTTTTACATAGGTATATGTGTGCCATGGTGGTTTGCTGTACCTATTGGCCCGTCCTCTTAAGTTCCGTTTCCTCATCCTCCACCCTCAACAGGCCCTGGTGTATGTTGTTCCCCTCTCTGTGTTCATGTGTTCTCATTGTTCAACTCCCAGGCTAATTCTAATTAATCATAGTTGTTCTAGCTGAAACTGATGGCAGTGGCTGCTGCCATCACACCGGCTACCGCAGGGAGGCATGGCTGGAGCTGCACACTCCATGCAGCCGGTGGGAGGCCCGCCCTTTCTGAGTTAGGGCAGGAGCTCCCCAGATACAGGGGCAGTCGCCCAAACCGTGGCTGCAGACCCAGGCCTCCTGCTCTTTGGAGCAGACAGGAGCCCTGCCCTCCTGGGCGGGGCTACGGCCACCCAAACTGTGTAGTGGATCCGACCCTCCCTGTGCTCTTGGGGGGATCTGCCCTCTCGGATGCAGCTGCAGCTGGCTGACCAGCAGCTGAAGACCTGGGCTTCCCACTCCATGGACCAGGCAGAAGCCAGGGACAAGCAGGAGCCCCACCCATTCTGAGTTGGCTGAGCAGAAGCTCCCTGGGTGCAGCTGCGGCTGCCCTCCGAGGCACAGGACCTGTGCATCTCTGCAGCCTGCACCTCAGGGGCAGACATGACCCCCCAGTCCCTGCAGGCTCGGGGTGTCTGCTCCGCTGCCTGGCCTCTGTCTTCTCCTGGCGCCTGCTCTGATGTGGTAGTGGGGTTGGGCTGAGCCCAGGGCCATAAATGGCAGCAGGAGGCAGACAGATTCCTGGGCAAAAAGGGGTGGGTCCCCAGTAGGTCCCCACATTCAGGCCAGGGAGGGCCTGAAGGCTGAGGGCCCAGCTGCCAGTCCTGCAGACCCACTGGAATGGGGACTTAGTGTGCCTGCTCTGGGCCCACCCATGGCTTCCCTCGGACCAATCAGCACGCACTTCCTCTCCTCCGAGGTCCGTAAAAGCACCCAACTTGGAGCAGGGCAGAGGGCAGAGGAGGGACAGACAACTGGATGACCAGCTGCACAAAGGAGCTACCCTCTCTGCTGAGAGCTTCAGAGACCTGCAGAGATGTCTGAACAATCTGCCTGCAGAGAAAAGCCACCCTCTCCAGGGCCTCCTCTCTGCTGAGAGCTGAACACTCAGGGGATGGCCTGCCTTCAGAGGATCTAGGTACTGCAGGTCTCCTCTGAGCTGTTCTAACAGTAAAGCTCTTCTTTGACTTCTTTACCCTTTACTTGTCTGTGTACCTCATTCTTCCTGGACCTGGGACACAGGACAAAAACTCAGGCAAAGGTGCACTGGCCACAGAGGTTTTGGGAGGAAAATCGACACCCCAAAGATCTTGTAACAAAAATGTGTAAACATCTATGTCCAGTAAACAAGAGTTCCAAGGCAGACTTCTTTTAGGCTTAACTTTTTAAAAGTAAGGAACACACTGTTAGAGAGTACTTAAATAAGAATTTAGGCTACTTTGAGACTCATCCTACAGAGGATTCAGACAACCAGTCAAAAATCAAATAGACTGCTAAAGTATACATAAAGATAGAATATCAATGAAATGTAAATCTGCGAATGCCATAAAAAAATGTAGCATCATCTTATAGCAACTACCTGTAGAATAGCAATAGAAATGACAAATGGAAAGCTGTACTGAGTCCTACTTCCAAAAAGCATACTTTTTACTCCTTAGATGAGATATTGGAATTCACCATGCTGCACCTATGGACAGAAACAGGATTTTTTCTACCACTTGATGCTAGTTAACCTTTGATAATGACTATCTGCTAGAGAAAATCTATTATTGGACACACAGTGCAAGTATTTTGTGGGAAGCAAAGCATCCAAGAATCTTCTAACAATTTTATTCAATTAGAATGAAAAAGATTCTTTATAATTATTATTTGAAGGATCAGTCTGTGTTGCATTTTTAGGGAGAAAAGGCCATGAATCAGAACCACTATAAGGACAACTCTGACAGTAGTTTCAGAATTTAACAGATATTTAGTTTACTATTTTTTTTTAATTAAGAACTTGTAGAGTTTTGGGGCAAAGTACTTCCACAGGCCTATAAAAAGAAATCAATAGTTTCCCCCCAATTAATACTGGATTCATTATTCAAAGTGCAAGGAGTACTTAATTTTCAAGAGCTATGTGTGAGTATTGACATTTCAACTACATAGAAGTAACTTTATTTACTATAATAAAAGCATATTAATGTTGATTTATTTAAACACTTCAGTGAAGTGGCAGTTCAGTTTAATCAAATACCAACCTAATTGGGTTATGTTTGATTTAAAAGTTTCAAAACACTATTATGAGATTTGTTAAGGGCTGAATTTAGAAAAGTTATAATCATTAAGAATTTACATTATGTGCTGAGGCTATACTGAGTTTAGTGGCAAATTTCCAAGCAGCAGACCTTTTAAAAGACTAATTGTCTATGACTATGTAATTCCCTCAGCACTGAACAGGCCTTGCCATTGACTTGCAAATACCAAGTTAGAACAATGCCCAGAGCACCCACAAGAAAAAGAAAATCTGCCTAACATGAAGAAGGGGTAAAAACGAATGTTGCTATATGTTTCCATTTCTCTTCTTTTTAATTTTCAAACCATACATTCTACAATTGTCATAGTGCCAGCTAAGATTATAATATTTTCAAAGATATGTCAGCATTTTCAGAAATCCACTCCTCACCACTCTTTACCAGGTTTGCTATATATTCTAAACACAAGATGCCACAGGTCTCTATGAAACTTGAAAAAAAAAAAAACCATAAGTAGTAAGAAATGCTACCCTCATGACTGAATTTTCAGTACTCTCTCAAACAATTTTGCATCCTGCAGGCAAGACCATGGTAAGGTTTTATTGAGGGGATAGGTGGGAACAAGTTGACAGGGCAAAAGGGGATTTTGGAATGAAATGAAAAAGAAGAAATGTTTGTTTTCATCAAGGATGATACAAATTGCCAGTGATTTAGACATTGTTCTCTAATTTTCAGTTTGGAAGATAAAGGCATTAAGTCTGTAAATCTGTGGTGCCTAACAGAGGAGCCACTAGCCACATGTGGTTATTGAGAAGTGGAAATGGGGTTAGTGCAACTGAGGGATTGGATTTTTAGTTTTAATTAATTTAAATTTCTACATGTTGCTAGTGTTGACGGTGTTGGACAGTTCAGATATAGTGGCTTAATCATATCCTGTTTGTTTTGTTTTCAAGACTACTTCATAGGTAGTGATGCAAAAATGAGTTCCTCTAAATGTACACTGTCCACTATGGCAGCTACTGGCCACGTGTGACTATTGAGCACATGAAATAGGACTAGTCCAAATTGAAATATGCTGTAATTATAAAATATACACTAGGTCTTGAAGTATCAGCATGAAAAAAAATGTGCAATATCCCATCAATGATTTTTTACATTGATTAGTTGGTAAAATGGTTATTTTTACTATATTGTGTTAAATTACTAAATTTCATTTTACTTGTTTTATTTTATATTTTTTAGTTTGGTTACCAGAAATTTTAAAATTACATATGTAGTGCACATTATATTTCTGTTGGACAGTGCTGCCCTAAACAAATCAGTCCAGTGATTTAGTTCATTAAGCATGAAAATACATTAAGTAAGTGAAATAATATTGAAGTAGTGCTGCAAATTTTTACATCTTTGACAACTCCATTGTTAAGTGGACTCTTCCCCTGTCATTTGCATCCTGACACATGTCATGAAAACCTCATTAATATCTTTTGAGGAACCAACTTGTCCCCTCACAGCTGTGGTTCCTCTCTCTCTTTTACCTAGACTGTCACAATGGACACTCCTGCTGCGATGTGATCTCTATTCCTTCTTCCTTTACAGAGCTGCTTCCTTACTTGCTCACTTCTGCATTCGCACTGGTCTCAGTGGTGGTCTGGGAAGTCGTTTCTAAAACAGATACTTCAGGCTGTTGAGTCACCATGCTTTCATTGGGTTTGTTCTATACCTTCCATTTCTTTCTATCTCTCTTCTTTTCCCTCAATCTACTGACTCCCAGAAGGAGTTTCTTTTCCCAGATTAAGTTTTTTCACATGGTTAATCTGGGATTTTCTTTAATGTCATCCAGTTTTTCTTGGTAATAGCAAATAATAGTTGTTCTTCAGTTAGCATCTCTATTTTTCATCACATTATATCTCTTTTCAAAGGTATGAATATTGAATCAGAGGAGACTACCTAGCCTGCTTGCATAATCCTGAAGTGTTCACTCTGAGAAGAATTAAGCTAGAGCAGGCACTTTTTAATGAGCAAAAGCTCTTGTTAGAATAGAAGACAAGCAGGTGAGGAGGTATTCACACTTAATTCCTTCTAAAATCTCCCTAGAGCATAGGAATCCTGCATCATTAACAGCTGGACTGAAAACCATTAACACTCAACCTAACATCAAGAATTCTCAATCCAAAGGAAATAGTTCAGGGAAGTGAACTCCCTTTCTTGCCAAAATAATAGTAAGTGAATAAATAGATAAATCAATTAAAACCAAACAGAAATATTTTCCGTTTTAATTGGCTAAAACAGCATGCCAATTTTACACAGAGTAAAATGGCATACCGAGCATACATAGAGGTTCAAAATTAATAGTTTGAATTAATCTGAAAGAAAAAGCCTGAAGGAAATATGAGTTGCTAAAGCTGTGATGCTTTTTGGAATAATATTTAATGGTGTCTACTAGATATGCATCATCTTTTAAGCCAAATTCAAATATTTAAATTAAGTCTACATTCAAAAATAAAAGAACTCTCTATGTAAGGGGTATATGCAACTCCCTGCATGTGATGAGAAAGAACGTAGCTCAAGCTGAATGGAAATCCAGGGAGTTAAGTTCTGTTAGGCAAGGGAGGGTGAGATAGGTGTGGATATGGGATGCTTTCTTGTATGTGGAAGGAATTTTACTGGAATTTCTAGATATTCAGGAGTGAAGGGAGCGGGCAGAATGGGGTTTAAAATCATGTGAAAGGTTCTATCTGCCAAATGGGAGGAAGGCGGCAGAACAAGGGAGATAGAGAAATGCCTGAGACAAATTGCTTGTGTTGGCCCTTTTACTAGGTCTAGCACCCCCCCAAAAAAAAAAAAAAAGGTTAGTGCTTATGTAGGTAAAGTAGGCGATGTAGAGAAAGGACAATGAAAAACGAATGGTGTCTAATAGAATAGCAATTAGTAAGAATACAAGAATGGACACTGTGCTCAAACCTACCAGTAAACAGGACTTACACATAATGCTGATGGTCACCAACCTCTTTTATTTAAAATTATAGCCAAGGTTCTTAGGAAGTCAAGTGTAGTTTATTTTTTAAATGCATTGCACTGGATATAATGCAGGGACTGGACAAAGAGGAATGGGAGAGAGAAGAATCAGCTCTTAGATTCACTAGGAAGCAAAAGGTAGGTTTAGTCTGGAATTTGATAATTACTGCTAGTGATGTCTGTAAGCACTGGTAACTGATGTTTTTCAGTAAATGCTAAGAATCAAGCAAAGAGAAGGAAATAAAAGTTTCAATCCAGAGAGAAATTCTGATCAGAAAGCAGAGTGCAGCCACTATTGAAAGATAGGGTAAGAGTCATTCATGGGACATAAAAAGTTCTCTCCTGGGTCAGGCTGACACTATTCATGGTGGTTTTCAATTCCTGGTTACTTCAAGCCATATTTGCTTTCCATCTATTTTTCAGGATTAGCATATATGTGGATGTCATGCAATATCCAAAGTAGAAACAGTCATATATATGTGGCAGAAAGTAAATGCACCAAACTAAATTTAAACTGCAGTTTAAACAACCCACATGAGTAGCTTGAGCACTTCATGTACTAGGAAGTCTATGAGGATCTGGAAGTCTTAATGTTTTCTCTTCCTAAGTAATATCTAATTTCATGAAAGAGTGTGAGGTTCAAGCTCTCAGAAGAAACTATTAATGTTTTGCATAGTCATTACATTTTCAAAATAGGAAAGACCAAAGGTTATTTAGCCAAATTTAATAATTTTTTAAGATTAATTTTTTAATCTAAGTAATAAATGTACATACTTTAAAAAGTCAAGCAGTGCCAGGTGTGGTAGCTCACACCTGTAATCTCAGCACTTTGGGAGGCTGAGGCAGGAGGATTTCTTGAGGCCAGGAGTTCAAGACTAGCCTGGGCAGCATAGCAAGACACCATCTCTGTGAAATACATAAAATAAAAATTTTAAAAAGTTAGCCAAGTCTGGTGGCATGTGCCTGTAATTCCAGCTACTCAGGAGGCTGAGGTGGGAAGATTGCATAAGCCCAGGAGTTCAAGGCTGCAGTGAGCTATGATCACACCACTGCACTCCAACCTGAGTAACAGAGTGAGACCTGTCACTTAAAAATAAATAAACACAATAAAAGTCAAGCAGTACTACTAGGCTTGTAATGCAAAGAGCAGTCCCCTGCTCTGTTCTGTCTAACTGCTGATATATTTTCTCCCAAAGTAAACAACATCCAACTCTCTGCTCTTTTTCTTCTGATGTTTGCCTCCACATACACATCTAAATTATACACTTACACTGTTATTTTTTAAAATTCAATATTAGGTAGTACCTGCTGACTTCCTATTATAAGAAGAGAATTCCACTTTCCTAAAAGGCCCCTTCTACCCAGCACATACACCATAGTTGGTTAAATCAGTTCAGTGTTTACAATATTGTTGATTATGTCACATTATTTATAGCTGAGCTACTCACTCTATTATGATTACCTTTCTTTGCTTGTATGACATTTTAATTTTTCTGGAGCTCATTAATTGGCTCATTTTTTTCAGTTGCTTAGCTTTCTATATACCAGTAATTAATTCATCACCAAATTCTCTGAATAATTGAAAACCTCCTCTAACTACACATTCAAGTTGTCAGCATGCTATCAGGCTCATGTTCCACTTGGAAGTATTGCTCTTAGAGTTATCTGTCCTCTGGCTCCAATCTATACCATGGTAGAAGTTTAGCTACCTGTTTCTGGAAACTGAGTATGGAAAAAGGGCATTGGGACGTTCATTGTTGACTATGTAGACTTTCCCTTATTTTCCCTGTTTTCAGTACAAGTCATCTTTGCTGTCCTCAGCTGGGCCTACTGTTCCTAAGCCTAGAGCCTGAGTAGTTAAGCCTCCCCAAAGAGTAAACCTTCTGTCTCCAATCAGAATAGGAGTGGAGGATTCAATTATCTGGGAGTACAGTGTGGGAAAGATATCTAGGGGTCTAACTACTTGCTTTAAAGACATTTCATAAGGTCACTTGTTTTCAGTCTCAACCTACTTCCCTGCCTGAAAATTTATTTGATATTTCTAACTTTTGAAACTTTCTGGGGTTCTATGGTGGAAATGGGCTTGCTTCTTGCCTTTGCATCCCCCTCCTCTTCAGGCTTAGGCTTAGCTTTCCCAAGGTCAGCTGAGTCAGTGTAACACTTGTCCATCTGCTTTCCAGCTTCCAAATTTTTGTTACCACCCCCTGTCTGATGTCATTTCCTACTCAGTCTTTTTTTTAATGAGTTATACCCTTTTTATTCCTTTAATGTCATTTCAGTGGGGTTTAGGGATGGAGTAGAGATTCAGGCCTATGTTCAGTTCACCATATCTAACCACATTCGTCTTTAAATACAAAACTATTAACACTTGGGAGGATCTGGTAGGCCTAAGTGCACAATGTTTGCAAATGACAGGAACAAGACTTGAGAGAACCCAGAACTCCTAAGTCTTGGTCCTGTGCTCTTTCCACTTATCCCACTGAATCTCTCAGATGCAAAGACTGTTATCTTCCTGATTGTTTTGACATTCTGATAAGTGTTCCAGGCTTTATACAAGTGTTCTGAGTACAAGGTTTAATGCATTTAGTGGCCTGAGCATTACAACTTGGCTTAGTACTCTAAGACTGTTGTGTTTTCTTTTTGCCAAATTTTAAATAGTCATCAGCCTTAAGTATGATCAGGAATATATAATTAAAATACTGTAATTGATACTCATAAAATCAGACTCAATAATTCTAGAATTTTAGTTTGTTGTTATTATTTAGACTTAGCAACTTTTAAGAGACAAACCTTTGCTAGTGGTTAGTAAACTGGGGAACTTTTCATGATGAAAAGAACAACCTAAATATGGACCAGGCAAATATTCATTGGTCAGTTTATGAAGTTTGTAACAATTGACCATTGCCTCCCTTCAACTCAGACTTGTAAACAGTAGTGGTAAGCTAGATGTGTCCTAGAGAACTAGAAAAATGCCTACCTACCTCCTCAGGATATACTGACTATGGCTCTCTTTCCACATTGTAAGGATCTTGGGAGAAATTGTTTGGATTATTATGTCAAAGCAAAACATGTTTTTTTTTTTTTTTTCTGCTTTGAGAAGGGGATGAGGAAAGAGAAAGACGGAAGGGACTTATTTCAGTAGAGCCATAAGAAGGTAGTGAAACAGGAGGAATAGAAGAAGGGATTGGGAGTTGGGGGTTGGAGACTGGCTGCCTCCCAAGTCTAAATGAAAAGCACAGTGCTTCCTAAAAAGTGTGTTGAAGAACAATAGTATGCCAAGATTTGCTTCCAGGTGAGCCAACATATCTATCCCCTCAGTCCTTGGAGTGGTTTAGCAGGGTCAGATGTAGCCAGAGCCCCTGGCTAGTCTGCCGTGATATCCAGTGTGCCACACAAATACTCTCTTTTTCTTTTTTTATATTATTATTATACTTTAAGTTTTAGGGTACATGTGCACAATGTGCAGGTTAGTTACATATGTATACATGTGACATGTTGGTGCGCTGAACCCACTAACTCGTCATCTAGCATTAGGTATATCTCCCAATGCTCTCCCTCCCCCCTCCCCCCACCCCACAACAGTCCCCAGAGTGTGATGTTCCCCTTCCTGTGTCCATGTGTTCTCATTGTTCAATTCCCACCTATGAGTGAGAATATGCGGTGTTTGTTTTTTTGTTCTTGCGATAGTTTACTGAGAATGATGATTTCCAATTTCATCCATGTCCCTACAAAGGACATGAACTCATCCTTTTTTATGGCTGCATAGTATTCCATGGTGTATATGTGCCACATTTTCTTAATCCACTCTATCATTGTTGGACATTTGGGTTGGTTCCAAGTCTTTGCTATTGTGAATAGTGCCGCAATAAACATACGTGTGTGTGTGTCTTTATAGCAGCATGATTTATAGTCCTTTGGGTATATACCCAGTAATGGGATGGCTGGGTCAAATGGTATTTCTAGTTCTAGATCCCTGAGGAATCGCCACACTGACTTCCACAATGGTTGAACTAGTTTACAGTCCCACCAACAGTGTAAAAGTGTTCCTATTTCTCCACATCCTCTCCAGCACCTGTTGTTTCCTGACTTTTTAATGATCGCCATTCTAACTGGTGTGAGGTGGTATCTCATTGTGGTTTTGATTTGCATTTCTCTGATGGCCAGTGGTGATGAGCATTTTTTCATGTGTCTTTTGGCTGCATAAATGTCTTCTTTTGAGAAGTGTCTGTTCATATCCTTCGCCCACTTGTTGATGGGGTTGTTTGTTTCTTTCTTGTAAATTTGTTTGAGTTCATTGCAGATTCTGGATATTAGCCCTTTGTCAGATGAGTAGATTGCAAAAATTTTCTCCCATTCTGTAGGTTGCCTGTTCACTCTGATGGTAGTTTCTTTTGCTGTGCAGAAGCTCTTTAGTTTAATTAGATCCCATTTGTCAATTTTGGCTTTTGTTGCCATTGCTTTTGGTGTTTTAGACATGAAGTCCTTGCCAATGCCTATGTCCTGAATGGTATTGCCTAGGTTTTCTTCTAGGGTTTTTATGGTTTTAGGTCTAACATGTAAGTCTTTAATCCATCTTGAATTGATTTTTATATAAGGTGTAAGGAAGGGATCCAGTTTCAGCTTTCTACATATGGCTAGCCAGTTTTCCCAGCACCATTTATTAAATAGGGAATCCTTTCCCCATTTCTTGCTTCTCTCAGGTTTGTCAAAGATCAGATAATTGTAGATATGCGGCGTTATTTCTGAGGGCTCTCTTCTGTTCCATTGATCTACATCTCTGTTTTGGTACCAGTACCATGCTCTTTTGGTTACTGTAGCCTTGTAGTATAGTTTGAAGTCAGGTAGCGTGATGCCTCCAGCTTTGTTCTTTTGGCTTAGGATTGACTTGGCGATGCGGGCTCTTTTTTGGTTCCATATGAACTTTAAAGTAGTTTTTTCCAATTCTGTGAAGAAAGTCATTGGTAGCTTGATGGGGATGGCATTGAATCTATAAATTACCTTGGGCAGTATGGCCATTTTCACGATATTGATTCTTCCTAGCCATGAGCATGGAATGTTCTTCCATTTGTTTGTATCCTCTTTTATTTCGTTGAGCAGTGGTTTGTAGTTCTCCTTGAAGAGGTCCTTCACGTCCCTTGGTAGACTCCCACACATGAATAATGGGAGACTTTAACACCCCACTGTCAACGTTAGACAGATCAATGAGACAGAAAGTCAACAAGGATACCCAGGAATCGAACTCAGCTCTGCACCAAACAGACCTAATAGACATCTACAGAACTCTCCACCCCAAATCAACAGAATATACATTATTTTCAGCACCACACCACACCTATTCCAAAATTGAACACATAGTTGGAAGTAAAGCTCTCCTCAGCAAATGTAAAAGAACAGAAATTATAACAAACTATCTCTCAGACCACAGTGCAATCAAACTAGAACTTAGGATTAAGAAACTCACTCAAAACTGCTCAACTACCTGGAAACTGAACAACCTGCTCCTGAATGACTACTGGGTACATAACGAAATGAAGGCAGAAATAAAGATGTTCTTTGAAACCAACGAGAACAAAGACACAACATACCAGAATCTCTGGGACACATTCAAAGCAGTGTGTAGAGGGAAATTTATAGCACTAAATGCCCACAAGAGAAAGCAGGAAAGATCCAAAATTGACACCCTAACATCACAATTAAAAGAACTAGAGAAGCAAGAGCAAACACATTCAAAAGCTAGCAGAAGGCAAGAAATAACTAAAATCAGAGCAGAACTGAAGGAAATAGAGACACAAAAAACCCTTCAAAAAATTAATGAATCCAGGAGCTGGTTTTTTGAAAGGATCAACAAAATTGATAGACCGCTAGCAAGACTAATAAAGAAAAAAAAGAAGAATCAAATAGACACAATAAAAAATGATAAAGGGGATATCACCACTGATCCCACAGAAATACAAACTACCATCAGAGAATACTATAAACACCTCTACGCAAATAAACTAGAAAATCTAGAAGAAATGGATAAATTCCTTGACACATACACTCTCCCAGGACTAAACCAGGAAGAAGTTGAATCTCTGAATAGACCAATAACAGGATCTGAAATTGTGGCAATAATCAATAGCTTACCAACCAAAAGGAGTCCAGGACCAGATGGATTCACAGCCAAATTCTACCAGAGATACAAGGAGGAACTGGTACCATTCCTTCTGAAACTATTCCAATCAATAGAAAAAGAGGGAATCCTCCATAACTCATTATATGAGGCCAGCATCATCCTCATACCAAAGCCTGGCAGAGACACAACTAAAAAAGAGAATTTTAGACCAATATCCTTCATGAACATTGATGCAAAAATCCTCAGTAAAATACTGGCAATCCGAATCCAGCAGCACATCAAAAAGCTTATCCACCATGATCAAGTGGGCTTCATCCCTGGGATGCAAGGCTGGTTCAATATACGCAAATCGATAAATATAATCCAGCATATAAACAGAACCAAAGACAAAAACCACATGATTATCTCAATAGATGCAGAAAAGGCCTTTGACAAAATTCAACAACCCTTCATGCTAAAAACTCTCAAGAAATTAGGTACTGATGGGACATATCTCAAAATAATAAGAGCTATCTATGACAAACCCACAGCCAATATCATACTGAATGGGCAAAAACTGGAAGCATTCCCTTTGAAAACTGGCACAAGACAGGGATGCCCTCTCTCACCACTCCTATTCAACATAGTGTTGGAAGTTCTGGCCAGGGCAATTAGGCAGGAGAAGGAAATAAAGGGTACTCAATTAGGAAAAAAGGAAGTCAAATTGTCCCTGTTTGCAGATGACATGATTGTATATCTGGAAAACCCCATCGTCTCAGCCCAAAATCTCCTTAAGCTGATAAGCAACTTCAGCAAAGTCTCAGGATACAAAGTCAGTGTACAAAAAATCACAAGCATTCTTATACACCGATAACAGATAGAGATCCAAATCATGAGTGAACTCCCATTCACAATTGCTTCAAAGAGAATAAAATACCTAGGAATCCACCTTACAAGGGACGTGAAGGACCTCTCTTTTTCTGTATGTTCTCTGAAGTGAAAAAATTAAGTGGGTAATCATTGTCTTTAAAAGATCAAGGAATACCTACAGGCAGAAGTTGACCCAGAACCTATTTATAGGTATGTTGAGAAGCATAGGAACTGTCATCCCAATTAATGTAACACAAGATAGAAAACTAGTGTTCTTACATTTGTGCAGACTTGGAGTTGAGGATGTCACTGATCTTGCATAACAACGATTTGTTTCATCTCACAGAGCTGTTTTCCCTTTATTAGAAAAGCTTCCCTTTGCAGAATATTCCATAGCTCACTCTATTTTTATTCTAATATTTTCATGGCATTCTCTCTGTGTTCTTAAAATTTAACTTCATTATTCTTAGTTACAGCACCTTGTAGCTTGTACTAAGCTAAATCAATATTTTCTCTTGCTAATGTTTGTGCAGTTAGAGATATTTGCAGATCTTTAGACCTCCCTCTAAGCCAAGTTATATGTACTTTGTTCTTTTAATCTTCCCTTATAAATTACCACCTCACAGCCCTTAAACAAGAGAAAGTCCATTTCCTAATTCTACTGAAATATGTCATTTTTCCTTGATATGACAACAGAGCTTATAGGCATTGATATTCCCTTATTGAAACTACCTGTCTGTCCTCTCTAATATACTACTTTAGTTAAGTAAAAAGTGAATTCAGGAGGATAAATTCCAAAGGGCATAGTCCTGTAGGGATGCAAAATGCAGAAAGAGGGCAGAGGTGCAAAGAAGTAACTAGAAGTTAATGCAATATATAAATAAATAATCCTCTAGCACCAGGAGACAGGGCACTGGAGGTTCAGTCACTAATCATATACCTAGAAAGAGGTTCTGCAGCAGACACCAGGGCTTACTTGAGGATGAAGGCTGGGAAGAAGGTGAGGATCAAAAAATAATCTATAGGGTATTATGCTTATTACATAGGCGATGAAATAATCTGTACCCCAAAACCTCCGAGACATGCAATTCATCTATATAGCAAACCTGCACATATACTCCTTAATCTAAAATCAAAGTTAAAAAAAGAAACAGATTCTACAGCCACTGCTCTTCCACCAAAGTGGTATGATGAGATACCAAACACCATGCACTAGTGTGCATGCTTCCTCTGCCCCAGTGGCCTGCAGTTCAAGATTTAAAAGTCAGAGAAAGAGGAACACATAAAGGAAAGTGGGAATGACTAGACAGTAAACTAGGAGAAAAACAAGAGAGTATGATATCCAGCAATCCAGCAGAAATGGTGGTACAAGAAGACATGGTTAACAGGATCAGATGCTACTGAGAGGTTGAGTATAAAGAGGACAGGGAAGTTACCATTGGATTTTGCAAAATGATGGTCATTGGTGAACTCTAATAGGAACTGTTTCAGTTTATTGGAGTGGATAGAGGACAGAATAGAGTGGATTGAAGCCAGAAGTGTGGGCCTGATGCTGTGGGTGGATCTAGGTCTGAGGGGCAGAGTTTGTGCAATTAGTGGGGGATCAAGTACATTTTTAAAAGGTGGAAAACCTTTGACTACTTTCTCTGTCTCACGGTCATGATTCCCCACATCTTATTCTAATATCTTTTCACCATGCTCTTAACAGCCATCATGACAACATAATACTTTTAAAGGATTGGGCTTAATTGGACACTTTGGAATGAGTGTCCCCTCCTACTCCTCCTCTAGTTGTGTTCAAAAGTCAGTTAGAGGTGTGGAAATGAAGTGATTGTGAAAAACTCTTTCGAGAAGTTCTGCCATGAAAGGAAGTAGAGAAATGGGGCAGTAGCCAAGGGAGAAAAAGAGCTTGATGAGTTGCATTTGCCTATTTAATAGAAGAGAGAGCAGAGTATGTTTGAATACCATTGAGAATGTTTCAATAAAAAGAAAAATGGAGGGGATGGGATCTAGAGGACAAATGACAGTGCTAGCCTTTGAAAGGGGTTTGAATTCTTCAGCCATTGTAATAGGAGGGGAAGCAGAGCATGGATATGGAATCAGGGATAAATACCTATTAGAGGGCTGCTGTGAAGATTTCAGCAAGGTAATAATTTGAAGCCTGGCCTATTGACTGGCACATAGAAGGTGCTTAATGAATATTGCTTCCCCGCCCTTCTGCTCATCCTGAGCTCCCTCATTCTCTTGTATCCAGTCCACACTCCCCAGTCTGGCATTGTTGTCCCCCTGTAACTACCCAACCCTTTTTCTATCTTTTCCGTGACAAGAATACTTCACTCTGTTGAGGCCCATTTTCCCCCAACAATACATATTGTTCAGTTTTCCCAAAAAAATCACTTTCACACTACTCCTCAATTTTCCTGTAGCCTTCTGTCAGGTAATATCACCATCTTCTCCATCATTTCTCCTTTATCTTTCCATTCAACAACCAATTCTGACATCAAGATAATGAGCATCATCCCACCAAGTTTCCACTCAGCCCTCTTAGACAACACTTTTATTTGATCCTCTTACTAATTTTTCCTACTCCCTTTGTTTTCTAAGAGATTCTCAAAAAATTTATGTCTGCAAAATTGTGCATGTTAATATCCACAGAAGAATGACTTCATCTTCTAGATTTCCGTGTTTCTTGGAAGCATATGGGGAGTTAACTTGTCAGCTAAGATAGAGTTTCTCCACTTTCTCTAGACAAGTCAATATGGTGAAGATAAATATATAGTAATTCTGAATAGAAGATCTCATTATGTAGACATCTATGAGCTTTGGTTTTTATCCCTTTGTATTGTATATTATTATCATGTTTTGCTGCAATATCTCCAAAAGCACTGTCATGGCTAATTTTTGTGCATCACTGTTGAGAGTTTAAATTCAATGCCATAAAAGTATTATAGTTTGTAACGTTCGTGAAATTTGGGGAATTCTTGAACATGTGGGTTATTGACACCAAGAGACTCTTTCAGGCATTCCATGACATTAGAGCAGGTGCAGGACAGACAAGCAAGTCTTCTCTAAAAACCTTATGTGGAAACAAAAACTGTCATTGAATTTTCATAAGAAAAATATTTCTGGAATTTTTATTTTATTTTAGTAAATGGTCCTGTAAGATATCTCACTGATGCCTTTTTCCAAATGTGGTATATGTTTGGCTTCTGTATATATGTAAGTGTCTGTGTATGTTGTAAGAGGTAGTCGTTGGCCTTGGAAACTCTAAAATACCAGAGATTGATCCATGAGCCAGAGAAGCCAAGATGTGGCCAAAAATTTAGATTACTGTTTCTACATTGCTATTAACTAGCTGTATGATCTTGATTAAATAAATTAAACTTTCTGTGTTCTCATTTCTAAAATCTTAATGACAGGATATGGCCTGGATCCATGATTGTCTATGCTCCAGGGTGTTTCAGGGGTCTGTGTTCTTGGGTGCTGGGAGTGGGAAAGGGTCAATGAGGTGACCAGAAATTTAGAATTAAGAAGGGATAAATTCAGGTAAAGTGTCTTTCTTGTAGACATTGGTCAAATTTGGGAGGAGGAGTTACTTTTGATTTTGTCTCATTACCAAAAGAATGACACTGATACCTCATGATCTTCCATAGAGGCCATGGTTGGTAGAGGGAACCATGTAGACTATGGGAGATACTGGATTAAAAACATAAAAGACTCTTATACAAAAAAAAGCAATGCTGTGGAATATTTGTTCAGTGGATGACTGTAGATATTTAACACTGTACTAAGGAGAATAAAGAAAAGATGCTCAGCAAACTTAAGTGGAGAATAAGATGCAAGCAGTCAGATTAAATTAATTTCTCATGGAATAAAAGGTACACATTGCTTTTAGTGTAATCTCTTTAAATATAAATATGCTTTAAATGTAATTGGAGTTATGTGATTTTTTCTCCTTTGACCAGTAAATCCTTTTTAATATTTTATTTGTGAGAATAAGTGAGATAATGCAAAAACACTTTGGATTATTTGTTTTAATGAACATTAGTTCCATGGGATATAAATAGGTATTAGGTAAAAAGTGAGTTCCATAGTCAAATAAAGCTACATTAAACCATGTTAATTTTTTTTATTCCCCTGTGGGACCTCTCAGAGACTATTAGTTTCTTAATGTGAACTGTAGACTCTGGCTTACAGTATTTCCCCAATTTTTTGAAAGTGATTCCCTTTATGTGAATAATTAGATGTGTCACAGAACACACTGGTGAATGTAGTTTTTAATAAGACACTTAACATAAGAGGGTGGAGCCAAGATGGCCGAATAGGAACAGCTCCAGTCTACAGCTCCTAGCGTGAGTGACACAGCAGACAGGTGATTTTTGCATTTCCATCTGAGGTACCAGGTTCATCTCACTAGGGAGTGCCAGAAAGTGGGTGCAGGACAGTGGGTGCAGTGCACCGTGCGTGAGCCGAAGCAGGATAAGGCATTGCCTCACTCGGGAAGTGCAAGGGGTCAGGGAGTTCCCTTTCCTAGTCAAAGAAAGGGGTGACAGACGGCACCTGGAAAATTGGGTCACTCCCACCCTAATACTTCACTTTTCCAACGGGCTTAAAAAAACGGCACACCAGGAGATTATATCCTGCACCTGGCTTGGAGGGTCCCTATGCCCACAGTGTCTCGCTGATTGCTAGCACAGCAGTCTGAGATCAAACTGCAAGGTGGCAGCCAGGCTGGGGGAGGGGCGCCCGCATTGCCCAGGCTTGATTAGGTAAACAAAGCAGCTGGGAAGCTCGAACTGGGTGGAGCCCACCACAGCTCAAGGAGGCCTTCCTGATTCTGTAGGCTCCACCACTGGGGGCAGGGCACAGACAAACAAAAAGACAGCAGTAACCTCTGCAGACTTAAATGTCCCTGTCTGACAGCTTTGAAGAGAGTAGTGGTTCTCCCAGCATGCAGCTGGAGATCTGAGAACAGGCAGACTGCCTCCTCAAGTGGGTCCCTGACCCCAGAGTAGCCTAACTGGGAGGCACCCCCCAGTAGGGGCAGACTGACACCTCACATGACCGGGTACTCCTCTGAGACAAAACCTCCAGAGGAACAATCAGGCAGCAGCATTTGCAGTTCACCAATATCCGCTGTTCTACAGCCACCGCTGTTCTGCAGCCACCGCTGCTGATACCCAGGCAAACAGGGTCTGGAGTGGACCTCTAGCAAACTCCAACAGACCTGCAGCTGAGGGTCCTGTCTGTAAGAAGGAAAACTAACAAACAGAAAGGACATCCACACCAAAAACCCATCTGTACATCACCATCATCAAAGACCAAAAGTAGGTAAAACCACAAAGATGGGGAAAAAACAGAGCAGAAAATCTGGAAACTCTAGAAAGCAGAGCACCTCTCCTCCTCCAAAGGAACGCAGCTCCTCACCAGCAACAGAACAAAGCTGGATGGAGAATGACTTTGACGAGTTGAGAGGAGAAGGCTTCAGATGATCAAACTACTCCAAGCTACAGGAGGAAATTCAAACCAATGGCAAAGAAGTTAAAAACTTTGAAAAAAAATTAGATGAATGGATACCTACAATAACCAATGCAGAGAAGTCCTTAAAGGAACTGATGGAGCTGAAAGCCAAGGCTCCAGAACTACGTGAAGAATGCAGAAGCCTCAGGAGCCATTGCAATCAACTGGAAGAAAGGGTATCTGTGATGGAACATGAAATGAATGAAATGAAGTGAGAAGGGAAGTTTAGAGAAAAAAGAATAAAAAGAAATGAACAAAGCCTCCAAGAAATATGGGACTATGTGAAAAGACCAAATCTATGTCTGATTGGTGTACCTGAAAGTGATGGGGAGAATGGAACCAAGTTGGAAAACACTCTGCAGGATATAATCCAGGAGAACTTCCCCAATCTAGCAAGGCAGGTCAACATTCAGATTCAGGAAATACAGAGAACGCCACAAACATACTCCTCGAGAAGAGCAACTCCAAGACATATAATTGTCAGATTCACCAAAGTTGAAATGAAGGAAAAAATGTTAAGGGCAGCCAGAGAGAAAGATTGGGTTACACACAAAGGGAAGCCAATCAGACTAACGGCTGATCGCACTGCAGAAACTCTACAAGCCAGAAGAGAGTGGGGGCCAATATTCAACATTCTTAAAGAAAAGAATTTTCAACCCAGAATTTCATATCCAGCCAAACTAAGCTTCATAAGTGAAGGAAAAATAAAATACTTTACAGAGAAGCAAATGCTGAGAGATTTTGTCACCACCAGGCCTGCCCTAAAAGAGCTCCTGAAGGAAGCAATAAACATGGAAAGGAACAACCGGTACCAGCCACTGCAAAAACATGCCAAAATGTAAAGACCATCAAGGCTAGGAAGAAACTGCATCAACTAACGAACAAAATAACCAGCTAACGTCATAATGACAGGATCAAATTCACACATAATAATATTAACTTTAAAGGTAAATGGGCTAAATGCTCCAATTAAGAGACACAGACTGGCAAATTGGATAAAGAGTCAAGCCCCATCAGTATGCTGTATTCAGGAAACCCATCTCACGTGCAGAGACACACATAGCCACAAAATAAAGGGATAGAGGAAGATCTACCAAGCAAATGGAAAACAAAAAAGGCAGGGGTTGCAATCCTAGTCTCTGATAAAACACTTTAAACCAACAAAGATCAAAAGAGACAAAGAAGGCCATTACATAATGGTAAAGGGATCAATTCAACAAGAAGAACTAACTATCCTAAATATATATGCACCCAATACTGGAGCACCCAGATTCATAAAGCAAGTCCTTAGTGACCTACAAAGAGACTTAGACTCCCACACAATAATAATGGGAGACTTTAACACCCCACTGTCAACATTAGACAGATCAACGAGACAGAAAGTTAACAAGGATACCCAGGAACTGAACTCATCTCTGTACCAAGCGAACCTAATAGATATCTACAGAACTCTCCACCCCAAATCAACAGAATATACATTATTTTCAGCACCACACCACACCTATTCCAAAATTGAACACATAGTTGGAAGTAAAGCTCTCCTCAGCAAATGTAAAAGAACAGAAATTATAACAAAACGTCTCTCAGACCACAGTGCAATTAAACTAGAACTCAGGATTAAGAAACTTACTCAAAACTGCTCAACTACATGGAAAGTGAACAACCTGCTCCGGAATGAATACGGGGAAATAACGAAATGAAGGCAGAAATAAAGATGTTCTTTGAAACCAACGAGAACAAAGACACAACATACCAGAATCTCTGGGACACATTCAAAGCAGTGTGTAGAGGGAAATTTATAGCACTAAATGCCCACAAGAGAAAGCAGGAAAGATCCAAAATTGACACCCTAACATCACAATTAAAAGAACTAGAAAAGCAAGAGCAAACACATTCAAAAGCTAGCAGAAGGCAAGAAATAACTAAAATCAGAGCAGAACTGAAGGAAATAGAGACACAAAAAACCCTTCAAAAAATTAATGAATCCAGGGGCTGGTTTTTTGAAAAGATCAACAAAATTGATAGACCGCTAGCAAGACTAACAAAGAAGAAAAGAGAGAAGAATCAAACAGATGCAATAAAAAATGATAAAGGGGATATCACCAGCGATCCCACAGAAATACAAACTACCATCAGAGAATACTACAAACACCTCTACGCAAATAAACTAGAAAATCTCGAAGAAATGGATAAATTCCTCGACACATACACCCTCCCAAGTCTAAACCAGGAAGAAGTTGAATCTCTGAAGAGACCAATAACAGGCTCCGAAATTGTGGCAATAATCAATAGCTTACCAACCAAAAAAAGTCCAGGACCAGATGGATTCAAAGCCCAATTCTACCAGAAGAGTTTCCTTCTGAAACTATTCCAATCAATTGAAAAAGAGGGAATCCTCCCTTACTCATTTTATGAGGTCAGCATCATCCTGATACCAAAGCCTGGCAGAGACACAACCAAAAAAGAGAATTTTAGACCAATATCATTGATAAACATTGATGCAAAAATCCTCAATAAAATACTGGCAATCCGAATCCAGCAGCACATCAAAAAGCTTATACACCATGCTCAAGTGGGCTTCATCCCTGGGATGCAAGGTTGGTTCAACATACACAAATCAATAAATGTAATCCAGCATATAAAGATAACCAAAGACAAAAACCACATGATTATCTCAATAGATGCAGAAAAGGCCTTTGACAAAATTCAACAACCCTTCATGCTAAAAACTCTCAATAAATTAGGTATTGATGGAACATATCTCAAAATAGTAAGAGCTATCTATGACAAACCCACAGCCAATATCATACTGAATGGGCAAAAACTGGAAGCATTCCCTTTGAAAACTGGCACAAGACAGGGATGCCCTCTCTCACCACTCCTATTCAACATAGTGTTGGAAGTTCTGGCCAGGGCAATTAGGCAGGAGAAGGAAATAAAGGGTATTCAATTAGGAAAAGAGGAAGTCAAATTGTCCCTGTTTGCAGATGTCATGATTGTATATCTAGAAAACCCCATCGTCTCAGCCCAAAATCTCCTCAAGCTGATAAGCAAATTCAGCAAAGTCTCAGTATATAAAATCAATGTGCAAAAATCACAAGCATTCTTATACACCAATAACAGACAAACAGAGAGCCAAATCATGAGTGAACTCCCTTTCACAATTGCTTCAAAGAGAATAAAATACCTAGGAATCCAACTTACAAGGGATGTGAAGGACCTCTTCAAGGAGAACTACAAACCACTGCTCAGTGAAATAAAAGAGGATACAAACAAATGGAAGAACATTCCACGCTCATGGGTAGGAAGAATCAATATCGTGAAAATTGCCATACTGCCCAAGGTAATTTATAGATTCAATGCCATCCCTATCAAGCTACCAATGACTTTCTTCACAGAATTGGAAAAAACTATAAAGTTCATATGGAACCAAAAAAGAGCCCACATTTCCAAGTCAATCCTATGCCAAAAGAACAAAGCCGGAGGCATCACTCTACCTGACTTCAAACTACACTACAAGGCTACAGTAACCAAAAAAGCATGGTACTGGTACCAAAACAGAGATATAGATCAATGGAACAGAACAGAGCCCTCAGAAATAATGGTGCATATCTACAACCATCTGATCTTTGACAAACCTGACAAAAACAAGAAATGGGGAAATAATTCCCTATTTAATAAATGGTGCTGGGATAACTGGCTAGCCATATATAGAAAGCTGAAACTGGATCCCTTCTTTAAACCTTATACAAAAATTAATTCAAGATGGATTAAAGACTTACATGTTAGACCTAAAACCATAAAAACCCTAGAAGAAAACCTAGGCAATACCATTCAGGACATAGGCATGGGCAAGGACTTCATGTCTAAAACACCAAAAGCAATGGCAACAAAAGCCAAAATTGACAAATGGGATCTAATTAAACTAAAGAGCTTCTGCACAGCAAAAGAAACTACCATCAGAGTGAACAGGCAACTTACAGGATGGGAGAAAATTTTCGCAACCTACTCATCTGTCAAAGGGCCAATATCTAGAATCTACAATGAACAACAAATTTACAAGAAAAAAACAAACCCATCAAAAAGTGGGCGAAGGATATGAACAGACACTTCTCAAAAGAAGACATTTATGCCCCCAAAAAACACATGAAAAAATGCTCATCATCACTGACCATCAGAGAAATGCAAATCAAAACCACAATGAGATACCATCTCACACCAGTTGGAATGGCGATCATTAAAAAGTCAGGAAACAACAGGTTCTGGAGAGGATGTGGAGAAATAGGAACACTTTTACACTGTTGGTGGGGCTGTAAACTAGTTCAACCATTGTGGAAGTCAGTGTGGCAATTCCTCAGGGATCTAGAACTAGAAATACCATTTGACACAGCCAGCCCATTACTGGGTATATACCCAAAGGATTATAAATCATGCTGCTATAAAGATACATGCACACGTATGTTTATTGCGGCACTATTCACAATAGCAAAGACTTGGAACCAACCCAAATGTCCAACAATGATAGACAGGATTAAGAAAATGTGGCATATATACACCATGGAATACTATGCAGCCATAAAAAATGATGAGTTCATGTCCTTTGTAGGGACATGGATGAAACTGGAAACCATCATTCTCAGCAAACTATCACAAGGACAAAAAACCAAACACTGGATGTTCTCACTCATAGGTGGGAATTGAAGAATGAGAACACATGGACACAAGAAGGGGAACATCACACTCTGGGGACTGTTGTGGGGTGGGGGGAGGGGGGAGGGATAGCATTTGGAGATATACCTAATGCTAAATGACGAGTTAATGGGTGCAGCACACCAACATGGCACATGTATACATATGTAACAAACCTGCACATTGTGCACATGTACCCTAAAACTTAAAGTATAATAATAATAAAATAAAAATAAATAAATAAAAAATAAAAAATAAAATAAAAAGACCTCAACTAAAAAAAAAAGACTCTTAACATAAAATCATGATGTCATTATAATCATTAACTTGAAAATTGAGATATGAGAAAACAAGGAAAAATGTGTCTAGGGCTTGAACAAAGACGTTGAATGATAATTAGACTTCATAAATCTAAGATAAAAATTGGTGCACTCAAGCAAAATACAAAGGTACTGCAAACAGATCTTGAACAGCTTTATTTAAAGACGGCACAACTGACCAAGTACAAGAATGAAAAATATATAAAATCTAAATACATAAGTATTTATAAATTCACCATGCTCCAGGAGCATGTATTTATGCTCGTAACCCCTCATATATATAAATTGAATGTCTCCTACTTCTCTAACGTTCTGGACTTATACTTTCTTTTAATATCTAAAGAAAAGAACTCAAGTCCTTGTTCTTATGTAATTGCAGGTAATCCAGCACTTTCTTTGATATGCCCTTATATTTCTTGGTCATTTTCATTACCTTTATTTCTGAATTCTAGCTTCCCAGTCAATCCTTGATCAACTTCAGCAATCTTGGCATCATTATTACTGATAAGTTCTTTCTCTACACTGACTCACTCCAGATGTTAATACAACCCACTATGCATGACTCCTCATGGTGCTACTCACACACTGCTTTTGCATGTACAGGTTGAATGTTCCTAATACAAAAATGCAAAATCTGAAATGCTCCAAAATCCAAAACTTTTAAAAAAATTTAATTTTCAATTTGATTGGGTACATAGTAGGTGTATATACTTACGGGATACATGAGATGTTTTGATACAGGCATGTACTATGAAATAAGCACATCATGGAGAATAGGATATCTATCCCATCAAGCATTAATCTTTTATATTACAAATAAATCTAATTACAGTCTTGTAGTTATTTTTATATGTACAATTAAGTTATTATTGACTATAGTCACTCTGTTGTGCTATCAAATAGTAGGTCTTATTCATTCTTTCTAACTATTTTTTGTACCCATTAACCATCCCCAGCTTCCAGCCAGCTCTCCACCACCCTTCCCAGTCTCTGGTAACCGTACTTCTACTCTCTATGTCCATGAGTTCAGTTGTTTTCATTTTTAGATCCCATAGGTGAGAACACGTGATATTTGTCTTTCTGTGCCTGGCTTATTTTACTTAACATAATGTCCTCCAGTTCCATCCATGTTGCTGCAAATGACTGGATCTCATTCTTTTTGATGGCTGAATAGTGCTCTATTGTGTATATGTGCCACATTTTCTTTATCCATTCACCTGCTGATGGACACTTAAGTTGTTTCCAAATCTTAGCTATTGTAAGCAGTGCTGCAACAAACACAGGTGTGCAGATATCTCTTCAATATACTGATTTCCTTTCTTTTGGGTATGTGCCCAGCAGTGAGATTGCTGGATCATATGGTAGCTCAATTTTTAGTTTTTTGAGGAACTTCCCAACTGTTCTTCATAGTGGTTATACTAATATACATTCCCACCAGCAGTATACAAGGGTTCCCTTTTCTCCACATCCTCACCAGCATTTGTTATTTCATGTATTTTGGATATAAGCCATTCTAACTGGGGTGAGATGATGTCTCATTGTAGTTTTGATTTGCATTTCTCTGATGATCAATGATGTTGAGCACCTTTTCATATGCCTGTTTCTCATTTGTATGTCTTCTTTTGGGAAATGTCTATTCAAATCATTTGCCTATTTTTTATTAGCTCATATTGTTAGATTTTTTCCCTATAGAGTTGTTTGAAATCCTTTTATATTGTGGTTATTAATCCTTCTCAGATGGGTAGTTTTAAATTATTTTCTCCCATTCTGTGGGTTGTCTCTTCACTTTGACGATTGTTTCCTTTAGTGTGCAGAAGCTTTTTAACTTGATGTGATCCTATTTGTCCATTTTTGCTTTGGTTGCATTTACTTGTCAGGTATTGCTCAAGAAATTTTTGCCCTGACCAAGGTCCTGGAGATTTTCTCCAATGTTTTCTTGTATCAGTTTCATAGTTTGTGGTCTTAGATTTAAGTCTTTATTCCATTTTGATTTGATTTTTGTATATGGTGAGAGACAGGGGCCTAGTTTCTCTCTTCTGCATATGGATATCGTCTTCCCAGCACCATTTGTTGAAGAGACTGTCTTTTCCCCAGTGTATGCTTTTGGCATCTTTGTCGAAAATGAGTTCACTGTAGGTATGTGGATTTTGTTTTGGGTTCTCTATTCTATTTCATTATTCTATGTATCTGTGTTTATGCCGGTACCATGATGTTTTGGTTACTATTGCTTGGTTATATAATTTGAAGTCAGATAATGTGATTCTTCCATTAGAATAGCTTTGGGATATTCTTAGTCTTTTGTGGTTCCATATAAATTTTAGGATTTTTTTTCTATTTCTGTGAAGAATGTCACTGGTATTTTTATAGGGGTTGCATTTAATCTGTATATTGCTTTGGGTAGTATAAACATTTTAACAATATTGATTCTTCTAATCCATGAACATGGAATATCTTTCCATTTTTTGGTGTCCTCTTCAATTTCTTTCATCAGTGTTTTACAGTTTTCATTATGGAGATCTTTCATTTCTTTGGTTAATTCCTAGGTATTTAATTTTATCTGTGGCTATTGTAAACAGAATTACTTTTTTGTTTTACAGATTGTTCAATATTGGCATATAGAAATGTTACTGATTTTTTAAAATATTGATTTTGTATCCTGCAGCTTTACTGAATTTATCAGTTCTAATAGTTTTTTGGTGGAGTCTTTAATTTTTTTCAAATATAAGATTATATTATCTGCAAAGCAGTATAATTTTACTTCTTCCAAAATCTGAAACTTTTGAGCACCTGCATGATGCTCAAAGGAAATGCTCATTAGAGCATTTCAGAATTCAGGTTTTCAGATTAGGGATTCAACCAGTAAATATAATGCAAATATTCCAAAATTTTAAAAAATCCAAAATTCAAAACACTTCTGGTCCCAAGCATTTCACATAAAGGGTACCCAAACCTGTAGGCTTTCACTAAAGGTTAGCCTAACTGAGGAAGATTGCTGCACAGAGCAGGTAACAACTAGTAGACATTGACTATCGGGCTTCAGTTCTTCTCATGGTTGTATTCCAGTGCTGGCCAGCTATCATGTTTCTGGAGCCCATTCCCCCATCAATGCTTTTCCGCAGATTCCTGGTCCCAACTCTTGTCTTTTTTGCTGTCTGGTAGAAAATTCAAAATGTTGTTATCTTCATGGGAAAATCAATTAGTTCCCATTTATTTCAACCTCTACCCTATGCTCAGGGCCTTTCTTTCATAACTGAAAGACTCATTAATGTGTTTCCTCAAACAAACCAGATGTCTTTATTCTTCCCACCTGGACTGCAGAAACAGCTGCAGTTACTTAAACAACACTCTTTTCTTCCATAAAATAGTTTTTGTCAAATATAAAACAATATCATGGTTAATGGATTCCTTAAAAAGGGAAGCACTACAAGAAACACTGACAGGCATTTACAAATGGCTTTTTCTTATAAATAATATATGAACACAGTTTTTCAATGTTATTTTCATGTTTATTTTGCAGTAACATAATAAGTTTTATGTTGAGATCAATGAGGTTCTTTGTGCTTTAAGAAATCAAATAAACTTTACAGCCCCATACCCAAAAAGAGGAAAAAGGGAGTATATTGCAATATTGATGAATGAATAAAAAATGTGTAACAATTTTCAACATTAATCCTATGGGCGTTTAAGATTAATTTGACATTTAGCGGCAGGCCAGAAACACACTGAAGTCAAAGATAAAGTCTAATCAGCTTATACTTTGAGGAGAGTATAGCAGTCTAATTATTTAGAGGGCAGAAGTAATTGTTTCAACTTCAATTCTGTTTTACAAAAAACAAAAAAGCTGGTTCTAACCACATGGTTGCCCAATAAGTAGTGCTATAAGTGTTCAAATAAAATTATATTAAAGGATTTACTTGTAACAAAGTTTTAGCTTTCTCCTGTGATAATAAGCAGGGAGAACTAGAAAAAGTATTTTGAAACTTCCCTCTTTTCTTCCTTGATCCTACCTAAGACAAGAAGACTAAAGAGTTTGTGAAACTGATAATAGTTCTAAGCAGGAACAAAAAAAGGTATCTTAAAAGAGTTTTTGTCTATAATAATCCCCCTACAATACACAGTGGAAAACGTTGTAAGTTCATTTCCAAATGTCACCACAGAGAAAATGGTTCAGAAAGACAAAGCCTGACTTGCTATAAGTAGGCATAGAAAATGTATTTCTATCCAAAAAAAAAAAATTAATCAAGAAAACAAAAGAAAATTGTGAAAAACACTGTAACAACTGTACTCATACATCAGAAGTTGGAAAGAAGTTAACAGAAAGATAACAACTAATGAGAATCCCTGGACAAATCTGTAACTGACCCATCTCTGTCAACATAAACATGCTATCTTCTTTTACTGAAGTCTGCCCAACACATCTCCCAGAAGCTATACCTTATAAGGAAGTTAGAGAGTTGTAAAAGCTTTCAGTTATTGGTAACAATTCCTCTTTTCTCTTTTGATTGGAGAAGTATAACAAATATTCTCTGCTCAACCAGTAAATATTTCAGAGACTGCCACTTGCCCTAAACAACAAAACCAGCAATGTCGAATTTTCACAACCTTTGTTACCATCAGTCCTCACCTGTTTCTGAACCTCTAAGAACAGAACTTCTATGCTCTCTTGGGCTACTTTAAACATTGTAAGAGCCTAAGTTCTTAATTATCTGTGCTCGATAGTTATCATAGCTGAATCCAGAGGGTAGACTTTTGAAAAAGAAAGTGTTGTATACATATGATATAAAGATCACCTGGAAGATGAAAGGACTGTTTCCAGTTCCATATTAAAAGCAGAATTTGGTTCTAAGTCTCCCTATATCACCCATTGCCAGAATGCTTCAAAGCAAAATTGTATGATGGGCAGAAAGCAATTTGTATAGGAAAAGTGCCAAATGAGAATTTGAATTTGACACAAGGGACTATTCTCGTTAAGTGAACTGTTAGATGCAGAACATACAATAAAACAAGACAAATGATCTTTATGTTGTAAAATATTATTTCTATCTTTTGAATCATATTTTAAAGAAGTATAATAATTGCCAAATACATGAAGAGGCTCATTTCACAGAGTTTCAGTTAATCATGAGCTACATACAGTTCTTCAACTACATCCTCTATCCTCAGCATGAAGCCACTGTCTTTGAAAATATTTTAGAAAATAAAGATAATTGAAATGGAAAAAATCACTTTTAGGCTCTGAGAATTTTAACTAGTGAATTAATTCAAATAATACCACCCTTTTGAAATAAACAAGTACTTACAAAAACCACCTGCCCCGATAAGAGTAAAATATAATATACTTATGTTGCCAAAAGGCTTTCTTATTAAATGTCTATTCTACTTTTTTATTCTTCTTACCACTTTATTGACTATTTGGAGCAATTAAACCTAGAATTAAAAGAGATTTTTCTTTCCCTAAGCATCTATGTTTAATATTATCTTCCAAACATATCTGATATTATTTGGAATCCAAATATAACAAAAATTAATGCAGCAAAACCACTTGGAAGAACATCCTCAAGCTCTTGGCACACTCTTCAAAAATATTTTTTGAGATGCTATTTTGTGTTGGACACTGTTCTAGGTACTGGAGATGCAGCAGTACACACGTACACAAGGTTTCTGCCATTAAGAGTATTAGATTATATCAGAGAAGACAGATAATAAACAGAATAAGAATTAATCATATAGTATAACTTCAGATAGTTATAACTGCTAGATAGCAAAATAAAACAAGAGGCTGGAGCACGATGGTGTAATTTTAGATAGGGTGATCAGGGAAGACATCTGATAAGACCTTTGGCCAAAATAAAGAATGTGAGAGAAGATTCGAAAGTTTCAGACCCCTGAAATGACATTCCTTTTTTTTTTAACCCAGCATTTGCTGAACATTTATTATATATCAGGCAAGACCTAGGAGCAAGTGATACAAAGCAACTAAAATTGGGGTTCCTACTTTCAAAGGACTCACAGTCAAGTGGAGCAGATAACTTGAGAATGCTAATCCTTATATTGTGATTAGCTCTTTACAGGAAGGCAGTGTCAGACCGACAAAATTATAAAATAGGGAAGGGTTATATTAGGTCACTAACATTCTATCTCCTTTCTACACCAATTTCTCTTTCATCTAGTGCCTTATGTTTTTCATTTTCATGTATATACATCTCTGCTTCACAGCTGCTATCAAGAAGTACCAAGATTCAGCAGCCTTAGAATCTTCCGATCTTAAACTGTAGAAATCCACCTGAAGGCATTTCACAGGTTTTGGACCCTTTCTGAGCCATTCTCCACAAGAGAAAATCTGCTTGCCCACTAACCATTTCCTCCATGAGACAGAACAGTGTAACGCAGCCCTCTAAGAGCAGATATTTGAAATTTAAATACAGTCTTCCAGAGGCCCCAAAGGAGCCACTGTAATAGGGGAGGGCATCTCTACCTCTGAGGAGGCTGGTGGGGGAAGCTTTCAATGTCTCTCACATCCTATTTAACAAGACAGTCTCATGCCAACTATCTGTGTGGTTAGCACCCATGAAAAATCACAGAGCTGAAAGTCAAGGAGCCTGGGATATCCAAGAAAAGACTCTTCAAACTTCCTCAGTAACCTAGAGTGTTAAGTTTTAAACTTCTTCTGGTTCTTGACCAAACTATTCATTGAGACAGAGGAGAGAAGGATGTGTCTTTAAGTCATTTAATACGTGTGACTGTGAATCCTTTAGAAAAGAGGCACTTAAAAATAAAATAGCAGAATCTTCAGAAATTATACAATCTGATTCTTCTTTATTTTCTCTGAGAGCAAAATGAGAATAAGAGAATTGTTTGGAAACAGTCACATTTCTTACATCCCCTCATCCTTCTAAGTGCTAGGCTGCCTAGCTTTACAAGAGTTTCAGTAAACTTAGTCTATAAATATTTCAAATCTGTATGTTAAAAAATAAATTTATCTATAGATATATATAATGTGTGTATATATGTATATACATAATGTATGGGATGCTGCATCTAATTCTATATTTTCTTTATATTTTTAAAATTTTTCTCATGGGAAATGAGAACTGACATAAATCTTATGAAGGATAAGAACAATATACAGAGGGTTCAGAAGTATACATTAAGCATTACCTCCATACACTTACCAATTCCTACAATTTATATGGTTGATGTGAATGCTCACACCCTAAATGTATTGTCTAAGGGCAAGGGCTATGCATGCATTGATTGCCATTATGTATCTCCAGCTCTATATTCTGCCTTTCTGTCATATGGTAAGCATATGCTCAAATATTATTTACTATTTGAATAAATGGGGTAAAAAGGAAGGCAGAAAGAAAGGGAAGAAATAAGAAGGTTCAAGTTAGCTTATCATAGGCAAATACCCACGTATTGTTTTGGGCAGTCCAATCCTAGTCATAATCAAAAACACCTAAAGAACAAGTAAACTTAATAGAGTAGGCATAGTTATGGCAAATGAAAATGGGTTAACATCATAGATATCTGAGTCTCCTGAAACAATCGATATCCTGAGAATTCCCCTGTACACTAAATAATTACTCAGGGCAGAGATGTTGTCAGTGCTGGCTGGTGTTTTGGGAAGAATTGCACTGCTGATGGACTGAGAAGTGACCCAGTGAGGCAAACAGCAGAGCGGTCTATAATTCTTGAGCTTATATGTATATAAGCCCCACGGCCACCCATAAACTCCGAGCAGCATACCTAAGAATGGGCTTTCCCTCCATCTCACTGATCTCTTTTCGTTCTTCTTTTAACCTGATTTCATGGAGATAAAAATATGTAGGACAATTCCTCAGTGTAATTTTCCCTGACCCACACAGCCCTTCAGATGGCCCTAGAGCCACAGCACCCTAGAACTAATATCCATGCTCCTACTGAAAGAATAATCACTAAAAGATTGAAATGACATTTGTGTTGGAGACCCTGACCTTGCATTACAATTGGATGCAAACCAGAACTTTCACTTAAGTACATCTCAAGGGATTTCTGGAATGTTTACATGGATTCTCTGGAAATAATTCAAGTCTATCTCCTTAAGTTAGATCTGGTAATCAGATTAGAACTGAAGAGAAACCAGATGCCAACTGATTTTGCAGTGTGGCTTTGTCTTAGAAACCTGCTGACACTGTTCAAATAACCATGATAAATTATGTGAAAATAAATGGATATGCTAAAGCAGGGATGGAATATCTTTAAACGTATGCCTAGTCACCTAATTTAGCATAAAGTCTTCATTCTCCCTTATCTAATATACATTATATAAGAGGTGTCATTTATTTTTTCAGTCCTCTGTCCACCTTGCTGAGTTACTGTTCAAGTCCATGAGAAGTGTGGGGTTTCCCAAAACACTAGACAATGCTGGGGCATCTCTGTCACCTGATAATTACTAGATTCCCAGAGATAGCAATAAGAGCTAACACATATTGAGAGCCTAGGTGCCAGACACTGTGCCAAAACATAACAATAGTTTCTAACATTCATTGAGCCCTTACTACATACATGCCAGGCACTATGCAGGTTTTACATATATAATCAATTTGCATTTTCATAGCCTTATGTAGTAAGTACTAATGTTATGAATCCTCACTTTACAGATGCTAGACCAATCTGTCTCCATGAAATAAAGACATCAGACTGTCATTCAATGTAAATCCCTGGTCCACCCTGTCCAGAATTCTGTCTGTCACAACAACAGCAGCAGAAGCTGCTAAATGCTTGACTGCACTATTTCCTTTAAAACTTACAATAACACTCTGAGCTAGGAACTATTATTACTTCCATTTTACAGAGAAGGAAATTAAGTTTTAACGAGGTTAAGACACTGCCTAGGTCGGGCCCAGTGATACACGCCTATAATCCTAGCTCTTTTGGAGGCAGAGATGAAAGAATCTTTTGAGGCCAGGAGTTCAAGACTAGCCTAGGAAACATGGTGAGACCCTCCCCCCCACCAATCTCTACAAAAAATTTTAAAAATAGCTGGCTGTAGTGGCACACACCTGCAGTTCTAGCTGCTCAGGAGGCTGAGGCAGAAGAATCACCTGAGCACAATAGTTTGAGCCACTGCACTCCAGCCTGAGTAACAGGGAAACCCCATCTAAAAACAACAACAACAAAAACACAATCAGTTCCTAGGGCCACACATTGCACATGAGATGGGTAAGGCAGAACTTTAATACTCAGGTTTCAGGTTTCTTTGGCTCCAAAATCTGGGACCTTTCCCCTGATCTCCAGGGTCTCTTATGATTCCTATATTCAGGAGGCAAACCAAATATCCTTTATATGAATTTTATATATGAGTTAGAGAGATTTTAAATTCAAAGTTTATTTTAATCATAACCAGAAATCACTTTAGTTAAAAATGAACAGTTGAGTTCTATAATTACTTTTGAGGGAGTCCCTGAACATCAGGATAAGGTTAGAGAAAAATTGTTGCCAGATTTATTTCTAGCTCAATTTTTAAAAATCAGAACTTCTACTATTACAGTGTAGCTCTTTTTGGGGAATTCCCAAGAGTATTTTTTAGCAAGCAATAAGACATTCCTTTGTTATCCTTTAACTGTTATGTTTCAAGAACAGAGTATCTATTACCTACTGATTATGAGGGTTGGATATTTCTCTCATAACAGATGGTCTTTTGTTCATGCCTCAATTCTACTGACTTTCTAATTGCTAATATATGTGTTACTACTAATTATACCTTAGTAATCTCATTCCAGTAAGAAGGCACTTATGGCTGATTTTTATAGAGCTAGTGTTTCAATTTTTGTAGCTTTTTCCATGAACTAGCTTCTAGATATGACATAAACTTCACACAATAGTTGAAGGTATGGTTTTCTTCAGATTTCTGTAAACAAAGGAAGAAAAGAAAAAATATATTCTGCAAGAAAGCAAAACATGCTACTAAAGAATACAGCCATATTCTCCCAGGCTACTCAATTCTGTACTTAAATACTCCCATTGCATGCCTGCCCAGTGACAAACCAACCTTGGTTTATAATTGACTAAAAATAGAGAACCATAAACAAAATACTTGGCCTAGTGCATGGACACATTATAAGTAAGCCCTCAAGAATTGGCAACAACTGTGATAAAGATGACTGGCAATTTCTCAGCCATAGCAACACCTGGTATTTCTTAGCTATCTCACTCTGAGAGGCTCCAATCTCCTTTTAGGTTACTCTTTCTATTTAAACTCAATAGTTACATAGGGAATGTAAGAGATCAATATCTTGGCAGTGCGTGTTGGAAATAGAAAAAAACAAGGGCCTTGGTAATTTGCTGGGAATGAAAAGTGAGTTAGTGCAGGAACCCCAAATAGTATTCAAATTTCCTAACTCCTTTCTTTCGTATTTTTCCATATATTTAGGCTTGAAATATCTAATGGACTAAGGTAATATCACTTGCATGCATTATTTTATTTAAATCTCTCAATAATACTATTTGTTATCGTTGTTGTTATCCCTGGTTTTTAAATGACAAAACTGAGGTGCAGAGAGGTTAAACTATGTTAAACACAGTACTGCCTTACTAGGTGATTCGTGTGATTATGGAATAAGCATAGTTTGGTTTATGGATATGAAACTGTGGTCTAGAGAGGAACACAAATACTGAAACCACTATTTATAATACATCAACAATACTGCTCAAAGTAAGGCATATGTAAATTGCTATGGAAGTACAAGAGAAGGCAACTGAAGTGAGGCTTCACAGAGGAGATGCTTTTTGAGCTGCAGTTGATAGAAAGGTAGGAGGAAGGCATACTGAGCGAAGGAATGCACATAAAAAGTCACAGGATAACAAATAACCATGATGTGTTCATTCATGGCTAGAGTGTAATAAGAAGGTAGGGATTAGGAAGAGATGAGGCTAGACAGTTCAGATCATGCAGTGCTTTGCTCCTCTTGGGTAGCTGGCACATTTAAAAGTATTCTGAAAGACCAATCTATGAAGAGTTCATAGCAGATATTAAAGCTCTATGTATTTTAACCCTTCCAGTCTATTTAAATTGCCCTTTAAGAGATGACTTCTGAAAATGCCAAGCCTTAACTCAAAGAAAGAGTCTAATTGTGGGAATTCCAGGCACACGTAGTGGGGGGAACCACTTTTGGTCAAGAGGCCTCTCTTAGTAACCCTTTGTGTTGCATTCAGTAGCTTACCTAAGAACAGGTGAGAATCAGCTTTGTTAATTGCAGTCCACTATTTGCTGGAACATGTGCAATGCACTGGTGTCAGCAATGTTTTTGCTCTTAGTCACTTTTTTCCAAACTTCCTACCGTAAACAGTCTTCCTCTTACCTTTGTTTTCTATTTTATGGTTTTTTCTTCTTTTTACTTTTATTGCTAGACATGTTTCTACTTGCCCATGGCCTCTCACCTACTAGTTCTATTTTGCTCATACTCAGCTCTTACTCCCTCTCCACTCTCTATTATGTTACTCTTTATTATACTCAATTATGCAACCTCTTTGCATTCTTCTCTATTTTTCAATAATACTATAATTGTACACTGAAAGGTTTTGGGTCCTTAGATTGTTAAGATCTAGAGTTTTTGATGTTTTTAAAAGCTATTCTCTCTCAAAGAACAATTCAGAAACATAAAAGTGTGATAGAAGTGGTCAATAATTTTCCTTTGAGGGACAATCACTCCTTCCCCTTAAAAACAAAATCTGACTCACTTGCATAAGTATTTTTTTAAAATCTCCGAGTTCAAATTTATTAAAGCTACAGTTAATTTTCAGTTAATAAAAATGTTTTCTTGTGATAGACAAGCATTTGTCCTACAATCCTTAAATAACTAAGATCAGAGCAGAACTGAAGGAGATAGACACAAAAATCTTTCCAAAAATCAATGGATCCAGCAGCTGGTTTTTTTTAAAGATCAACAAATAGATAGACCACTAGACAGACTAATAAAGAAGAAAAGAAAGAAGAATCAAATAGACACAATACAAATGATAAAGGGGATATCACCACTGATCCCAGAGAGATACAAACTACCATCAGAGAATACTATAAACACCTCTACGCAAATAAACTGGAAAATCTAGAAGAAATGAAAAAATTCCTGGACACATACACTCTCCCAAGGAAGAAGTCAAATCCCTGAATAGATGAATAACAATTTCTGAAACTGAGGCAGTAACTAATAGCCTACCAACCAAAAAATGTCCAGGACCGGACAGATTCACAGCCAAATTCTATCTGAGGTACAAATAGGAGCTGGTACCATTCCTTCTGAAACTATTCCAAACAACAGAAAGAGAGAGAATCCTCCCTAACTCATTTTATGAGGCCAGCATCATCCTGATACCAAAACCTGGCAGAGAGACAACAAAAGAAGAAAATTTCAGGTCAATATCCATGATGAACATTGATGCAAAAATCCTCAATAAAATACTGGCAAACTAAATCCAGCAGCACATCGAAAAGCTTATCCACCACGATCAAGTTGGCTTCATCCCTGGGATGTAAGGCTAGTTCAACATACACAAATCAATAAATATAATCCATCACATAAACAGAACCAAAGACAAAAAATATATGATTATCTCGATAGATGCAGAAAAGGCATTTGACAAAATTCAACAGCCCTTCATGCTAAAAATTCTCAATATACTAGGTATTCATGGAATGTATCTCAAAATAATAAGAGCTATCTATGACAAACCCACAGGCAATGTCATACTGAATGGGCAAAAACTGGAAGCATTCCCTTTGAAAACTGGCAGAAGGCAAGGATGCCCTCTCTTACCACTCCTATTCAACATAATATTGGATGTTCTGGCTAGGGCAATCAGGCAAGAGAAAGAAATAAAGGGTATTCAATCAGGAAAAGAGGAAGTCAAATTGTCTCTGTTTCCAGATAACATGATTGCATATTTAGAAAACCCCATTGTCTCAGCCCAAAATCTCCTTAACCTGATGAGCAACTTCAGCAAACTCTCAGGATAATAAATCAATGTGCAAAAATCACAAGCATTCCTATACACCAATAACAGACAAACAGAGAGCCAGATCATGAGTGAACTCCCATTCACAATTGCTACAAAGAGAATAAAATACCTAGGAATCCAACTTACAAGGGATGTGAAGGACCTCTTCAAGGAGAATTACAAACCACTGCTCAAGGACATAAGAGAGGACACAAACAAATGGAAAAACATTCCATGCTCATGGATAGGAAGAATCAATATCATGAAAATGGCCATACTGATCAAAGTAATTTATAGATTCAATGCTATCCCCATCAAGCTAACACTGACTTTCTTCACAGAATTGGAAAAAACTGCTTTAAATTTCATATGGAATCAAAAAGAGCCCGCATAGCCAAGACAATCCTAAGCAAAAAGAACAAAGCTGGAGGTATCATGCTACCTGACTTCAAACAATACTACAAGGCTATAGTAACCAAAATAGCATAGTACTGGTACCAAAACAGATATACAGACAAATGGAACAGAACAGAGCCCTCAGAAATAATACCACACATCTACAACCATCTGATCTTTGACAAACCTGACAAAAATAAGCAATGGGGAAAGGATTCCTTATTTAATAAATGGTGTTGGGAAAACTGGCTAGCCATAGGCACAAAGCTGAAACTAGTTCTCTTCTTTACGCCTTATACAAAAATTAACTCAAGATGGATTGAAGACTTAAATGTAAGACCTAAAACCATAAAAACCCTAGAAGAAAACCTAGGCAATACCATTCAGGACACAGGCATAGGCAAAGACTTCATGACTAAAACACCGAAAGCAGTATGGCAACAAAAGCCAAAATTCACAAACGGGATCTAATTAAACTAAAGAGCTCCTGCACAGCAAAAGATACTATCATCAGATTGAACAGGCAACCTACAGAATGGGAGAAAATTTTTGCAATCTATCCATCTGACAAAGGGCTAATATCTAGAACCCACAAATAACTTAAACAAATTTACAAGAAAAAAAAAACCCCATCAAAAAGTAGGCAAAAGATATGAACAGACACTTCTCAAAAGATGACATTTATGTAACCAAGAAACATATTAAAAAAAGCTCATTATCACTGGTCATTAGGGAAATGCAAATCAAAACCACAATGAGATACTATCTCATGCCAATTAGAATGGCAATCATTAAAAAGTCAGGAAACAACAGATGCTAGAGAGGATGTGGAGAAATAGGAAGGCTTTTACACTACTGGTGGGAGTGTAAATTAGTTCAACCATTGTGGAAGAGAGTGTGGCAATTCCTCAAGGATCTAGAACCAGAAATACCATTTGACCCAGCAATCGCAGTACTGGGCATGTGCCCAAGGTATTATAAATCATTCTACTATAAAGACACACGCACCCATATGTTTATTGTGGCACTGTTCACAGTAGCAAAGACTTGGAACCAACCCAAATGCCCATCAATGATAGACTGGATAAAGAAAATGTGGCACATATACACCATGGAATACTATGCAGCCATAAAAAAGGATTAGTTCATGCCCTTTGCAGGCATATGGATGAAGCTGGAAAACATCATTCTCAGCAAACTAACACAAGAACAGAAAACCAAACACTGCATGTTCTCACTCATAAGTGGGAGTTGAACAATGAGAACACATGGACACAGAGAGGGGAACATCATACACCAGGGCCTGTCGGGGGGTTGTGGGGCTAGGGGAGGGATAGCATTAGGAGAAATACCTACTGTAGATGACGGGTCGATGGGTGCAGCATACCACCATGGCACATGTATACCTATGTAACAAACCTCAACGTTCTGCACATGTATCTCAGAACTTAAATATAGAAAAGGAAAAGAAAGAAAGAGAACCTTAGCTTGGAACATATACAGTTTTAAGAAGAGAATTATAATCATTACACATTCTATGCATGCCACAAAACATCACATGTACTCCATAAATATGTGCAAATATTATGTAACAATAAAAAATAAATTAAAGTGAAGCTATGTTCCCTGGGGAAAAATATTTTTATAACATCAAGGGCTAAAAAAAACCTTAAGAAATCATCCTTTCTCATTTATTCTACTTGTCTCTCCACTTATACTCATGATATAAAAAAGAATCATAAGCCATCCACATTCCAGGTACTTCAGTTCAAGTCACTGAATACGCACTATGTGCCTGGTGCTTATAATGCTAGATTTGTTGATTCATATCAAAGGAGTCAGGGCAGTTATGCCCTGTTTACCAGTAGCTTATGAGCCAATTGTGGAGATAAAACAAATACATGTAACACTTTTTATGTAAGGCAATATGTACTGAGCCACTGATTATATGCTATAAAACACAATAGAAGAAAGAGATCAATGTGGAAAAAGAGTCATCGTGAAAAAGTTTGTGGAGGAGATAAGGCTAGACCTAGGCTTTGGATAATAAGGAGGATTTTCAGTAGGCAGAAGGGCAAGAAATTAGGTATTTCAAGGGAAGGAAATTTAAAAATTAGATGATTTCTTCATAGAGAAGGAGAATCGTCAGGACAAAGGGCTGGAGCACTGCTCTCCAGAAGCCTCTTTAGTTTCCTCACCCATACCAGCAAGCAAGGACTAAAACTCTCTTGCCCTCTACAATCTAGGATGTTTCTACTCTAGGATCCTGGTGACATTATACCTCTGTCTCTGGTAGGCAGAAAGTATGAAGACCTTATACTTCCTGCCTACCAGAGTATCGCTACCTCTTTCAATGCAGTTCCTCTACATCCCTCTCTAGTACTTGTGGAACAGTATCAGGATATCTGCTCCCTTCCATCATGATAATAAACCCTGAGGATGCAACTCTTTGATGCTGCGGTTCTGTTGGCATAGCTAGAAGCACAAAAGGAATGGAACTCAAGCCAGAGATCTCACTCAAGGTTTCCAATAACAGTTCTTAATCTTTTCTGGGGTAACAGAGTTGTCCAAGACTCTGATGGAAGCCATAGGACCTCTCACACATATACTCTCTTCTCTTTTCTTTAATTATAGCTTACAATATCCCATTGGTTTACTTCCCACCTGTTACATTTAATAAACAGTTGGAAGTAAAGCAAATATAAGAATATCAAGACTCCACTACAGTGTTCCCAAACCAGTGTGCATCACAGTTACCTAGAGAGCCTGATAAAAATGGATATTTGGATGAAGAAAGTTACCTGGCCACACTTTGAGAAACCCTGCTCAACGGCCATCTAACCTTACTAAATCCTTTTCACTTGGCACACTGATAAATGAGTTTTACCACCAGAGATCAAATCAGAATACCTCATTTCCTTTTTATAAAAGATGTGGGTAGGGAAATGATTATAAAGCAGAGAAACTACAATAAAAGAAAATGGAAAAAATCTGACTTCATTGACCAATTAACCTGAGTGCTGCAACCTAACTTACCCTTTGTTGAAATTTTATTGTAACATAAATTAGAACTTGATAATTTTGCATTTTATTATTCTCTCTCTCTCTCTCTGTGTGTGTGTGTGTGTGTGTGTGTGTGTGAGAGAGAGAGAGAGAGAGAGAGAGAGAGAGAGAGAGAGAGAGAGAGAAAGAGAAAGTTAGCCTTGCCTGTGCTTTGAGGACTAGTTCTACAAACTAGCACCCAGTTGCTACTAAAATACACATTAATAATAGGCCCGCAATATCTGCATTGATTTATTTTCAAGAACTCAATTATTGCTTAAAGTGAGGGCCATCTGAATATGGTCCCTTATCTGAAAACCTAGAAAGCCCTGATGTCTTTGCTGTGCATGAACCACTGTGTATCCTTCCTTGCCATAGAATTGTATTTCATTCCATTGACAGGCATGAAAGCATTCATCCTCTCTCCCCCTTCTATTAAGGACTGATTTGTGCATCCCAGGGAAAAAAGGTAGGGATGTCACAAGATCTATCTTCCTTGCTTTGATGCACAGATTCAGACACCATTATTTATACCCTGTATTAATCACTGGTAAATCTTTGCCTTTCTGAGGCATCATATGTCCTATTGACATTCAGATGGGTATCTTACAAAAGTGTAGACAAGACAAAACTTGAGGTGTTTGAAAACCAAAACATTATCTTTTGAATTCTCCCAAAAGTGATGTGCAAAAAGTCTTTAAATGATCTATCCTGTGATTAAAGATGGTTCCCATAGGAATCTTTTAATTTTTTTAAGAGCTAACTGATTTATGTTGTTTTGAGGAATGCTCCTTTAAGGGGCATCTGAAGTTACTTACTTTGTTTTGCCATAGGAATCTATGTAACTGTCTAATTGTCAGGTGAATTATGAAATAGTAGTAAATACTACTATTAATATTAATACCATCACAATTCCACTCCTAGATATATACCCAAGAGATAAGAACATGTATATCCACACAAGGACTAGCACACAAATGTTCATAGCAGCATCATTAGCCAAAAAATGGAAACAAACCCACATGCCCATCAACTAATAAATGGATAAACAAAATATGGTATATCCACAAAATGGAATATTATTCAACTATAAAAAGGAACGAAGTACTGATTCATGCTACACATTGATGAACCTTTCTAACATCTTGATAAGTGAAATAAGCCAAATATTATTTGATTCAACTTACATGAATTGACCAGAATATGCAAATCCATAGGGCCAGAAAGTGGACAGTGGATGCCAAGGACTAGCTGTGATTAAAATGCTCTAACTGGTTTATGGTTATGGTTGAAAAACTTGGCAAATTTACTAAAAATCATTTAACTATACAATAAAATGGGTGGTTTTTATGGTATATAAGTTATGCCTCAATAAATTTTGTTTTTAAAGAAGCAACTAAAAAGCAAGAAGAAAAGCTGAAACATTTTTCAGAGATATTTTAATGAAAGGAGAAACCTGGGGGAATCATAATAAATATTGAGAATTAAATATTAATGCCATTTTCCATTTATTAACATTTAATACATAGCAGGTATTTCACTGTTTGATAATATATTTATATAATTGAATTGTTGGTACCACCTTTACATATGAGGAAGCAGGCTTATAGAAGTTAAGTAAATTGCCCAAAGTCACACAACTAGTAAAGGACAGAGCCAGGATTTGGAGTCAAGTCCACTCTCTTAACCAAAGGCCATAAGTTCCAAGTAAATTTTACCCCTAACTTTCATTCAAGAGCTTACTCTTAAGTTTTCAATATTGTCCCCTCTCCACCCATCCTGTGGCAATGGCCCACATCAGCAGGAGAATAACTTATCCTCAGAGTCTCTCTACTTCCTATAGTCTCTACTATGGAGCTGTAAATAAATTGAGATTTTTTTAAGAAATAATTTAAATGCTATGGTCAGAAATTGCTTTGAAGCTGGGACTTATCCAACACCATAAAACTTTGTTAATTCTAAATTTTCTAGTGTTCTAGAATTATCTCATTATTTCAGCTAATTTCTTTTTAGCTCACCTTTCCTCAGGCCCAGTCCGTGCAGCAAATACCAAGCAGCAGGCCTAGAGCCTTTGGCAAGATTATTTGGCAAAGACCTTCAAAAACATTCATGATGGTATAAGAATGGGTGAATCAAAGATGAAGCTGCACAAATGCATTTTGCTTAGCATTGCTATCTAAAGAAACTTTGCTCTGGAATGCTATTAAGGTGGGGGAAATGGCCAATTACGACAGTGACATTCTATTTCTTCTATTAAACCTTCTAATATATAAACATTAAAAGAAGCAGATAGTCTGTAACTAGCCAACTTAAAAGTCTTGTAGAAGAGAAACAAATGATGATAAAAAGCAAAACTGTATCTGTAAAAAAATTATCGTCTGTTACCACCATAAAAGGCATGCAAATGAAACATTCAGAGTCCATCCCAAAATGAGAGTGAAACCCTTGCACCACAGTAGGTAATAAAATAGGAGGAAATGTGCACATTACCAAGGTGCCAAGCACTATTTTGGGAAAAACTTCTATTTGCACTATGTCAGATTGGCATTTCTGGGTTAATAGAATATACCCTAACTTTCAGGGGAGCAATTCAAATATGCAATTGTTTATTTACTCTTGAGCCCTACCTGCTTTTAAAATGGTTTGACTAAAAACAAAAACAAAACTCTACATAAAAGATGACAAAAATCATTTCACAAGATAATACAAAACCCTTACAGACACAAGATAAATGATTAAATATTATACAGTAAATTTTAAAAATAAAAAAATTAATTAAAAAGTTATGTACAGATTATTTTCCAGAGAGTTTGTGGATCTCAAAGCTAAGCTTCTTTAAGGTAGTAGGTAGAGATTTCTGCAAAGAATCATAAGAAGTCACACATACTGAGAGGAAAATACTCCATTAAACACACAGTGTTAGAAAGTTACACCTAACAAAACAGTATTACAAAGAGATAAAAACACTATTTTCTTTTTTTTAAATTTTATTATTATTATACTTTAAGTTTTAGGGTACATGTGCACAATGTGCAGGTTAGTTACATATGTATACATGTGCCATGTTGGTGTGCTGCACCCATTAACTCGTCATTTAGCATTAGGTATATCTCCTAATGCTATCTCGCCCCCCTCCCCCCACCCCAAAACAGGCCCTGGTGTGTGATGTTCCCCTTCCTGTGTCCATGTGTTCTCATTGTTCAATTCCCACCTATGAGTGACAACATGTGGTGTTTGGTTTTTTGTCCTTGCGATAGTTTGCTGAGAATGATGGTTTCCAGCTTCATCCATGTCCCTACAAAGGACATGAACTCATCCTTTTTTATGGCTGCATAGTATTCCATGGTGTATATGTGCCACATTTTCTTAATCCAGTCTATCATTGTTGGACATTTGGGTTGGTTCCAAGTCTTTGCTATTGTGAATAGTGCTGCAATAAACATATGTGTGCATGTGTCTTTATAGCAGAATGATTTATAATCCTTTGGGTACATACCCAGTAACGGGATTGCTGGGTCAAATGGTATTTCTAGTTCTAGATCATTGAGGAATCGTCACACTGTCTTCCACAATGGTTGAACTAATTTACACTCCCACCAACAGTGTAAAAGCATTCCTATTTCTCCACATCCTCTCCAGCACCTGTTGTTTCCTGACTTTTTAATACTCGCCATTCTAACTGGTGTGAGATGGTATCTCATTGTGGTTTTGATTTGCATTTCTCTGATGACCAGTGATGATGAGCAGTTTTTCATGTGTTTGTTGGCTGCATAAATGTCTTCTTTTGAGAAGTGTCTGCTAATATCCTTCACCCACTTTTTGATGGGGTTGGTTTTTTTCTTGTAAATTTGTTTGAGTTCTTTGTAGATTCTGGATATTAGCCCTTTGTCAGATGGGTAGATTGCAAACATTTTCTCCCATTCTGTAGGCTGCCTGTTCACTCTGATGGTAGTTTCTTTGCTGTGCAGAAGCTCTTTAGTTTAAATAGATCCCATTTGTCTATTTTGGCTTTTGTTGCCATTACTTTTGGTGTTTTAGACATGAAGTCCTTGCCCATGCCTATATCCTGAATGGTATTGCCTAGGTTTTCCTCTAGGGTTTTTATGGTTTTAGGTCTAACATGTAAGTCTTTAATCCATCTTGAATTAATTTTTGTATAAGGTGTAAGGAAGGGATCCAGTTTCAGCTTTCTACATATGGCTAGCCAGTTTTCCCAGCACCATTTATTAAATAGGAAATCCTTTCCCCATTTCTTGTTTTTGTATAATGACATATACATTGAAAAATAGCCTATGGTATATGAAACTGAAAAAAAAATTCTCTTTTTGATTAGAAAGTATACTCGTCACTTTGAAAGAGTTGTGTTATAGTTTGAATGTTCACTTAAAAACTCATGTTAAAGCTGGGTTGCCATCATGGCAATGTTAAGATGTGGGAGGTGACTGGGCCATGAAGGCTCCATCTTCATCATCCTCATGCATGAATTAATACCATTATTGTGGGAGTGAGTGTAGTTAGCACAGAAGTTTGGCTCCCTTTTCCTCTGTATTATGTTCTTTCACCCTCTCACCCTTCCACCTTCTGCTATAGGATGATCCTCACTAGATGCCAACATTATGCTCTTGGATTTCCCAGCCTCCATAACTGTGAGCCAAAATAAACTTGTTTTCTTTATAAGTTACTCAATCTGTAGTATACGGTTGTAGCAGCTGAAAACAGACTAAGACAGATAGTATTGCCCTTGGCAATTCTCTTCTCAATAGTAAGTAACCAATTCCACGTCAATGTATAGTGTTTATAGTGCTAAAACGATTCTGAATTTTTCTACTTTGCCTTTGTAGTTTCTTACTATAGACTTTTCTCTTCTTGGCATTTCTCTTCTCACTTGCTCCAGGTTTCTGGATCATTTCTGATCTCACCACTAGATCTTTGTAGTATATCTACATTATCAGTTCACTTTCCCACAGTGACTCTTACAGAATTGCCCTTATTAAAAAGTACATTTCAAGAAAAACATGATTATGTAGTAATTGAATGTTCCATCTTCCTTAAAAGGTAGGCGCAGAGCTCTAGTGTGTATGGCACTGTGCTTAGCATGAATCATTTTTACCTTTGACACTGGTGGATTTTATGTCTAGAATCTTAGCATTGGAAGAAGCCTTAAGGATTGTCAGGCTCTGTTGCCACCCAATTTAAATCCTAAATCCTATTTATATCACTAGGATTTAAATTAGGATGGAGTTTCCTTCTTCAGCCCAAAGAAGTTATACTTCGATATTGAGCCAAATAGTTGTAGATACAGCTGGCCTATGGAATTTTATTGAGATATTATGCTGGAAAAACAGCACTGGCTTGTATCAGATGACCCAGGTTTAGTTTAGTTCTGGACAAATCACATGGTTTGGGACATAGTTTCCACATCTACAAAATAAGAATGTAGGACTATATATATGAGCATTCCAAAGCTGTTTCTGATGAAGAATTATTCTTTTAAATTTCCCCCAAGTCTGAAGAACTGTTTGTTCAATAAATAACTGAGCACCTCTCATTAGTCATAGTTCTCCCATTATATTTTGCAATCAAAGACAAGTAACTTCATTTCTTTCAGTTTCATTATCCCCCTCACTTATCTTTATATCTGCTTCAGCACCTTACCAAGACTTTCACTAATGGAAGAGTTGGGGATATAAGTTGTTGGCAGGCATTAAACACAGTTATAAAAGTAAATCACAAGTGGGGAATAAGAAAGGCAGCTGCCAGCCCCTTGAGAGGGGACTATAATTGCAATGATTGTTCTCACAATTGACCAAGGAAGAGTTAAAACCACTGGTAGATTGAAATTTAATAATTGTAGGTCCTAATTCTAACCCACTCATCTCAAGCCTTAAAGGATCTAACAAGGAGTGCAGTTATCCTACCTATGTGGTGGTAGAGATGATGGTAATAGCAAGGTGTCTCAACTGCAACCCAACAGTGACACAATCTCAAAATGTGTTCTTGCTTAATTCTTGGAAACAGTAGTTCATAGGATTCCAGCTGAGCTTAAGTGCTCAATAATTGATGAACTCATCTGTAATCTGGTGGGATAAAAATTTACTCTCAAATGCATACAGTAATTGCCTGAGACTTACCATTTGATTTCTTCAGTAGAGCTCAGAACTCTAGGATTAGTCATTCGCATCTTCCTTGACATGTAATGCCTAAATGAATATCCTGAGAAAGTTACATACAAGGAGCTGATGTTGCTTCAAATTAATAAAACATATGTTTGAATTCAACAAGAAATATCCAGTATTATTTTTTCTTCTACAAGTTGTTAGTAATATATATATTATATCTATATACTAATATTTACATTGTTTTCTCTCCAGGTGAAGTGAATTTTTGTGAGATGTTTCCTCCTAGGCACTCATAAATGTCTACATAAAACCAGTCATAAAAAGCCTTATTTCATACATCCCATTTGCTTTCCCCCTCCTTTCTGCAGTAGTTCTGATCAAAGTTCATAAAGTAAGAGCAACACAAATACCCACGAGGAGGGGAAAAATAACACCCAATATGGCTTTCTCGGAATTAGCAGGATTAATCGCAGCTGATAATTGCATTTGCAAATGATGATAATACATCATATAATCTCATTAAATTTTGAAGCACCATGGCTTTTACAGAGAAAAAACACAGCAAAAACCTACATTAGGTAAAGATAAAAATCCCCCATGTGTCTGAAATCACAGAACGAATTTCCCTTACTTGCTTTGCCCCTTATCTATACAAAACGTAAGATTCCATAGCTATGAGAATCAGAAATTATTACTTTTGGAGAGTTTATTTCCCTACCAAAACTCTGCTCATTACTTTAAAAGAATAATATTGTAATCTATGATTTCTGAACGAAACTATAGGTAACATTTTTCTAGGGAACATAAGGCTGAGAAGGCTAAAAATTCTCCCCTGTTATTTAAGTTTGTATAATTTTAACAAAACTAGCTGAGGAAGTAGAAATGACTAGATATTGACTATTCTTTATGAAGAGTTCAGAGAATTTTTGTGAGGACTAGTCTTCACAAAACTTGGAAATACATGGTGAACTAAAAAGGTAGAGGGAACTAGTAGGCCTATAATATAAGCAGAAGAGGGGGAAAGAGGTACATACAAGAAGAAATATAAGAGAAAGAAAGAAATGTTCATGGTGGTAAAGTGCCTAATCCTTAATGCAATGGAGCAGTGCTTCACAGACATTAATGTGCATACAAATCACAGGGAGAACTTATTCAAATGCACATCGTGGTTAAGTAAGTCTGGCGTGAGGCCTGAGATTCTGCATTTATGAGCTCCCAGGTGATGCCCACGTTGTTGGTCCATGGTGCATAGATATATCTATGTTTATAGGCAATCAAGTTATTAAGTGGTCTGGGTTGTTACTGACCAACTAAACTGGCTATTTCAGATCAATATCATTAAGTATTTATTAAGCACTACCCTATACGAAGCATTGTAGGAGGCTACAGGAAGGTAAAATCTTTGTTCTTCTCCTCATTAAACTTACAATCTAGTTGGAGAGTCAATATTTAGAGGGAATAGGTTTCACAAAAGTCATATAAATAATCCTTCTTGCCCAGATTTTGTGATTTGCCCTCTATGCAACATGGTATTCAAATACTTTCTTAAAAGAATCCAGAGACAGGGTAGATCGGTGTAGAGGGAGGAAGGCTGAAGGCATGAGCATAGAACATACGTGGGGGATTTAATTTCACAGTTTGAAGATTATTTCACAGGTGAAATTTTTCCATTAACATTAAACAAAGCAGTTTTCCTCCCCCACCTCACTGAGGGACGGGGATATTTTAACCTTGAACCAAATGTGTGAATTGAATTTAGATAACATCATCTCACATTGTGCAGATGAAACTTCTTAACATGTAAAAGAGGGGTATGGTGAACACCATTTTAAGGCAAATTGTAGTAATACATCAGTATCGAGGTACCACAAGATCCTTATTAAAAATAGGTGAAAATAGGATTCAGGGTCTCTCAACATTTTCATCGTTCAGTGAATTTTTAACACAAAATGTGAGCATAATTTGATAAAAATAAAATTATATTTCTTAACCTTGTAAGGTACATACTCCTCAAAATTTTCATTCTTAGCATAATTTTCAATGTTAAAGATAGGTAAGACTCTAATAAAAATGAAATTATATTGCTGAACTCAGAGAGCCAGACACCAATTTTTATCACAAATTCAACCTGTTCTCATTTCATTAACTGCATGTTTCCTGTATATTGCAAGGACTCAAGATGGGAATTTTTTTTGAAAAAGAAGTCTACCTCATGCATCGTAAAAGTTTTAAAAAACAAGAAAGAAGTTTCTTTCATATTAGTGATGTCAGCCTCTTTTAATAAGATTTCAAAACACAACTGCCAGCTTTGACCTCTTCCTGTCAAAGCATTTTACTTTATTTTAACCCACTCTTCAGACTGCTTATCTTGGTCACTCATCATTTGAAACCAAGTCACTCTCCTTTTCTGATGACTTGGAGCATTAAAACTGCCTCACAAGCAGAGATGTGTGTATTGAAAACAGGATATCGAGACATCCATAGTGAATGGGCTGCCCTTTCTGGTGGTGGATAGATGATCTGGAACTATAAACATCTTTTATGTGTAAGGATTCTTCAAGCCCTGGAAAAGGAAATCTCAGGAGTGACATGTCTGATTTTTCCCTTTTTGTTGCCTTACATTTCTATAACCTTCTTGAAATTTTGAAATAAAATTGGAGAAAAGCCAATTACATAGATTAGATGAAATAATATTTGCAAAGTTCTGAGAATGATGTCTGGCACATAGCAAGCACGCAATAAACATTAGCTACTTTAATGTCAATTATTATTTCTCATGGAAGAGAGGAGGAATGACCTCTGCAAGTATGGATCTGAGTGTGTGGGGCCTGGAGGTGGGGAATGGGGAAGACAGAAACGAAGAGAAAAATAACATGAGTAACAAGCGTGAATGGACAGATGACTAAAACAGAGTTGCAGAATCACATGGAAGATGTAATACAGAAGAAAAAAGTCTCCTTCTCCCACTCTTACTAAGTGGCCCAGTTACAGACTGACAGCACTAATAGAAACTTGCTCCAGAGAAATCAAAACATGGGGAAGAAAATTATGCAAAAATACACAGAGGATAAAAAAAGTAATTATCTTTCTATAACCCTCGGTTTCGGGAGGGGGAGGCATGCACATGCACGTGAGAGAGAGGATATAACATAAATATGATGTGAAAAATTGCTAAACTTTGGTGTGTTCACCTGTAAAACCAAATCTATAAATGAAAGATCTCAAACATTTGATATTTTAAGAAGCATCTGGAGCAAGGATGAAATTCAGCATCTGTATTTTGGGTGATAATTAAGTACTCTAAATTTCAACCAAAATTTTTGTCAATTCTATGATAGCTCATTGATTTTAGAAGCCACATCAGATTTCACTCTTATTTTTACTGGATACTTATAATAATGTAGAGTAATAAAAATTGAATGACATGCTGAATGGTGATTTAAAAACAGCTGTGCATTGCATATTTGGGAGAGACTAAAGGGGAAGGAATATAATATAAGCATATCCTGGGTGGTTTCCCTCCTCAACACTGATGTAAAAGCAAATCTATTACATATAAATACCTCCACAATGGTGAAAAAAAGGAATATTTAGAAACCCCATTGATTGCATCCTCCCATCCAGAGTAATACCATTATCTTAAACAGTTAACCCATTTCTTTACCAATCTCAGCAACTCTCTGGTACATGAAAAAACCTTAGAATTCTCACACAGGATTTCAATAATAAATTATGCATGACATAATATTATGATGGTGTTTACAGAATTAGATCACTGAAACTGTGAATCTTCTACAGCGTCACAGATCAATTTTCTTTAAGCCATTTTTACTCCTTAAGAATACTCTATTTTAAAAGGCCTTAATTTAGAATCTCTTCAGAAAAATTGCCCATTTCCTATAGGATTAACACATAATGACTTTGGTATGTGGGGGTATATTAGGGGGGTTGGGATAATGGCTACTGACATTCCTCATTCTAGGAAGGAAGGTATTGTATGTAAACAATATAAATGCCACCATTATGAAAATAAAGTTGAAGATTTTCTTTCCCAGAGAATTCATGGACCATCGTTTATAAGATTTAAAACATTCAATTCTTTCGTGACTTCAAAAAGGATTCCAAGACTTCATTCCCCAAATCAAGGAGAAATTTCAAAATATGTAGGACACAATCCAGATCCCAAAAGTGCTATTTAGGTGGAGTTCATTTCTACCTATCATTCAAAAACCAAAATTATGAAATGGATGGGCTTTCAAGGCATCATATGTATGTTAGCTCTTCTTTTCATTCTCCTTCTTTGTCAGGCTTATCTTTATTTTACACTCAAACTTGTTCTGTTATATTTTCCTGTCTCCCTGTAAACTTGATGTTTTATTCCTTGAATAGCTCTCCCTTTGTTCTACCATGCTTTTTGTATATAGCAGTTCAGATATAGAAGGGCTCTTTATCTCCTATTATTTTTATTGGTGGATAACAGGCAGAACTCTTAGGATCCCATTGAAGGAGGTTTAATGCTTTTGCATTTCTATTCTGTGCCATTTCCTGCTTGCACTCATTCAATTTCACACAACTCTTGCTGCAATCTTCCGAAATTCGTTCTGCAGAAACTCATCACTTTTATTTTTACCCCCTTTGCTTTCACTTTGGTCCCAATTACCAACCTAACTAGATTTTGATTTCTGTTCACTTCAGAAGTACCCTCACTTTTCACATCATCTTTCATTCTTTTGATATGCAAACCTGAGCCTATGAATTGCTTCTGCTTTTTCTCCCCTGAGTTTACCTACTGTGTAATAGGAAAGCCCTTTACCATGTCCTTGTCACATTGCTTGGTGTATCCATCTATTAAGATCCCATGGTTAGAACTATAGTCACAGAGCTTCACTTTAAAAGATGCCCAATTTACCCATGAAGTTTATTCTACTAAGAATCAACACTCTCCTAATGCCTTTGCTTTGGTTTCCTCCCTTAGAAAGCAGTTATTTAAATATTCTTGAGTCTGTTTGATTTGAGCTTTAACTGTTTCATCTTCTCTCTTCTGGTTAGAATGGTTTATTTAAAAAGCTTCAAATACAGGGAAGACAGACCTCAATGATAAAGCAGGTTGAGCCTCCTGAAGGCCAGCTTTTTCATCTTGATTTGCTTATTTTTTACTGAATGAAGCAAAAGAACTCAGTTCCTTTGTAAATGATTACATTGATTAACTATAGCAAAGGGCCAAAAGAGAATGACTCTCTGTAGAATAGACCAGAGAGGAGATATTCAGAATCCTGGAGACTAGATATACTCCTCTGAATACTACAGGTATTCTGTGCAAATCATAGCAGAGGCAATGTTAGGAAGTCTAATCAGATAGGTAGTTGGCATCAAGAAGATCCAACATTAGGCAACGTAAGACATCTTAAGGGGTCAATAGGACCAAATGCTATGGTAACCTGGCACCAAAAGGTTAGCTGGCAGTTCCAGAGGGTGTCAGGCACAAGATAAGGAAAGCAAGTGGTGGTAAACGAAAAATAGGAACCCATTTGCTTAAATTTCAGTACAAAGCAGGAATTTGGTCACAAGGAAAAGCAAGAGGCAGAATAGAAGAAGGATGACTTACTGCAAGGCTAAGGACTCCAGTGGACCTTTCTATTAATATTTCCTCTGATTAGGAACCAGATTGATCTTTGGGTGTTGGACAATGCTAGGGGTTAAAATGCCCCATTTATGGAGGCTGAAGGCAGGAAGGCAGCAAGCCAAAATTCTCATTATATCTGGAATTCAATACTAATAGATTCTTGTCTTTAATAACTATAATTTAATTCTAACCAACCTGTAGTTCTATGGACTTCATATAACACATCAGGACTAGTGTAATGTTTTCAGCAACAGGCACCATTTTAATGTAACCTTTAATTTTTAGAATGTTTAAAAAGTACCAGAGATTAGACCTTTTTAAAGTGTTTTAAAACCTTTACTAATTCAAATTTTATTTTATTTTGTACTTTAGTCAATGCAATTATTGAGCACATGAGTGTTTCTTTAGAAAAAAGCCAGGGTCAGTGAAGGAATCATAATACCATTTTTGAACATGAATAAAATAAGGTACCAACAGTGAGTCTGGAGATGGATGACAGCACAATCAGTACTTTTAGACTGCCATAATAATCTCAGGTAGGGTCCATATCATCTTAGCAGAGGGCAAACAGGCCCCAAACTCCCAGTGCCACCCATGAAAGATCTCCAGCTTGTACTTGTCTTTATACTGTCCCAAATCCCCAATAACAATTCTCTATTTTCTGTTAAGTCACTAACCTCAAGGGATTTTTTAAAATTTAGAGCTATAAATGGAAAGTAGACTTCTAATTACAATTCCATAGTAGTAACAGATGTCCTTCCTCTGGAGCTTAGGCTAGCTCAAGAAAATAATTTGCAAAAAGAAAGTTTTAAGAAATACTAGTAAGTACCTTGTTGAGAGAATATATTCCATATGAAAGGAATAGCACAATGAAAATATACCCATATATGATTTGCTAGGGATTGAATCTATAAAGGCTTTGAGAAGGAAATGAAAGAGGAAAAAGAAGTTGAGGAAGGACAGAGGAGCTATAGAGGAACAAAGATACTTAAAAGAATTAGAAACAGCAGACAAATTAGAAAAGTCTTATGCAGAAAAAAAAAAAGAAATGTTATGAGTGAGAGGGGTAATAATGTTGAAGTGAAAGATTAAATGGAAAGTACTAAGTAAGAAATTGGAAACACCAGGAATAAAATTAAAGGTTTGCCTTGTACATAGGGGAAAATGTCATTGGGTATTATCACATACACAAGTCAGAATGTGTACTAGAACTAAAGGAAGTTTGGGGAAATTTTTCCGTCTCCACTTGGATGTCTGGTTTTCATGTAGTCACAGTATGCATACCACTGTGTAGAAAAAGGAGGAGCCTGTAAGCAAACATAAAGGTTTCTGTTGTAACACCCACGCATACTGGAAAAGTCCATGTTTAGCAGGCCAGACTAAGTGAATATCAGGCAACCTAAATAAAGTAAAAAATAAGTAACCTTCGATGACCTTAGCTATAGAATTTATTAGAAGCCGCTTCTTTTAGTTCCTCCTTCAAGTTCCAGAAAGTTTTTGGAGACCATACAACTGTGCAGATTGGCCTCGCTTTAAATGCATGGCTACAACTCTCAAATGGCACACAACATTGCCTAGAGATGTTCCTACACTTCCCTAGTATGTTTACTTCTGCACTTTTAAAAAATATTTCACACCTTCTCCACTGTCTTCAAGTCAGCTGCAAGAGCTCATCTCCCTATCCTGTCCTCCCACTCCTACCCCACACTCTCCCACTCCACGTACACATAGTATCTTGGCACACTCTCTGCCTTCTATTGTTACAATGGATGGTGTGTCCCTGTTCCAATTAAAGAGCTGCATCTAGATTTCTCAAGATGGCACTCCTGCAATTATCCCTTCTCTCTTGGGTAATCAGTCCTCCTCCTATGGGATCATTCTGTCAGCATTTAAAATACTCTAAGCTGGGCACAGTGCCTCATGCCTGTAATCCCAGTGCTTTGGGAGGCTGAGGTAGAAGGATCACTTGAAGCCAAAGGTTTGGGGCCAGCCTGGGTCACATAGTGAGACCCACTGTCTCTACAAAACACAAATGTTAGCCAGGCATGGTGGCACATGCCTATAGTCCCAGCTACTTGGGAGGTTGAAGAGGGAAAATCCCTTGAGTCCAGGAGTCCAGGTTATAATGAGCTATGATTGCACCACTGCACTCCAGCCTGGATAAGAGGGCAAGACCCTCTCTCAAAAATAAATAAAATAATAAAATACTCTAGTATTTTCTCCAACCCTTTTTAAGAGATGGGGGTCTCACTCTGTCACCCAGACTGGAGTGCAGTGGTGCAATCATAGCTCACCGCAGCCTCTACCTCCTGGGCTCAAGCAATTCTCCTGCCTCCTGAGCAGCTGGGACTATAGGTGTGTGCTACTATGCCTGGTTGATTTTTTATTTTTTGTAAATACGGTGTTTCACTATGTTTCCCAGGATGGTCTCGAAGTCCTGGGCACAAGCGACCCTCCCACCTCAGCCTCACAAAGTGTGAAGATTACAGGCATGAGCCACTGAGACTGGTGTACGTTCTATTTTAATAAAACAAACACACAGGAAAATTCCCCCTTGTTACCATATTCTTCTCCTGCTACTGCCCCATTTCTCTACTTTCCTTCAAGGCAAATCTTGAAAAAGTTGTCACATTCACTGTCTCCACTTCCTCACTCACATCCTCCCCCTCATTTCACTCCAATGGGCCTTCTGCCACCCATACTTCACCAAGGTCACCAATGACCTCTATGTTTCCAAATAGAAATTCTCTGTCCTCACTTTACTTGATTTCTCAACACCATATAAGTTAGTTGACCACTTCCTTCTTAAAGTAACACTTTCTATACTTGTGTTCTTTGTTACCACTCCTTTTTAACCTGTAACTCACCAGATGTTCCCTATCTCCTTTGTTGGATTCTCCTTTTTTATTCAAACTCTTTATGATATCATGCCCCAGGACTCTGTCCTTGGCCCTCTTCTTTTCTCTACAGACTGTCACTGGGTGATGGTCTTTTCCCACAGATGGTGTTTATAGCTACATGCTTAGGAATCCTAAATTTATATCTTCAGCTCCGACCTCTTCCCAAATTTCAGAGTCTTATGTTCAATTTCTTACTTGACTCATCAACTTGGATATCTAGCAAGTATCTCAAACTCAATATCTCCAAAACAGAACTCTTGATTTCTACCCTCAATCAGAAACTGTCTCTCCTCTCTTTTTCATCTTACTAAATGGTACCACCACATACACAATTGTTCAAGCTAAAAATCCAAAGCTTTATTTCTTTGGAAACTTTTTTCCTCATCTTCTTAGAGCCAAACTATAAGGAAATAAAATCAACTCTACCTACCATAAACATCATAAGCTGTACCTTTTCCTATTATCTTCACTGCTATCTGTTTAGCTCAAGCCAGCATTATCTTTTTCTAACTGTTGAAAAAGTCTCTTAATTAATTCCCATGCTTCCAGTATTGCCTCTTCCAATCCTTTCTCTGTACAACAGCCCCTGTGATCTTCAAAAGATCAGAAATAATATCATATCACTTACTTGCTTGAAACCTTCTGTGGCAGTGTTGTCCAACAGAAATGTAATGTAAAACACAAATATAAGCCACTAATGTAACTTTAAACTTTCTAATACCCACACTTTTAAAGTATAGAGAAGCAGGTAAAATTAGATAATTTTGGTTAACCCAATACTAATATATTTTGTTTATCCTAGTATATCCAAAATATTGTCATTTCAATATGTAGTCCATAAAATAATTATTTGTGAGACATTTTACATTCCTGTTTCCATACTAAATCTTTGGTACATGTCAATTTTGACTAGCCACATATTAAATGCTCAATGTCCACATGTGAATAGTTGCTACCATATTGGACAGTGAAGTTCTAAGGGATTCCCTTCCCACTTAGCATAAAATCCAAAATACTTCCCTAAGTTCACAAAACTACACATGAACTGACTCCTGTCTACCTCATCTCTATCTACGCTCTTCCCTTGTCCACTATGCTCCAGTGATAGTGGCCTATTTGTCCTTCTAGCTTGACAAATGTTTGCTTCCTTAGGTTTTTACCCTTGATGCTACATCTTCCTGGGATGTTGGTTCCCGAATACTCACTTGTCTGGCTCCTTCTTATAATTTATGTCTCAGCATAAATGTCACCTCCTACCTAATTAACAGGAAACCCCCAGTCTTTCTCTACTTCAGTTTCAATATTTATTGGTACCTGATATTTTCTTGTCTTTCACCTTCCATTAGATGTAAGTTCTTTGATCTCAAACACCTCATCTGCCTTACTGACTTATTCTTAGGGCCTACCACAGTGTCTGGCACATAGTAAGCACTTAATAACCATTTGTTAAATGATTGAATAAACTTATTCAAAGCATAATATTCTCTATTCATCCAGTTCTTTGTTATCTACTTAAGAAAAAGAGCCAATGGGCTTCGGCATGACTGTATGCTAGCATGTATGCTAGAATCAAAGATGTGGTCAATTAGTGGGAAATATAACCATTTTCAGTCTGTCCATGGCTAATTTCCAATTATCTTACAAGTCTCAGCTTAACTATTGCCTCTGCAGGGAAGTATTTCCTGAACCTATGGACTATTTTCTCCTTGAAGTTTGTACCCATGGTACCCTGCATGTTCTCATTTATATTACTCATGATATCTCCAATTGCTTGGTACATACTTATGGACAATATTCTCATGAGGGCAAAGGTTCATTGATCTGTTTTTTAATCTTTTTATCTAGCACATTGAATAACATGCAGCAAGACTTCATTACATGTTTGCTGAACTGAAGTAAGATGAACTGACTCACACTGGCATTGAGGCTAGTAAGGCTGAACCTCAATATATACTTCCTTGTTGAGCAAATTCAAGTTCCCACTGTGAAGAAAACTAAACCTATTATGTTTGGGGAATGACTCTGATAGGGGGAAAAAAAGCATAACACTATGTATTGCTCTGATAGCATAACCTCCTTCTTTTATTATCCTAAATTAAGAATCTGATATTTGGAGATTTCATTTCAGAAAATCTGAAAAGGCTCAAGCCACTAAAATAGCCATATATGTGAGTGGCTGAGTAGGTATGACTCTATTTAAATTAAAATAGTGCATTGTTTGGAACCCTGCAGGTTGCTAGAGAAATGGTAAAATGGTGACACCCTTTCAGGAAAAGAGATAAGAGGGATCAAAGCCAGCTTATAGGTGGCAAAGAGGATAATCCTCTATCACATGAAGGATTGATCTCTTTTAGAATGAAAGGAGACTAGCTCTGACAGATGTCAACACACAGAAAAGTAGCACTTTCTGCACATTCTATCATAAAGATAAATTGGAGCTTGTGACTTTGCTCTTGAGACTATTTGAACTCCACAGCCCAAGTGATGGAAAGAAACTACAACTAAAGGCAACTCAATTCAGCCTGATAGCCAGGCCTTTACTTGCATTTTCTTGATCATTGCCTGCTTTTTTTAGTTACAATGGGCACATTTTGTGAAACAGACCAATGTTTCTGAGTATAATATCATAACTCTAGGTACAAGTAATCACACTTTTATGCCATGTAAGAGATAGATTCTGCTCTCACTTGGATAGACCTGGACTATTTAATTTCAGCCAGCAAGTCTTACTAATATGTTACTTTTAATAGCCACTTATTAAACAGCTGCTATGTGCCAGGCACTTTTTTAAGTATTGAAGATACAATAGTGAGAAAAACAGATAAAGTCCCAGCTCTTAGGGTGCTTATATTAAACACCAAAGAGTAAATAGATAACAAAGAATAAAAGTACCTAGAAACAAAGAGTAACTAGAAACAAAGAGTAGGTAAGCAAATAACTGTGTAGCATATTATAAGGGCTATGAAGAAGAATAAAGCATGGTAAGAGGACAGAGTGTGATGGTGGGGGTAAGGATGATTATTTTAGATGAAGTAGTCAGGGAAGGCCTCTCTGAGGAGGTGTCATTTGAGCAAAGACCTGAATAGGTCTTAGCAAAATTGGCAGTAGCGTATTTGGAGCCCCCAGCCTGCTTCCATGGCTCTCTTCTACTTGAGAGTCTGAAATACCCAGGTCTTGTACATCTATCATCACAGCCAGCTGACTGGGTCCTGCTGCTCACTTTACTCTTGCAAGTCTCCTAGTGTATCAAGCACTGGTATTACAGAGATGAAAAACTCTGCGTCTTCCCACAAGGAGCTCACAGTAATTTTCTTGGGGATCAGCCTAGGCCCTGATATCTTGTTCTCATGTCTTTTGGGTGAAAACTCTTAGAACCATGTGGCTAGGCACATTCTATCAATTTCATTGCACATCCTTAAAGCCTCATACTGGCCTCCTCAGAGTAGATACCCTTGAATCTGGATTCCTGGCCTGATAATGAACTAGATATGCTTTACCCATTTGGACTATGTAAAAGTTATTTTAAGGGTTAAACTTTGCCCTTATTCTGTTTGCTTATTTAATATTTTTATTGAGGTACAATTTATAAAGAATGAAATGGACAGATCTTAAGTATATAGTTCAATGGGTTTTTTACAGATGCATAAACCTGTGTGTCTCACATCACAATCAAGTTAAATATTTCCATCACCCCAGAAAGTTACTCTGTACCCTTTTTAATCAATTCCTCTCCAGAAGTAATTACTGTTCTGATTTTTTTCACCACAGTTTAGTTTTTCCTGTTCTAGAACTTTACATAAATAGATTCGTACAGTATGTACTTGGCTATGCCTGGCTTCTTTCCCTCATCATTAAGTCTGTGAAATTCATCCATGTTGTGTGTATCTCAGCAGCTCACCTATTTTAATTGTTGAGTGCTATTCTATTGTACGAATACAATCCATTAACCTGTTGATAGAAATCTGGATTGTTTCCAATTTGGGGCTATTATAAATAAAGTAGCAATGAACATTCATTAGCAAGTCTTTCTGTAGACATATGTTTTCATTTCTCTTTGGTAATTATGTAGAAGTGGAAGTTGGATTATAGGGTAGGAGGGATTAAGAATTTTAATATACATAAAAATTTGGCTCTGAACCCAGAATACCTGTTCATAATGGTAGTAATCATCTTCTTAGCTGATAATTTCAGCTTTGGCTAAAAATAAACTGTAATACAGTATAGCATAGTGGTTAAGAGTGAGTTCTCTAGACTCAGACAGCCGAAGTTCACATCTTGGCTTTATTACTTAATAGCTGTGAAATCTTGGACATATTATTTCATGATCCTAGAGTTTAGATTACTTATATGTAAATTATACTTGTCTCATAGAGTTGTGTAGTGAGGATTCAATAAGATATTCTCTATGAAAGCAGTTAGTATGGTGCCTGGCACTACATAAAAATTCAATAAATGTTGACTTGGGGATGGAAATAAGTCCTATCTGCACTTCTTTGAAAGCTTCAATGAATATAACATCAAGATGAAAGGCAACCACATACTAGAAGTTATGCAATTAAATCACAGTTTAAAACCAAACTCTGAGCTTAATAGTAAACAAAATTTAAGTTAAATTTTCCCTCTTAAATAATAGTGCACAACCAAAGATTGATTAGCTGTTTGCCTTTACTCTTCAAACTAGCTTTGTCTTCAGCAACATTGTACTTCCTTGTTAAATAATATTGGCTTGTATACATAAGCTTAATATGCTATCATTTCTTTGCAAGCAAATTGTTGACATTCACAGAGGGTGCCAAAAATAACAGCTGAACTTGCAAAATATTAATGGAAGGATCAATTCGGCACCATCATTAGAGACAATTAATATCAGACTCATGCATAAAGATGCCTAACCTATAAGAAACATTTTATGGTTTTGTAATTACTAATTTATATATGTTTTACTTATCAATTTCAATAAAATCAATTTCCCAACTCTCTCGGCTGAATACATTTTGGTCAACTAGCATTAGGCAATAAAAAAAAATGAATGTGCAAAATCAGTGTAACTTTTATTTCCTTTCAAGTGACTCTGCTCGATTTACAATGTCAAGGTGCTCAGCTGCCAGACCACAATTCAAAACAGGTAATGGTGAGTTTTCATTTCACTTCCAAAGGAAACTGTGGGTACTAATGTAGCTGTGGACTCTAACTCAAGAGAAACTGCAAATCTAAAATTAAGTTTTCCCTATTCTTGCTCAAGCTAAATCATAGAACAATACTGCTTGAGCTAGGAGAGGCCCTGATGTTGGTATAATTGTAAACCAATTATAAATGAAAATTGAAAGGTTGTTTGGATTTTGTGGCCTTTTTCATTCTCTGAATGAAAAAAGTTAAATCTCAAACACTCATATTCAGTAGATAGGGCCCAAAGAGAAACGTCAAATTCTTGCTTTTCCCTAATAACATTGCTGGTGATGAGAAAAGTCAGGATTCCACCTCTGACAGAGCCATAACGGCCAGGTGGGAGGCCGATGTCTTCCTTGATGTCATTCTCATTATGGTAGAAATACTGCCCCTGCATCTTGGTAGCCCTCCAACTACATTATGCAGCAATAATCTATGGCTATGTCTGAAATCACTGTCCTTCAACCATCACATCCTGGTAATGTCTTGAACTCTTCTAAAAAATTCTGAAGAGATAAGGAGTTCAAACTCTGTATTCCACAAATGCAAGTACCCGGTGTAAGGGCTTATTTAACCTGTCAGTTATTAACTGACTTAGGTATACCCCTCTGTGTACCTCTCCTGTACTCATTTAACTCCCCTGCTTATCACACAGCTGCCAGTGTGCTTTTTTTCTAAAATGCAAATCTGATCATGTCACTCTCTACTTAGTATCCTTCAGTAGTTTCCTGCTGTTTCCAAGGTAACATCCAGTTTCTCTACTATGTTCTACAAAGGCCATTCATGATCTGGTCCTTGTTTAAATTTCTAGCATTGTCTTCTGTAATCTCTTCCCTTCCACTCTCATTTTTAGCAAAACTGGCCTATGTATGGCTCTTTCAAGAAGCCACACTTGCCTCCCTCAATGCCTTAGTACATGTTTTTCCTGCTAATTTGAATGCCTTCCATTGCTTCCTCATCCACCTGTCCAAATCTCCTTATTTTTAACAATTCAACTTCAGTGGCATCTCCTTCTAAGATTATTTTCGGTTTTGCTCACATATGACCAATAACCCACACCTACATAAAATGCAGGTATTCCTCCTTTGCTCTCCCTTAGCTCTTACTGAATAATTTTATCACAGCATGCTTTTATAATTGTAGATTTTCTTAGTTGTCTTCCCCACAACAGTGTAAGCTCCTGGTAGGCAGGGACCCTATTTTATAAATTTCTGAATTCCCTAGAGCCTGTCTCAGTACCTGGCTCAAAGTAGGTACTCAATAAATGTTGGCTTAAAAGATGCAACAAAGGGAGTGAAACCCTTGAAATTCTGGCTTATAGACTCATTTTTTGAGTTCCTAATAGATACAGCCTTGGCCATTAATGTGAACACAGTGTGAACACTCTAGGCTCAATTCATTGGCATCAGTGCCCCTCTGGACAGCCCTCCTAATCTCCTACCAGTTGGCAGGTAGACCTCTGACATTCTGTCCATTCTTTGAAAGGCTTTCTGGCCCCTGTCTGTATTCTGCTTATTATCTCAATTTTCTGTTGGGGCCTGATTCTAAGACTCTTAACCTTCCTCTGGCTACTGTGTAAACTTCTCCTCTGAATTTCCCTTTGACAAACTCATGTAACTTGCCTAATCCCTTGAGCACTGAGCCTCAGACATGTACAGTATAAAATCTTCCTTTGCCTGGGTTACTTAATAACTTAAATGTACTAATGTATTACTATCTTGTACATAAATAGTAATACATTGAATAGGGCCAAAAGTAGTGTGTCTAAAGACTAAAAATGTTCAAAGTCTTAGGGAGAGACAGTAAGGAGGTATATGAGTAGTAAGCATTCTCACTACTTAATGCTGTCTAGCATTATTCCTTCAAATCTGCAGGGGAAAGTTATGTCCTAATGCCTCCTACTAGTAAGCTGAATTTCAAGCCAATTCTCATGCATTTAGTCACCTTATGATTTTTTACATCAAGCTTTACTAGGGTTAATAAGGCCAAATATCCTTACTAAAGTATTTCTTCTCCAATAGGTCCTAGAAATTCTATAGGGATAGACTAGCATCACTACAGTAATCACAATTTCTATAAAAAAGTGTTTAAACATCTTCAGGAGTAGGTTCCATCTGGAATAAAACAGCTGTTGACCTTTAAATATAATTTTGCAACACAGGTCTTTCAACTGCTACTGATCCCAAAGAAGGCATCAAATAATGCTTTTGCCTTATTGAATAATAATATGCAATATATTTTAAAGGTCTTCCTTCTCTCTCAGGCCATTGATGTTTTAGTGCTTTCGAAGAGTTTTCAAAAGCATTACAAGATTACCTTTATAATCCTCAAGTCACCTTATATTCTTTTGCAAGATGTCCATTATCTCATGATTTGCTGTGGAGATTAGCACATTGATACTTTTCCTGTCAGATGCCTTGTAAAGAAGAAGAAGAAGCATGAATGTAGGATTGTTTCAGTGTTATTTTGAACTGCCTTGCTTTGTGTCAAAAAGAATGCTACCATTGTTAAAAAAAAACATACACCTCCAACCCCATCCCAAGGGGAGAGAGGGTGGGTATGTGATTTGTAAAATGTTACGGAGTTTTATTTGCATGATACAAATGAGGAAGAATATCCCATTACCCAAGCCAAATTTAATACTTTCCTGTGACTTTTACACCACACAAGGAAATATATTTTCCAGATTTGTATAGTGTTTGCTTATGAGTCCTTATACATGGAGAAGTCATGAAAACTTTCTGAGTGAAGAGATACACATCGGCCCAATTTGTCTAGCCAATAACATAGATTTTGGTGATGTAAGAGGTAGGATTTAATAGGGCTTATTATTGCCTTGTCAACAACATCTAGTACAGAACAACTGTGACTGAGGGTAACACAAACGATAGTCAAGAGTCAAATTGTTCCTAACTTCATCACAGAAAACAAGGAGTGGTACATTAGCTACCTGAAACATGAATCAGAATAGGAGAACTTAAGCAATGCTTACAGCTTATTAAAGGCAGGAGGAAGAAACAAGAAAATAGAAAAGTATGGCAGTGGAATCTGATTTTTTACATGCATATGTGTGTTATACATACATACAATGAAATGAAAGAGATGAAGACAATAAAAGAGAAATAGAGTCATGACAAAATGAGTTCCAATAATTAGTCTGAAATGGTTTGGGAAATAATTTTTTTTTACCTTTTATTGTGCTTTTATAGTTACAGACATGGTTAAAACTAATTTTGGAGTTGATAAATCCAGAGAACAGAGAGGATATTGAAATAGGAAACCATTTTTTGATGAAGGAATATAGTCATATGTTCATTTTTTCCCTCGTAAACTTAAAATATTTCAAATATTGGGCAGTAAGAGGACTGTATGAATGTAAACAATAGGAATAATAGCTGTCCTTTGAGAAGATGTAGTCCAAGGGAGCAAAATATGCTACATATGCACAGAAAGAAGATTCAAACTGGAAAAAATATTTAATGAGAATTATCCTTGCCAACAATATGATTCTTTACTCTTCTTCACATCCCGTTTATTTCTAGCAGCAGGTACAAACCATGCAATCTGAGTTGGTCTCTCAGTTATGAGGGTAGGTTGGGCCATCCACACTCATTCAGTCTCTCTTTGGGACTAGAAGTACAGCCTTATAAGAAAGATGGCTCATTGTAGGGAAAAGCATAATGATATTAGAGTATTCAGTGCCAAGAGCATAATAAGAATGGCCAAACCCTATGCCTTGTTTGCTGCCCAGGCTCAAGATGTACACCCCAGTATGCCTACATTGAAATTAACCACAAAGGAATGAGCGAAAGAGCAAATACTTAGGCACTACATTTCTTATGCACTATACTTCTCAAAGGTTACCCCAGGCTTTTCTGGGGGAGGATATACACACACTTTGTCCACCAGTTGTTCCCTGTGTTACTATAGCTGAGATGAAGTATCCATATATAAAAAGGATAATAAAGTAATAAAATGAGAAATGTAATTCACTTTATGAAAACTCATTTTGTGATCAGCCCTAAATAAGCCTCTTTATTACCTTAAGTGAGTACAAATAGTATCAGCAGTTCCTATACCATCACATAGTTGTATGTTTGTAGATTAGAAAGGTACATGTCCATATTCAGTGAAAAATTGCATATGCATATGAAAAGAAAGGGTAGCATTACTTAATCAGTGAATTTCTTTGACACACAATTTCTAAAACATCTTAAAAAGCATTTTAATATGTGTGGAGTGCATGTTTTTAAATTTAAAAACACAGACTTCAATAAAAGCACAATAAAAAGTAAAACAAAATTATTTCAAGCAGTAATATTGTCATAGTGCCTTCTTGGGCATTCAAGCCTTAACTGGAATGAGAGTAGGTATCATGTGCTAACAAAAGACGGCAAAGTCTATATATTGGCACCTTCCTATCAATAATGCTAATAATAAAATGAATTCTAGAGTTCCTGTGAATTCAATCTTTGATCCATTTAGAAACAAGATATTACATCTAGTTCTATTAAGATGCATAGAAACTACAGTGTTCCATAATTCATTTACACATAACAAGGCAATAGCTCCTAACTATAATCACCCCCAATTTCTTAGTGTTTAGTGAGCAAGTAGAAAATTTAACCTTTGTCAATTAGACCAACCTTAAATTGCTATGTAAGCATCTTGGTGACAGCTGTCAATTCAGAAGCAGTTTATCAGAACTGAAAGATGACAAGAAAATGCTGAGTTGATGTGACAGTGATGAAAACAAATTGCTAAGGCATGTATCCCTACAGGAAATGTCTCTGCACCACAGCAGATAGCTAGTGGTCAGAAGAAAACCAGTAAAGCCAAAACTATGGAAACTTTAATTCTTCACTCTGGAAGACTAAAGAATACAAATCACTTTCCCAAACCTTTAAGAGCAGAGCTTGGTCTTAGAGCTTCATAGATGTTGGCAAAGTTGTTTGTGCTATGCTTTTGGTGGGCAAGATAAACTAAGCATTTAGAAAGAAAAACACTGAAAATTTCCACTAACAGTCTACAAAATTTATCAGACATGCTTTACTTGAGGGAGCTGTGCTACCATACCTCTTGCCTGGGGAGACACATCATGCAGATGATGAATGATTCACTGAGAAGCACATATGCACATCATACCCATTTGTATTTGCTGTCACAAAGCAGCTAAAGGCTGATTTGTGTAACTCAGTGGTGGGCATCTAGGTCCCCAAGCACCCTGTTTGGGATGAAACTACAATGCAGGAGGGCAGCCTTCTTGGGCAGTCGGGAGGCAGGAGGCACAAAATCTCAGAGACCACCAGTGACCTTGCCAACAATAAAGAGTGCCTGAAAATTTTCATTTAAGGCCTACTTTGCTAAAGGACACAAAGCGAGAAAACCCCTCACTGATTAAATAAGTAAGGAACAGTTCCGTAGTTGAGAGTAACATAGCTGTACTAACAGAATGGTTTTTATTGTTTTAAGCCCTAAATGTTCCTTGTCTTTTTTTTTTTTTTTTTACATTATACACAACTTATAAACTACCTCAAAGCCTTCTGAAAAAAGTCAGGGTATAAATTCCAAATAAATAAGTTACTGACATTACCTTGGGTATATGCCAGAAGCTTGTATCACACTGAGTCACATTCTCAATAAAGCTTTGCTCTCCCTTGATCTTTCCAGAAACCTGGAACACTATTTCCTGTGCTAAAAGGCCATCCTCCTGAGTAGCCCTGACTGCTGAGTAAGATATTTGCACACAGGCTGAGACAATTTTGTGCTTATTGTCTGGATAGTCAGTGAAGTCCACTGCAAAATGGAATGTATTTTTTACCACCAAAATGTGAGAAAATGGGAATGCAGAGATCACTATATAGGAGAATATGGGTAACAAGGCCTCTATTCAAGTGGTGCTGATTTGTCAAGCAAAATGCATTGTATTAACATTAGTGCCTGTGAGGCAGACACTGCATGTGCATTTCATGTCATTTCTTAATGTTTTGTTGAAACTGGAAAATTCCCCACAGCAGGAGTATAAGAAGAGTAAGTATTGGTCCATGTATTTGGTACTTAAAAGAAATCAGGACAGGACTTAAAGAGATTGAAGTTGTTTCTATACACAAAATCCCAGGCAATTTATTCAACTTACAGAATAAATTGATGAAGTCAGAAAAAAATTATCTTAAAGCCTGTCAAAATGGTTGTTTTACTGAGTTAAGTGGCAATTCTATCTAAATGCCTCATGGGCATGACTTTATTCAACTTATATTACTTAGCAGTGATTACTGGTGAAAATTTATGTATTATGCACATTCTGATGCCATTATTCCTAAACAGTCAATTATTTCACTCAGATAATTCAGCCAAATTGGTTTTTAGTGGCATGTAGAGAAAGCAACTAGTTAACCATATTTTCAATGTTTAACTAGTTGTTCTACTTTTGTAGACACACTCTGAGGCTATTTCTAGCAGACAAAAAATTATATTCTCTTAAAATTCAGACTTGAAAGAAAACTTAATCAAGCTATCAATTACTAAGCCTTTAGAGCACATAATAACAATAGCTAAAGTTTATTGGATACTTAATGTGTGCCAGACTCTGTGCTATCCACGATTAACATGGTTTATCTCATTTAATCCTCCAAAGAAGCCTTTAACATGGTTATATTGTCACCCTCATTGTATAAAGAGAGGAACTGAAGCTAGAGAAATGCCCATTCCTGGAGGAGCAGTCAGGATAGTGAAGCAAATCAGAGTAAGAATTTAGAGAACAATGTAAGATCACATATAATTGAGGCCTCAGTGCTACAGAGACATTCAGAGAAATGGAAAAGGAATATGAGATAAACAGGAAAACTTTTAGAGAAGAGGTAGAATTTGAGCAGAACTCTGAAGGACAAATAGCAAGGCAAGAAAATATTGTGAGCAAAGATGTCAAAGGCAAATGGGTGACACTGAATAATATGAAATTGATGTATTGGCTTGAATTTGTAAGACTAGTGTTGGGGGTCTACTATAAGCTTTTCATTTCCTTTTGCATACCACAAGTTTCTATCAAAAAATGCCAACAATGAAATACAGGTACACATAACTCGGTAGTTTGTAAATGTAATGCGTCTGGATCTCAGGAAAAGACAAATATTTGATAGCTCCAAAGGCATTCATTAAATGCTTCACTTATTCTGAGAAACGTTTTTTAAGGGGAAAAATGTTATATATTACTTGTCTTTTTATCACCAAGCCCAAAGCTCCTTCACTTTCTCCATTCTGACTCTCTTCACTAAATTCTGGGAAATCCATGTGGGTAGCATCTTTCTGACAAGAGGTAGTAATTACAAACTGACATCTGTGAGAACAGTAACAGGTTGGAATAACCATCTACTCATCCCCAGCATGTATAACCTCTATAACCAGATGTGTACTTACTCAATTTAGCTATGCAGCATTAATGGGGTCCTTTTAATATTTATTTTTGTCAATTAAAAAATTTGATAGGAGAGATTCTGCTATTTGATCATCACTCTCTGAAAACACTCATATTTATTTAAAATGAGATAAACAGGCCAGGCGTGGTGGCTCATGCCTGCAATCCCAGCACTTTGGGAGGCTGAGGCGGGCAGATCACAAGTGACCCAGGAGTTCGAGACCAGCCTGGCCAACATGGTGAAACCCTATGTCTACTAAAAATGCAAAAATTAGCTGGGCATGGTGGCACACACCTGTAATCCCAGCTACTTGGGAGGCTGAGGCACAAGAATCGCTTGAACCCGGGAGGCAGAGGTTGCAGTGAGCTGAGATCACACCACTGCACTCCAGCCTGGGCAACACAGTGAGACTCCATCTCAAAAAAAAAAATAAAGAAAAATAAAACAAAATGAGATAAACAAGCACTATGCTTTAATAAATTTACAGATTTTGAAGCTGGAAGGTCATTTAATCCAATCTTTTATAAACATAAAGGAAGAACAGCTAAGTGAATTTGCTTTTTAATACCATGCTTTAATTAATATGATAAGTTTTCATCCATGTTCTCTTAAATACCAGTTGTAACTTTTCTATTATTTTTATTCTTATTTTTTGCAGTCAGTTTTAGTCATTTTCTTCTTATTTAGTCCTTAACAAGTAAAAAATAGCAAGAGATCACGTTCATCCCTACTCTCTGCTGTTTTCCAATAACAAAACAATAAAAACACCTTAAAATGTATCTGTATTCAGGTACTCTTTTGAAACATATTTTTAGGTTGAATTATCTTCTGTAACCTGAGAAAATTTATTTGACCTTAATGTAAAATGGAATCCCTAACCCATGATTAGCATAATTCTACACTATTACATTTGAAACAGTAATGGTGTAATCCATCCTTTAAGGCCCATGTACTCCATATGACCTGCTCTGATGACCACAGTTCATTTGAAACTATATGCTCCCATCATATTTGTCTGAATCACACAATGGAGCGCTTATTTCCATATTAATTACTGCCTCCAGAGCTACCTTGAAGGCAAAGAACAGGTTTCTTTCTACTTTAGTGGCCTCCTCACATGGCATCTAGCAAGATAACAGATAAGGACAGATGAGAAAAAAAGCAGCTAGTGGGGAGGTTTAACAGTGGAGATAATGGGATTGCTGTGGGTCATATTTTCTCAAAAGTACTTTTTTGTATTTTTTTCTCAATTAAATGTTTTGAAAATCCCACATGTGATTAACTCTGCGCTCATACATTATTCTGGAAGAGGCTGAAAGTTCTTAATCTGGACACTATAATTAACTATGGCAGATTTTCTTACATTGGCTTTATGTTTTTAAATTATAGACTAATTATATTTCCTCTGCTTCCTTAAATTTACCCAAAGTTGAAATAAAATAAACATTACAACTGCTTCAAATACTAAAGGTAATAACAGCAACACCTGGTTATTATATCCTTATCTTCCATCTGAGAAGCCAAAAGTTAGTCCTAGATGTTGGTGTAACTTTTATAATGTGCCCTCACAATGCAGGTTACTAGATTGCCAACTCAATGGAGCCCTTGCCAAGGAAAATACCTGTAAAAAGGCCAGAGGTTCCTAAAATTCTACATCTATACTTGCTAAAGTGATTTGATTTTAAATTTAGAAACAAGTAAAATGGCTGTATAGCCAGAGTATTATCAATAGAAAGTAACCTCACTAACTGGGGAAAAGTATTCCACAGTATCAAATATTTATATATATATATGAAATATTATGTATACAATATTATGTATATAATATTATGTTAATATTATGTATATAATATTATGTATATATTATGTACATAATATTATATGTATAATATATTATGCATATAATATAATATTATATATTATGCATATAATATATTATATATTATGTCTATAATATAATATATAATATGTCTATAATATAATATTATATAATATTATGTATCTAATATAATATTATATAATATTATGTATCTAATATAATATTATATAATATTATGTATCTAATATTATATAATATTATGTATCTATTATATATTATGTATCTAATATTATATTATGTATCTAATATTATATATATCTAATATTCTATATATAGAGAGAGCAAATATTTTATATATATATATATAGCATTTTCTATTCCGGACACAATTCTAGCTTCTAATAAAAATGGGCCATGTTTTTTACCTCCCTGTGAAGCAGTGTTATGACATTGACCACTCATTCAACAGTGGTTACTGTTCTTCCTTGTGTGTGCAGTTGCTTAAATGCAACCTTATCTCTCAGTGCAACTCCATCCCAATGAGTAGAAAGTTAGTAGATGACAAAGCATGCCTTAAGATACAGTGAGTTTCTCGACTATGTATATGTTGTTCCCAAAGAAATGGGGAATGTGATGATTATGGACATGTTTCAGCCTCATGAATATCTGAAATGCTGGATTTCAGTAGTAAAATGTAACAGTCAAGAAACATGGAGGGTAGAGATGATAAAATAAGTGTCTCATGTGCTTGTACAATTGATGCATCACATGTAAAATAAAAACAAATAGCACTTTCCTCAGTGAGACATATGAAAAATGACTGACACTTAAAAGTAGCAATTACAATTTCAGTGGAATTGCTATACAAGAATTGAAAAGTTTGTGTTAAAAGAAATACAAAAACATCACATAGGTATATTACAGTATACACAGTTGGTTTCCTGTTCCAGAAAACGCAATATATGTTTAACAATACATTTTTAACAATAGTTAAATGTATAGGTTTAAAAGCACTAAAGAACAAGAGAGTTTAGGTTACCAACAAACTGAACTAATTCTGTTGTTATTTTTTTTCTGTTTGTTTTCTGTTTTGTATTTACCCATTTATATTTGCCTGTATATTATAAACTTTTATTCATTTCAACCTGACAAATATTTATTGACCAATGATTATGCCTCAGGCACTTTGCTACATACTATAAAACTAGTTCAAAGATGAATAAGATATGATTTTTCCCTTAAAAAAACTCAAAATGTAAGGTGAGTTTTTGATATGGAGGAAAGAAGAAAGTAAAAATGCTCATAAATCACTGTAGCACAGGGTATGGGTGCCTTAAAAATACAAAGTGTTATGTGTCTATAAATGTGTACTTCCAAGTGGTTGAGAGGATGAGGGAAGACTTGGTATAGAAAGTGGTCTTTGAGATGGGACTTACCTTGAAGGATTTTATTTTTTATACACATTAAAATGTGTATACTGATCACATATGCCAAAGAAAAACAGAAGATTATAAGGGGTATTAATGAACAGGAATCACGTGATCAGTTTTTTCTTTCTACCTTTTAGGTTCATGGGGTACATGTGCAGGCTTCTTACATGTATAAATTGCATGTCACAGGGGTTTGGCATACAGGTTATTTTGTCACCCAGGTAATAAGCATACTATCTGATGATAGGTAGTTTTTTTATCTTTACCATCCTCCCACCCTCCACCCTCAAGTAGGCCCCAGTGTCTATTGTTCCCTTCTTTGCATCCATTGTAAAAGTAAACAATGTTTAGCTCTGCCTTTTAAGTGAGAACATGCTGTATTTGGAAGGTTGGTTCAACACACACAAACCAATAAATATGATTCATCACATAAACTACATGATTATTTCAATAGATGCAGAAAAGGCTTTCAATAAAAGCCAACATCCTTTCATGTTAAAAATTCTCAATAAATTAGGCATTGAAGGAACATAACTCAAAATAATAAGAGCAATCTATGACAAATCCACAGCCAACATCCTACTGAGTGGGCAAAAGCTGGAAGCATTCCCCTTGAGAATCAGAAGAAGAAAAAGATGCCCACTCTCACCATTTCCATTCAATATATTACTAGAAGTCCTAACCAGATAAATCAGGCAAGAGGAAGAAATAAAAGGCATCCAAACAAGAAGAGAGGAAATCAAACTTTCTTCAGAGATGATATGATTTTATAACTAGAAAACCCCATAGTCTCTGGCCAAAGACTCCTAGATCCGATAACTTCAGCAAAGTTTCAGGATACAAAATCAATGTAAAAAAAATTGGTAGCATTTCTATATACCAACAATGTCTAAACTGAGAGCCAAATCAAGAACACAAACCTAAACATTCAGTACACACAGACACAAAGAAGCAGGCAATAGACACCAGGGCCTACTTGAGGGTGAAGGGTAGGAGGAGAGTGAGGATTGAAAAACTACCTATCAAATATTATGCTGATTACCTGGGTCACAAAATTATCTGTACACTGAACCCCCACAACACAGAATTTACCCATATAATAAAACTGCACATGTACCCCTTGAACCTAAAAGTTGGAAAGAAAAAAAAGAACAATCCCATTCACACAATAACACACACACACAAACACACACACACACACACACACACACACACACACAATACCTTGGAATACAGCTAACCAGGAAGGTGAAAGATCTCTACACAGAAAGGTACAAAACACTGCTGGAAGAAATCAGAGATGACACAAACAAATGGAAAAGCATTCCATGCTGATGGATAAGAAGAATCAACATTGTTAAAATGGTCACATTGCCCAAAGCAATTTATAGATTCAATGCTATTCCTATGAAACTACCAATGACATTTTCACAGAAAAAAAAACTATTCTAAAATTCATATGGAAACAAAAAAAGGTCCAAATAGCCAAAGCAATCCTAAGCAAAAAGAACAAAGCCAGAGGAATTACACTATCCAACTTCAAACTATACTACAAGGTTAGTTTGTTTTGTAACCAAAACAGCATGTTACTGGTACAAAAACAAACATATAGAGAATGAAACAGGTTTAAAAATCTAGATAAAATGCCAGACACCTACAACCACTTAAAGGATTTTAAAAGGCAAAAATGGGAATTGGCAGAATGCCTTTGTAGGCAGAGGGCACAAAGGAAAAATAATGTCTTGGCCAACTTTACATGGAGTGTGTCTTCTATTTAGAGATAAAATAGAGAGAAGCCTTGCAAAGGTAAGTTGGAGTTAAAATATCAGCCTGGGTTTCTTAAAGAATGTGAAAATAATATTTTCATAAAGTAGAATTTCAAATAATACAAAAAAGAACACAATAAAAAGTGAGTCTCCCACTCAAAAAGTTCATTACCCAGAGATGACCATTCTCTATTTGTTGTGTGTACTTGCAGATCATCACACGTATATGCATACATGCATATATTCATGTTTTTCTTTGTATTTCATAAATGGAGACATATTGCATACACTGGTCTGAATCCTAATTTTTTTCTTTGTGTCTCTTGTAAACATATTCTTCTCAGCATCTATCTACTTTATTTTTTAAAATAAACTATACAACAGCCCTTTGTGAATGTGTCATATTTTACTTAACTAGACCCATATTGATAGATATTTAGGTTGCTTCTAGTCCTTTGCTTTTACAAACAGAGTGGCAATGAGTACCCTTGAACATGCGTCTGCATACACAAGTATATCTGTAGCAGGATTTCTCACCATTGGCACAATTTACATTTTTGGTCAGATAATTCTTTATTGTTGGGGGTTGTACTGTACATTGCAGAATGTTTGGCAGCATCCCTGGCTTCTACCCACTAGATTCCAGTAACACATGTCCCAGTTGTGATCCTCATAAATGTCTCCAGACATTGCCAAATGTCCCTTTAGGGGAAAAATTGCTTCAGGTTGAAAACCACTTATCAGTAGGACAAATTTCTAGCAATGGATTTGCTTCTATGTTATTTGTTAACTTACCAACACTGTTAAATATCAAAATTTACTATTTGCCACTCATTTTAATCTGCATTTACTCATAAATGTAACTGATGATTGTTTCCTATGTTTATAATCCATTTATATTTCTCCTTTAGTAAATTGCTTGTTCATACTCTTTTGTATTGAATGATCTTGTACTGATTCATAATAAATTATCAAACTTTTATCTGTCATGTATTGCAAAATATTTCCCAGAATTTCCCCTTTTATATATTTGTTCTGTGTAGAATTTTTAAATTTATTTAGTGACATTTATTAATATTTTCCACTAGAGTTTCTAGAGTTTGCATCTCAGGTATTTTATATGCCAAGATCTCCCATCCCCCTACCTCCCCATGACCATGTTTACTTCTAATACTTTTAGAGTTTCACTCATATAATTTCAAATATATGGGCTTTCTGGAATTAATTTTGGTATAATGGGAGAGGGAATTACCTTTACTTTTTACTGTATAGTCAATTTTAACATATTTTTCTTCTATTTTAATATGGCCCTTTAATTATATATGTTAGTGTTTGAGTCTATTTCTAGAATGAAAAAACTGTTGCTTTGACCTGTCTTCCTATTCCTGCACCTTTAATTACAGGAGCTTAGAATATATATTGTAAAGTTAATCCTTATTTATCACTTTTTCATAATTATCCTAGCTATTCTCACATGTTTATTTTCATGTTTTGTATGTACTTTGAAATCACTATGCCTAGTCCAAAGTTTTCTTGGTATTTTTATTGGGATTGTATTACACTTTAATGTCTTTTCACTATTGTCTTCCTATCCAAAAACAGGATATTTCTCTCCATCTATTCATGTTCCTCAATAGAGTTAATGGTTTTTCATCTTGATTCAAGCATCAGAGACAGAAAAAAATAAAAAATACATTTTTTCTTCATATAGGTTCTATAAATTTCCTAAGATTATATTGCTAGGTTTTAGCAGCTTTTATGCATGAAATCTGTTGTTATATTTTCTACACTTCTACAGATACATACTTATACAATTATAATAATTTCCAGTTGGTACTCTTGGATTTTCCAGGTATATAATGACATTTGCAAATAATGATGATTGTGCCTCTTCTTTTTGTTTTTACATATCTTCTTTCTTTCATCTAATTGCATTAGCTGGTACATCCAGAGCTAAGTCAAATGATCGTGGTGATATTGCCTTGTTTCCAACATCAATGAGAATATTCTTAGAGTTTCATAATTAAACAGAGGTTCAGGAGGAAAAGCGAGTGTAGAGTGTCAGAGACATAGTATGCTACTTTTAGTATATTATGAAATATTTTAGACATTGAAGAAGACTAATACTATTAATATAATGAACACCCATGAGACATAACCAACTTAGAAATATTACCAATACAATTGAAGCCCTTTGTGTGCTCCTACACTCTTGTATTCCCATTCCTACTCCCACACCATGAGGTAACCACTATTTTGATTTAGATGTTCATCATTCTCTTGCATTCTTTTAAAGATGCATATATACATAGAAGTATCATCAATTTATAACATTGTTTTACATGTCCTTAAACATTGTAGAAATGGAACTACTCTGCACATTTCAATTGGTACCTTGCTTTTCTTGGCTCATTATGAGGTAGGAGGCAGGACTTGACTGCAGAGGTGGGGCTTGGGTTCTGGACCAGACTGAAGACTAGCTGAAACAGGGAAAAAGTGAAAGGATCTCTCCATAAGACATGCCCACCAGTGCCATGTCAGTTTACCACTGTCATAGCAACACTTGGAAGTTATCACCTCTTTCCATGGCAACAAGCCAATGAGCTGGAAGATATCACCTCTTTTATAGAAATTTCTGCATAATCTACCCCTTAATTTGCATATAATAAAACGTGGATATAGATATAACTGCAGAACTGCCCCTGAGCTACTACTCTGTGCACACTGCCAATGGGATAACCCTGTTCTGCAATGAGCAGTACCTCTGCTGCCGCTGTAAACTGCCACTTCAATAAAAGTTGTTGTCTAACACCACCAGCTTGCCCTTGAATTCTTTCCTGGGTGAAGCCAAGAACCCTCCCAAGCTAAGCCCCAATTTTAGAGCTCACCTGCCCTGTGTTATCTGGTGACCAACAAAGGGACAAAGACAGCAAGTGAGAGAGAGTGAGAGAGCAGAGATGGAAATTGGTGGAGAGGTAAGATGGTGAGACAGTGGCGATGACGGCAATCAGTGATCAGTGGAGAGGCAGCAATTGGCAAGAGATGGTGAGATGGCAACCAAAAGCTGCAGAGCTATAACCCTGAGGCTGTAACAATAAAGAGCTGCTAACACCGCAAAGCCATAACACTAACCAAAGGCCCTTTCCAGATCCATCATCTTTCCCAGTGGGCAGTGGAGCTGAGTGAACAGGCAAGTGTCCACAGTAGTACCACCTTGAATGGGACCTGCTGCTCCTACCAGTAGGCTGGCAGGTAAACAATCCCTGCACTTGCACCTCATGTGTGACAGCTAAGTCAACCTAAGTTAAGGGAACCTGGGGAAGACCTTCATCCGGGTCCCATGTGGAAGATCAGTCAGCACAATTTTGGCTACTGTGAATGGGTGAGTGTCCCCTCTGAACCCTTCCCCACAATATCAGATAAGTTAGGGCATAAAAGTCTTTGGCTAAGTGGTCAGTGAAAAGTCACTCATTAATTGAGTGTCCTGAGACACATCCTTGTCACTTCTTCACCAGGTCCTTTCTCTTCTGACTCTATTTTATTGCTCCACTAGCCATTTTATTTTCAGTCCTAAAATGCATGTTTTGTTTGCAGTCTTTTTTTTTTTTGGCTTTGGCTCCTTTGGCAATTGTTTAAGTCAGGGCAGTTGATTATGAGAGGTTCCCCATTGTGTTTACTGAGGAACACCAGAGTCACATTTTTCTGTGGCCCCAATCAGGCCTTTGGGGTTCACTGTTGGATGCCCCACAGATACTCTGGGGTTTTTGGCATTTGGAGAACCCCTGGAAACTCTGAGGTTTCGGGCATTTGGTGTAGAAACACTTGTTGGCTTGATACTCAGGTATTCCAGGTTTTCAGCATTCAGTATTGTTGGACACCCCTGGTTGTTCCAGGGTTTTGGCATTGGCATTCCTTCCAGTATTATGGGTTGGAGGCCCATCCTAGAGGAATCTTGGTCTTGTCTTTTCTCATTTTCTGCCCTAAAAGTTATCATTTTCTGTAACAACATTTTCTTTTCCTATTGTTACTTTATTTATTTTTTCCTTCTACACTTTGCTTAATAAAAACCCTTTTTTGTCATATTTCATTCACTGGCAAATACTTACAATCCACTTTTATAACACCTTACTACCTATACTTAGATAGCAAGTAGAAATCTAAAAGGGAGAAATAACAAAGGCCCAGTTGTTTTTTTTCTCATTAGACTTAGAAAAAGTCCTATGTCCAATAAATATTCTTATTAGTCATGGAGACAATGATGAGCATCCCAGAGGACTGACCACTAGGGTGTCTTTTAAGCTATTGGAGCAAATTCAAATTCAGCTTAGAGAAAAAGAAACTCATTTTCTCTTGCAACACCATTTGGGTTCAATACAAATTAGAAAGCAAACAGATTTTACCTAAGCATGGTCCTATACATTATAACGACATTTTACGATTGGACTTATTCTGTATAAAAAAAAAAGAGGAAAATGGGAGGATATCCCTATGTACAGGGTTTTATGGCCCTTTACTGGCTCTCGTTATTTCCAGGCACCAGAAAGCTATATGCCTAAGGAATCCCCTCCTAGCTGCTCCGGCTAGAAAGCCTATGCCCTCCCTGGAGTCTCCTCGGTCCCCCAATTCTGAGAGGAGTCCTACCAGTTCTCTAACAAAGGATCTCACCCCAAGGTCATCAGGCACCAGCCACCTCACTTATCCAACTAGCCCCAGCTATACCCCACACTGCCCAGGAAAATAAGCCCAACCAGTACCACCTGGAGAGGGGCCCTGTACTGGGGCCCCTAAAGGCAAACCTACATCTATTGCAGGAGGTAGCTAATGGAAATAAGAAAACACTTGGAGCTTATATGCCAATTTCTATGTGTGATTTGGCTTTATACAAGGACAAATTTGGCCAGTTTTCAAAGAATCCAAAAAAGTTTATAGAGTAGTTTGTTAAGTTTACCATGTTCTTTGATTTAACTTGTCATTACTCACAAATAACTTGTCATATTCCAATTTTGTAAATAACTTGAATCCAGTTGTCTTGTATAGGTCATTTTATTTGATGTGTTTAAGTGTATATACAGTCATTACAACTTGTGTTTTGTTTAGCATGTCATCAAATATTGCCATCTATTACTTGTGCTGTAGGAAAAAAGTGGAAGGAAAAGTGTATGGTTAAGCCAGTCAATTATAACAAAATTAGAGAAATAACTCAGGGAAAAGTTGAAAATCCTGCTCTGTTTCAGGGTCATTTAGTTGAGGCACTCAGGAAATATACAAATGCAGACCCAAACTCCCCAGAAGGGCAAACTCTTCTGGGTACGCATTTTATTATTCAATCTGCTCCTGTCATTAGGAAGGAGCTACAAAAAGCAGCAAAGAAACCGCAAATTCCTGCAAGCCAACTCTTAAACATGGCCTTTAAAGTCTACAACAATAGGGACAGGGCAAAAGAGATGAAAAAAAAGAAATAGCCAAAAAATGCAATTATTAGCAAATGCTTTAATCCCCCTGCCTCTGCAGGGTTACCCATCTCAAGAAAGCATCGCAAGATCAGCGGCTGGAATGCCCAGAAAGGAATCCCAACTCGCAGGCCCCTGGGCCAGAATCAGTGTGTCTACTGCAAGCAAAAGGACCATTGGCAATAAGATGTCCTAACTGTCCCCAGTGAGAGGAAAATATTGTGTCCAGAGCTAACCTTCTTCTGCTAGCCCCCAGAGAGCTGCCTTGTCCAAGTAAATTTACTAAGGGTCTGGACCCTTGACCTAATGGACAGCTTCCCACAGTGGCAGACAAGCAGCCGCTTGAACATTTTTCTTCAATGTCTCCACTACTGGGTGATCTCTCTGGTGGCTTGGGGACTCTGGGCTTTCCCCCTGAGCACTGCAGTTCCCCCAGCTTCCTTCTTTATTTGATGCTATGGGATCTTCTTCCCTGCCTCTTCCTGTCTTCTATACCTACTGGTGCTAACAAAATTTGGCAGATAGGTAAGTCCCAATTTTGTAAATAACTTGAATCCAGTTGCTTTGTATATGTCATTTTATTTGATGTGTTTAAGTGTATATACAGGTTTAATGTGTGTTGTGTTTAGCAGGCTATCATATTGGCTGATAAAAGAGTGCTCATGAATTAAACAAGGCTAGTCTAGGCTTATTCATTTGAAGAGAAATGTTACGTCTTTTAAAATTTAACTTTAAGATTTTTAGCTAGGTAAATCACTGATGTTCATAGGTTTTAAAATGGTTAAAATGGCTTTAAATGGTGACTACCTTTGCATGGGATCTTGGTTCTTGGAGGTGGTCTAAACATAGCTATTAAAAGTAAAAATGTTAAACACATGTGAATGGAATAGATGCTTAAATAATGAGCTTTTTGTGTGGTTTAAAATCTTAAAATTGTGGAATAGTTCTCATATATAGAATGCCAATGTATGGTGGGTAGTTCAGGATTTCTTGCTTCCTAGTTTTATATGAAATGTGCCAAAGAAATGTATTCTTTACTGGAAAAAAAGAATAATTTTTGTCTAATTTGGAAGTTATTGAAAGAAAGGTTCAAAATATGAGGGAACAAATGTGTAAAAAAGAGAGATATAAAAAATGCTATTGACAGAAAATATATTTTTTGCAAGAAAGAATATTTAAAAAGGAGTAATTTTGCATCAAAAGGATTCTCTATAGTAAATTATTGTCCTAGATTAAAATGATTGGTTATTTAAGAAAGAGATAGTGTAGGAAAAGTCAGAAAGGCCAAGCATGTTATAGATGATCTGTGTAAATTATGATAAGGTTCACGAAAGGGAATTTATAAAATAAATTTTTTGTGTGTGACTAAGCTTGCTGTAACTAAAAGAAAATTGTTTATAATTGACTCTTTAAAAATGGCCTACATTTTAAGACCAAATTTTCTTAAGGTATTAATTTGTGAAATTACCAGAAAGTTTTCAATTCTGTAAGCTAATTCTTTTGAAAGCTTCTCAGTGAGTTCATGTAACTCCCTCCTTTAGCTTTTTTGTCGGCTCCTGTGAGTTTTTTCTTCTGGTTCTATTATTGTGGCCAGATGCTAAAGTGTTTTGTTTTAGAGGCCTGTGGGAGCAGTGTCTTCACCCAATATAGTTTCTCTTGATATAATCTCATTTTTGGCTTTTAGTTTTTGACTCACATTGCTTAAAAGGTTTTTAAGTGCTGATGAGTGCCTGACCACCTCCATTCCCATCTGGCCTAGAATGTTTAATTGGCTATAAGTCTTTTGACTGTAAGTCCCTTGAGCAAAGGAAATTCCAAAGAAACTTAAAAACTAACTCAGGCCATGACAGGTATCAGGGAGTTAGACAAACCTCACTATGCCCCCTTTAAAATTTAGGCTAGATTCACAAGTCTCTTCCAGAATATGGAAATAAATTATTGCCTCTCACAAGACTTAGTCTTACTAAAAACCAAAAAGAAAGATCCTCTGAGAATCAGTTACAACCTAACTGAAAGGTCCCTACTGGGTATTGTTAAATACTGCCACCACTTAAATGTCAGGGAATAACTACTTGAGTACAACTATCGAGGATTAAACCTGTTTCTTATGAGTCACAGGCACAAAGAGAGGGCACCATGACCTACTTCTGTAAACCTTTGGAAGACTTCCACTACCTATTTAAAAGAATCAACACTCAGCCAGCAGTGGTAACATGATGCCATGGGTGGAAATAGGAGCATTAATTTTTCTCTTCTTGACTACAATGTTTCTTTTCTATTGCTTTAGCCAGCTACCTCCTCTGGGGAGACATCTCTTTTGTTCTTGTTGGGTGTAGAGGCCATTCTAAAGCCCAGCTGGATACCATGCTGTCACTATTAATACTGTTTGATCTCCCAATTACTCTAATCCAGTGTGGGTAGGAACAAAACTCTATAGTAAATATTTCAAAAATTGTAGCATCAGGGAATCATCTTTATGGTTGCTGGATTTATCAACATCCCCAAGATAGAGAGTTCCATCTTCTGGCCTATTCATAAACTCTCACAGCCATCTCTCCAGATCTCCTAACTAATGATAGCAATCCTCAAGTATCCAAAACTCCCTACTTGTTAGGTGGGATGCTCCCCTACTTAACAGATTCCACCTGCACTCCCCCACCACTATTACCTGAACCTGGGAAGTTGGGTATCTATACCTCCAGTACACTAATGATTCTATCTTTTGCACCCACTGTTGTTTTAATGACATAAAAGAGGAAGTTCCCTGTGATGCTGTGATCCAATTCTAGCTGCCAAGTTCCCAAGGCCAGAGCAAGGTAAATGGGATTCCACTTGAGAGTGAGGAACCCATATATGGTGGCTTCTATTGGATCAGAACATGCAAGGGAAAAACAACTGCCTAATCTGGGAAGGTGGGAGTACTGCCCGCTTCTGGAAAACAAAGATTGTTCGACCACCCCCATTGGAACAGGGGAAGAATATTTCTATGGACCCAACTTGGAAGCAAAGAATAGACATCATACTCTGTAAGGCCTCGATGTGTGCCTCAACTGGGCTCATTTTTGTTTGTGGCCGTAAGTGGGAAAAAGTCACACCCCATAACCACACCCAACTTCCCAGAGAGCCACTTGTTCTTTTAGAAGTAGCTTTCTCTTGTACATCAAAAATTTAGGACAGGGGTGAATGTACATTGGACACCCTTGTGCCTCCAGGGTTCATAGCCTATAACCCCCTAAGACTGAGGAACACCAGAATTAAACAAGCAATAGGATTAACTCTGGCAGGAATCAGGGCAACAATAGGACTAGTGGCACTATGGAGTGGTTTTGTCTATCATGAGTCAACCCTAAAACGACCTAACTGAAACCCTAAAATATTTAGCCACCAACACAGGTCAGGGACTAAAGAGAGTTCAAGAGTCCCTGGACTCTTTGGCAAATGTAGTTCTCTATAATAGACTAGGATTGGATTATTTACAAGCTGAATGAGGTGGAGTCTGTGCAGTTATTAATAAAACCTGCTGCTCATGTATTAACGCCTCTGGACAGATTGAGGTTAACATTCAAAAGATCTATAAGCAAGCTACCTGGTTACATAGATATAACCAGGGCACTGATCCCAACTATATCAGGTTGACTAACAAAAGTACTTTCCCAAGTCTCACTTGGTTTTTACCTCTCCGAAGACCTTTATTTTATTTTATTTATTTTTTGAGACAGAGTCTCGCTCTGTCACCCAGGCTGCAATGCAGTGGTGCAATCTCGGCTCACTGCAACCTCTGCCTCCCAGGTTCAAGCAATTCTCTTGTCTCAGCATCCCGAGTAGCTGGGATTACCGGCCTGCCTCACCACGCCCGGCTAATTTTTGTATTTTTAGTAGAGATGGGGTTTCACCATGTTGGCCAAGCTGGTCTCGAACTCCTGACCTCAGGTGATCCTCCCGCCTCAGCCTCCCAAAGTGCTGGGATTACAGGTGTCACCCACCATGCCCGGCCTCGTAGGGCCTTTAATAGCTGTCTTGTTATTACTAATCTTTGGCCTTTGTTTGCTTAACTTCTTAATAAAGTTTGTGTCTTCTATATTACGAAAGTTCTAGGTAAAGACAATGCTGGCACAAGACTTCCAACCCATCCCATCTACTGACCCAGAGAGTAAAAGCGTCTTGCCTGTGGGCCCCTTAGATAAGATCCAGAGATTTTTATTCCTCTGGTGGTAGGAAGGGCCTATGCCCATAAACTCAGCAGGATGCAGTTACAAAGATGTACCTCTGCACTTTTGCATCCCCCTTAAGGTTAAAGAGGAGTATTTAATCTTTGAAGGGGGAATGAGGTAGGAAGTAGGACTTGACTCTGGACCAGATTGAAGAATAGCTGAAATAGAGAAGAGGCAAAAGCACCTCTGCAAAGACATGCCCACCAGTGCCATGTCAGTTTACCATTACCATGGCAACACCCAGAAGTTAGCGCCCCTTTCCATGACAATGACCAGAAAACCCAGAAGTTACCACCCCTTTTCTAGAAGCATCTGTATAATCTTAATTTGCACATAATTAAAAGTGGGTATAGATATGACTGCAGAACTGCCCATGCCCTGAGCACACTGCCTGTGGGGTAGCCCTGCTCTGCAAGGAGCAGTACCTCTGCTGCTGCTGTACACTGCTGTTTCAATAAAAGTTCCTAACACCACTTGCTTGCCCTTGAATTCTTTCCTGGGTGAAGCCAACAACTCTCCCAGGCTAAGTTCCAATTTTGGGGCTCACTTGCTCTGTATCAATTATATCAATAATTTGTTGAAATATTTACCTCAAGTTCATTTATTTTCACTATTTAGTGTTTCATTTTATGACTACACTATAATTTATTTATCCATTCCCCTATCAATGATAGGTACATTGTTTAAATTTTGCCTTTTTTCTCACAAACCAGGATATAGTTCTATATATCTTACAGATATTTTGGTGTAAATGTACAAGAATTTCTCTAGGAAATATACCTAGTAGTGGAATTGCTCATTTGTAGGATATTTCCATCTTCAATTTTACTAGATATTGACAAATTGCCTTCAACAGTAAATGCACCAATTTAAACTCCCACCAACAACTAGTGTATAATAAGGGAAAAATCTTTAAGGAAAAAAAGAAAAAAAAAACTAGTGTATGAGAGTGTCCATTCCTACACAATTTCACAAAAGCTTGGAGTAGCCAGACATTAAATTTCTATTAATCTGGAGGGTGGAGAAATTTCATATCATTTTAGATGTAACTTAGATGTCTCTAATTACATGTCAAATTAAACAACTTTTCCTGTGTTTATTGGCCATTCATGTTTCCTCTCCTGTGAGAGGTTATGAAAGGTTACACCTGCTCATAACCTTTGCCTAATTTTCTCTTGAGTTGTTTTCTCTTGTAGATTAGTAGTAAAACATTTTTAGAATGGATTCTAATTATTAATTTTATGCCTTGCAAATATCTTTCCCCAGGTTTTTCATTATCTTTTTTACTTTTAAGTGGTGCTTTTGATGATCAGAATATTTTACTTCTATTATAGTAAAATGAATTAATATTTTCCTTTATGTTTTATGTTATAAAACCTTTCAAAGAACTATTTTTCTACTCTGTCATAAAGTTAGTCTCTTTTATATTGTTCTAAACATTTTAAAGGTTTTCTTTTTACATTTAGATCTTTTAAATGTTTGGAACTTATATTTGTCTATGGTGTGACGTCAAGATAACCCCCTTTTAAACGTGTATTAACCAGTGATTCCAGTGCCATTTATTGAACAGCCTGTTCTTTCCCAGCTAATCTTCAATGTCGACTCATACTAAGTTTTTATATATGGAAAGGACTTTCTCCTGGATCTATATTATATTGAATTCTATTGGCCTAGTTTTTATGTAAGAGAATTAGCTTATTTATTCTAGCTTTACTAATAAGCCTTGATAGCTGATAAGCCATGTCCCTTCATAAAAATTTTCTTGGCTATCCTGAGGTCTTTTTCCTTCTGTATTTATTTTGGAATCAGCTTATATTTTTACTTACACACACACACACACACACACACACACACACACACACACACACAGCAAAAGGCAAAAAACAAAACCCTGTTGGGATTTTGATTGGAATTGCATTGAATATATAGATTAAGTGGAGAGAACTGTCATCTTTATCATAGTGAGTCTTCCATGAACATGCTTTATATCTGCCTTTATTTAAGTCTACTATCTCTCAATAAAATCTTATATTTTCTCCATTAAGGTCTTAAACATTTGTTAGATTTATTTCTAGGTATCTTATTGTTTTTCTTGCAATTATACGCGGTTTTTTTCCTAAAATTAGTTTTCCAAATGTTTGTTTCTGACATATAGGAATACATTTAATTTTTGTTAAACTATCATTAACTCTAAGGCTTTATAGATTATCTCAGGTTTTCTATGTAGGCAAATCATGAAAGTCTATACACTGTGACAACATTGCATTTTTAACATTTTAATAATTACCTTTTATTCTTGTCTTACTGCACTGATTAGGACCTCTGGTACACTGTTGAGTAGGAATGATAATGTTATGCAATTTTCTCCTGTTCTTGATTTTCAAGAGGAATTTACCTAACATTTCACCATTGAACATGATGATTGCAACAGATTATTTTGTAGACACAATTTATCAGTTGCTTCTATTCCTACTTTGTTAATAACTGTGTGTTTGCTTTGGTTTGTTTCATGAACAGGCACTGGTTTTTAGCAAATGTTTTTACTGTATATATTGAGATGGTGATATAATTTTATTACTTTCCATTAATGTGATGATTTACATTAACATTTTCTCTAATGTTCAGCAAACCTTAGACTCCAGTGAAACTGAACTTGGTCTACTTTATTAACAGTTTTATACATTGCTTGATTCAGTCTACTAATACTTGAATTAGAATTTTCATCTATGTTCATAATAAGTTTTACTTACACTTTTCATTTTTCCTATTGTCTTTATCTACTTTTGGAATAAAGATTATTCTTAGAAAAGAAATTTGGAATATATGTTTTTATCTTTTGGGGAGAGTTTATATGAACTTGAAATGATCTGTTCCTTGAATGTTTAGTTGAATTTTCCTGTGGTTTCAGTGTTTTTCTTAAGGTCCTTTTTTTGTTCTTTTTTTTCCTGCAGATTTAATTTCTTTAATGATTATAAGTCTACTAAGGTTTTCTATTTCTTCTGTAGTTTGTCTAGGGAAGTTATGTTTTTCTTTTAAAAAGCATGCATTTTGTCTAAGTTCTCATGTATATTGGTATAAAGTTGTCTTTTGGTATTTTCTTATTTGTTACTTCATATCTAGTCATATCTCTCCTTTTTAATTCCTAATATTGTTCATCATTGGTGTTCTCTTTCTTCTTCTCATGTATGTACACGTCCTACTATTGCCAAGGGTTTGTCTATTTTATTAGTCTTTTCAGAGAACGAACCTTTAGCTTTGTTGATTCTACAAGGTTTGTCTTTTCTGTTTTGTTAATTTCTGTCCTCCTCTTATTTTCTTTTTTTCTATTTTTTGTGTTTATTTTGTTCTTTTGCTAACTTTTAGAACTGAAACTTAGCTCATTAATTTATAACCTTTTATTTTTTAATATAGTTAATGCTACTAACTTCTTTCTCTATATCAGTTTGTTAATTTCACAAGTTTTTACATGTACTTTTTTTCATCTTTCACTTGCTCCAAATATTTTCTAATGTCCAATATGAACATTTTCTCTTGTGAATATTTATTCAAATGTATATTTTAAATTTTTCTAAAAGTGTGTTTTAAAAATAATCCCCTTGTTATTTATTTTTAAGTTGATGGTATTGAGTTAAGAGAACATGGTCTGTATTATATGGATTTCTTTAAATGTATTGGTAGTTGCTTTACGGCATAATACGTGACAATTTTAGTAAATATCCCATATGTTCTTGAGAATAATATGTATTTTCTAATTACTACACGCAAGATTTTTCACTAAGTTAAACTTATTAATTCTGTTGTACAAATCTTGGATATTAGGCATTGGCAAACTGCAGCCTATGGGCCAAGACTGGCCTACTGCCTGTTTTTGGCATGTGAGATAAAAAAGAGCTCTTATTTTTAAAAGGTTGAAAATTAGCAAAAGTAGATTTTGTGACACTTGAAAAAGACATGACATTCACATTTCAGTGTCCATAAATGAAGTTTTATTGGAAAAAGATATGTTCATTCATTTAAGTTTTGTCTTAAGACTGATTTTACACTACACTGGCACAACTGAGTAGCTGTAAGAGATTCTGCAAATCATATGGTCCACAATGTCTAAAATTTGTAAATGTGTGTTGATCTCTATTCCATAATCTCACCAACAATTTTTGTCTTTTAAATTTATCCATTACTTTGACTAGTGGATTAAAATCTGCCCTCATGATTGTGGATTTGTGTGTTTCTTCCTGTTATTCAGTCAGTTTTTACTTCATGTATTTTGAGACTGTATTGTTAAGTAAATACAAATTCAGAACTGTTAGAACTTCCTAGTGAATTGAATTCTCAGTCATTATGTAAGACTTCTTTTTTTCCTAGTATGCTTCTTTTTTAACCTTAAGGTCAATTTTATCTGAAATATAATATAGCTATGAAAATATGTAACGTTTGCATTAGTATTTGCCTGACAAATATTTATCCATCCTTTTACTTTCAATTTTTCTACTGCCCCTATATTTTAGAAAAGTCTGATAAGTAGCATGTTTTAAAAGTCTAATCTAACAATTACTTTTTCAATTTGTCACATTAGTCCATTTATATTACTGTGATTACTGATATTTTTCACCAATTTACTTGGTGTTTTCCACTTACCAAACTTTTTCTATATTTAGTTTCTTCTCCTTCACTTCATTTGGAGATGGAGGTTGAGTTGCTATTTATTTAAATTTATATTCTTTCTTGCTTTTGCTGTTCTGTGGTTTTATTATTCTGTACCTAGGTGATGATTTATTTTTCCTGCATTATATACATTATGCATCCTGACTCTGAAGCTATGTCTTTCATTAATTCTAGAATATTCTCAGTCATTTTCTCATTGGATCTCACCTCTCTCCTAATCTTACTTTTTCTTTACATTTGAAACTCTAGGTATATGATAAATCTTTTCATTTTATTTTCCATGCTTCCTATATATTTCATGAGTTTGTTTCTCTGAACTGCACCTTGACAGTTTCTCCAGATTTTTCTTATAGCTCATTCTTTCTTTATGCCTAATCTTCTGTTTAATCCATCTACTGAATTTTTCATTTCTGTAAAATACATTTGATATTTCTGCAAATATATCTCACCATTTTATTGTATCTTCTCCTTCATTCATGTTTCTGATTCTTATTTATATACTTTAAATATAAATGTTAAATCTAATATTTGATAATTTCAGTATCTGAAGTTCTTAAAGGTCAAATACGCTGTTCTGTAGTTTCTTCTGACACTACTTCAGTGTCAGTTTTATAACTTTGGATTGTGAATTTATGTTCATGGGGGCTCTATGTTTAAGAATCCTACAAGACCTGTTAGGATAAAATCCTTCAGAAAGAGTTGACTTTTGCATCATACAAGAGTCCTGTGGTGATACAAATCTGGAATTACTTTAAGTTAATTTCTTTGCTCAAAGTTTCCAGGATCACATGAGATGTTGCAGATTTAAGATCCTTATTTACATGAAGGCAGACTACATATATACATTTTCACATTTCACAATTTTTACCTCACAGAGCCCAGGCCAAGACAAACTAATATACTTCTAGTTTCTCTTTATTCTTGGCCATATATATACCTTTTAGTCCACTATTTCTATGTGGATAGGAGATTCAACTGGCAATCACGATCCCAAATCAACACCATGTATAGAAACAAGGCTTCATCTCCTGTTCCTTATGAGCCCACTAAAATCCAAGGTGGTAGATAACTGAGATAGAAAAATATTCCCAGGGCAACTGCAAGTTTACTGTTACCTTAGTACTTCAGTTTGCAGATCCTTCTTTTGGTGTGCCTCTGGCTGTTTTCCCTGAATTTCTTATGAAAGCAGGTATGCATTTTGTAAAATGTTTCTTGACTGGGCATGATGACTCACACCTGTAATACCAGTGCTATGGGAGGCTGATGCAGGAGGATCACTTGAGCCTAGGAAGTCAAGGTTGCAGTGAGCTATGATTACACCACTGTACTCCAGCCTGGGCAACAGTAGAGCAAGACCCTTTCTCTGATTTAAAAAAAAAGAAAAAAAAACTTTTTTATATGTTTCCCAGTATTTCTAGGCATTTTATCATAAGGGTTTCTAGGACATCTAGTACACCATATTGTCTAAACCAACTAGTATCTGTAAATCATATCTGTTTGTCTTTGATGTTAATTCGGATAGAGAGAGGGGCAGAGAGCTATTTCTTATTTTTCTTGGGTACATAAGAAATAAATCGGCTGGGCACGGTGGCTCATGCCTGTAATCCCAGCACTTTGGGAGGCTGAGGCGGGTGGATCACAAGGTCAGGAGATCGAGACCATCCTGGCTAACACGGTGAAACCCCGTCTCTACTAAAAATACAAAAAATTAGCCAGGTGTGGTGGCGGGCGCCTGTAGTCCCAGCTACTCGGGAGGCTGAGGCAGGAGAATGGCGTGAACCCAGGAGGTGGAGCTTGCAGTGAGCCGAGATCACACCACTGCACTCCAGCCTGAGCAATAGAGCGAGACTCCATCTCAAAATAAATAAAATAAATAAATAAATAAATAAATAAATAAATAAATAAATCCCTGGCACAATGTAGTACCATGATAAAGGCAGGTAACACAATATAAAATGACAAGTCAACAATTACACATATTTTTCAGGCAAAGACAAAGGAGATTTTTTTCTCTGAAGCTTTTGTTTAGGAATTGGTTGAAATAAATGAATATAAATGGATATTAGTTCTGAAAAGCAGTTATTGGGCAATTTTCAAATGCTTCCTGAATTGATCAATGAATTTTGAGTAACATGTGCTCACCATCAGATCTCATAGGTCATGAAAAGTACCTGTAAACCAATCATAGATCCATAAAGGGTCATATCTGATTGCATAATCTATCTCCCTCTCTCTCTCTCTCTCTCTCTCTCACACACACACACACACGCACATCCTATTATTAAGTTATACTATATTCAGAAAATGAATCCTATGTACTTGCAAGATACTTACCTTTATGTTTTGTTATTTGGAAAGGTACTCTGCTTATTTTTTTAATCTTATAGGAAGAATCTCTTAAAGAAGGATTAAAAGAAACTTGGTGTCAAAAATACTTGTATGGAGGTGGAGGAAGCATGGATGAGTCAAAAAATGAGGCACTTTGTTTATCTTCTGACCCAATTGGTATTCCAAACTTAAAGTTGTCATCTGTTTCAGGACGTATACTACCTGAGCCAAGGAAGAGAAAAGATACTGGTGATATTTTATTTGGGTCTGGGGCATGGAAATCTATTTACTACCCTCAGGGCACAACAAGATCCAGGGGTGACTTCTAATTTGTGGTGACAGGTGAGGATATTGACCCTATTAATGTCAATGAGAAATGCCTAGATGTCAGAATGTTTTCCATAATGCCATACTGATGTGTGCAGGACATACTCAACTTTCCTGAAGAAAATTATTTCTTGTTATGTAAATATCATTACTATGTGAGATGTGATTACATATGAATAACTACATTTATGATGAAACCTCCTTGGTTGGAAGATCAAATGTAAGTATTAAGTACTACCTTAAGACTATTCAAATTTTTCCTAATTAAAATAATGTGGAGACAATATATTTTTATAATGTTTAAAAGGAAAGCTCAATCTATCCCTACTAAAACCTGGAAAACTCTATCATAGCTCAATTAAATCCAGATCTCACTTCTGAAATACCATGGTTACCACTAATAAAATACTACTTGATTAGGGAAACTATTTGATATCTGACTGCTGAGATCCCAAGGACTATGAGTTCTTTAATTCTGTCAGGCGGAGGCATGTAATGGGACGAACTGGTTACTATTAGCCCCTCTCAGGGATGAAGAAACCCAGGTAAATATTGACGACCACTAACAATAACCAAAATAATGCCTAGCATTTGTGTAACTATTAACCAGACAGAAAAAAATGAGATAACAGCCATCCAACGCTCCTATTAGACAGAGCATATAGCATCAGCCTCATTGTCCAAATAGGGGAAGCAGAGGCCCAGAGAAGGTGAGTGAATTATGAAGAGAAAGGCAGAGATTGAAGAATCACCCTGGAATTGTGGAGAGAAGCAATTTAAAAGGCACAACTAATGTCTTTTTTAAAGGCACCTTCCAATGTCCCTACACTGAGGTGTTGATGTGTCTTCTCCCAGGAAAGGAAATTCCTAATGACATACATAAAGAATAAAATTCTCCCAGTTTCAGCCTTAAAGTGTCCTCCTTTTCCTTAGAGTAAGTATATTTAGCATTGCACCTTTAGTGCATTGCACCTTTAGCTACGCACATT